>NC_000003.12:140069210-140372240 GCF_000001405.40 Homo sapiens | reverse complement strand
GGAGGCCATCTCAAGATGCTCTGAGGAAGCAGACTGAGGAGTGAGAATTTCATCCCGGATACTACGAGGAGCACGGTGGCTGGGGAGAAAGACATGAGTGTTCAAGTGTGGGATTCCAGGCAGGGCAACAGTAGACAAAGCTCCTGCTCCTCCCTCCCAGCTCTAGGATCTTTCAGGTTTGGGATATCCCCACCCAAGGTCCTCCACTTTCATCTTAGGTCCTTGAAGTTATCCCTGCTCCACCCAGATCCCCAGTTACAAACCCAGTTGCCACGCAGTCGTTACTGGCTTGGTCTCTCTGGCCTCCCACAGCCCATCATGAAACATCAATGTATTACAACAACTCTGCCTGGGAAGGGAAATGTAGGTATGTCCCTGGGGTTAGGGCTAGTTTCAGACAGCATGCCCACTTATCAGAAGTGCCACAGTTTAATGTGAAGCTTCCAGACCACATATTTTCTGAACATGTGCTGCCTGCTATTGGACCATAACTGGTTTGGTAGAGATGCCAAGAAATTAATGCTTGTGTGGTCCTTGGCTAGTCCTATAATCTCCCTGACTTGCAGTCTCTCAGCTGAAAGTAAGGATCTAATTTCCGTCTCTGTCTTTCTGTGAGGAAGGATTCCATGGGACAATGGATATTGAGGCTCTGGTCTGAGTGTGGACTGAGACCCAACATGCCCAGGCACAGGTGGCCAACTGGAGGGCAGGGCCTCAGGGGCTGATTTACAGGAAGGTTCCAGGGGCAGCCACCAGCCAGCCCTGAGGAAGGTCAGGGTTGGGTGTGCATTAGTCTCTGAGGGCTACTGTAACAACATGGTCAGTCCTTGGTTATGACAGCTCCTTGTTTCCCACCCCTGCCCACCCCCAAATGCCTGTGTTCCAGTGAATAGGTTTTCCCATCTTCTGCAGATTTTTTTCCAATGAACTTGCAGGTCCATGCCTTCCAGCTCCAGCCTCTACCCCTTATCTTCAAAGGCCAGCCTAAATGCAGCCCTGAACCCCTCACTTCCAAAGGCCTCTCAGATCCCTGTCTCCAGAGGTACCTGCTGGGACTCCTGGAAGGCATGCCTCACCTGGCTCCCTTTATCTGTTAGCAGCTTCAGTACCAGGGGAATTGCCTGTGAAACACATTGCCTCTGGAAGTGAGAAAATTTCTGCAGAAGGTGTTTGCCAGAAAGACAGCAAAAGGTGTTGTTTTCACTTAGCAGGTGTTTAAATTTTTATGAGGCTCAAACTCTGCAGAAATCACAGACCTTCAGAAGGGTGTTTGATGTCTGGAGCCACCATGCCCTCGCAGCCAAGTTGTTGGAGGTATGTGTCATGTGTTTGGCTTGTCCAGGTTAGGGGTGGGTGGGGCCGGTGCTAGGGTGGGGCATGTGTGTGCTTAGATTATGATGGAAGAAATAAAGTGTACTTATGCATCCAGCATGCCCCCAACTGCTGGGAGCTTCACATCAGAAAAAGCTATTCAGCTCCCAGAAGGCAACTCATCCTTGAAATGTATATTTGTTCTTCTGCAGGCCCAATGGTTCTCTTTTTTCAGCTGTGTGTATTTCCCACTTAAGCTCTAATCCAGACTGCCTAGGGTGAGGGCATGCCGAGTAAATAAAGTTCTCTCAGACCAGTGGAGTTGTGCTGGGGTCATCTCCTTCTTCTTGAAACCTGATACAACAACCATATTCTAGAACTGCCAGATCATTATTAACCAGGTCATAAGCTTTCCATGACAATTCCCTCCCTTCTTCTCTCCCTCCCTCCCTCTCCTACATATATACTGAGCACCTACCATATGCCAGACGCTGTGTTGCGTGAAAAATCCAGGGTGAACAACACAAAGCCACCTTAGGTCTCTGGTCTGGTGGTACAGGCAGAGACCCCAAGCTTTCCATCCTGGACTGTACTTCAATCCCATGACTATTGACCTTAACAAGACTGACTTCCTTGGGACCAGCGATTCTGCACCTTGACTGACATGAGAATCAAGGCGTGGGCATGGGGGGTGCTTTGACATATGCTGATAGCAGGCCTCAATGGTGAGTAATTGAAGCAGACTCTAGGGAAGGCCCAGGCTGTGCATCCTAACCCAGGGCCAGGGTTGAGAGGCCCTGCTCTGGACCACCCAGTCCCTGTCAGACAACCTGTTCACACGTCCTCTCACCTGTCACTCATGACTAATGGAGTGTTTTTCTGTGAAAGTTAACTTGCCCTGAAGGGGCAATTCTGACTAAAGACATGACCTCCCAACCCACAACCCAATGGAAAGAATCCTAATTAGTCTCCATTGTAAATGTGTACTTTTCTATTTTGATATACAGTACACATCTATAACATAAAATGATCCCCAGAAACAACTTACAGGGAGCCTACTGGCTGCTTTGGGTGGTGCTACCCATAGTGGGGCCATGTGTGTCCATCTATAGATATGATTCTCCACAGTCTGCAATTAGAGGTTTTAATTCCTGGTGAGTAATACAAGGCTAGGTAAGAAATGAGTGAGGCAGGTCTGAGTGAAGGGCAACAAGCTGGGGGTGGAGGAGGGGTGTGCTGTGGCCACAGGAGCAGCATGTTTGGTCCAAAGTGGCTCGGCTAATATTTAGCTCCAACTCATGCGGCCAAGCAGAAGTTGAAAGGACCATGTTGGCATATCTTCATTTTTTTTTAACAAATTATTATCAGACATCTCAACTGATCAGATTTTGTTTGTGTCCAGAGGATAGCAAATGCATTGCCCAAGCAGGGATCCATCCATGCAAGACCTTCTGTGATAAATCATCACAGTAAGTTTATGCTGATCCCAGGTTTAATTTGTGATGTTAGGGGCAGGAAAGCTCTCTGGCTGGCCTCCCTCTGTTGCCTGCAATGAAATGCAAGTATGAAGTTCATAAAAACCTATGACATAAAACTATCTCTTATTTTCTTATTGTTGACTTATAATGACTGCTGATGAATTTTACACAAGACAACTAAATTGTAAGGTATAACAATTGAAGTGTCTAGAATCCAATTGATGAATTTACTAATTATTCTTCCTCATTTAAACAATCGGTCTTAGATGTTGCTGGGTAACAGAACAGCAACAATCTAGCCAGAGACTCATTTATTTATTTAAAAACAAGCTACTGAACCTCTACTTGAGGTGGGCACTGTGACCCAGAAAAAGCTGGCAAGTCTCATCCTAAAAGAGCTCACACTGTCCCAGAAAACAGTCAGTTAAAATGCCTAAATTATGCACTGTGAGGGAGGCAAGCTAACCAGGAGAGTGCAGGAAGGCTTTGCTTGCCTTTCTAACTGCTTGCCAGATGCTTTCATTTTAAAGGTTACCCAGAACACCGTAAGAAAATCCGTGAATGATAATGCTATATAAATGTTTCTAAAATGTTCACATAAAATGAATAGTATGCTGTGGGTGCTCTGGAAGGAAAGGGTTTCACACAAAAAGTCACAGAGTCCTTGCCTACTTCTCCAGCCTGAACGTCCACCAGCCTCCCATGCAGAGGGCCTTTCAGGGTTCAAGTCCTGACCAGTCTTTGCACAGGTGGTGGGCTCTTCTTTACCTCTGTCTTTGTGTAATTCCCTACCTGTGCTAGTCAGAGTCCTAGGAGGAAGCAGGAAGGATGCCTAAGTGGCCTATTCATGATGGTGAGGTTTGAGTGTAGAGAAACCACAGGGGATCGGGCAGGAACCAGGGACATAGATACCACCCCTTGGCCTGGAGTGGGGGATGAGAAAGTGGTTTCAGAGACCCGAAGCCAGAGGCTGTGATGATGGGGCCATTTAACAGGACTTCCAGCTCTTGGTTAAGGGCGCATCCAGCCTGTAATGGCTAGGCAGGAAGGTCCCAGGGCAATGAACAACCTGGCATCACTCCCTTTTCTTCCTCTGAGCTCTTGCTTGGTTCCACTGGCTTAAGCAACTGGAAGCCAGAGGGAGAGAGCTTGTTGATGGTGCTAACTGCTTAGGGCACAAGCAATGCAGGAAAGCACGTGGAGTGCTCTGGGGGGCACACAGATTCATAAAACTTGCCACTAGTCCTTTAAAATACAGCCGGGCCACCTCATCTGGGAGGCTTCTTGACCATGGCCATCCTCAGGCTAACTTAGGCATCCCTGCTCTGCACTCCCTGTGCACAGTGATTGGCTCATTTTAGGTGCTCAGTAAAGATGCACTGGAATAAATAAAAAAATCATCACCTAGGAGTTTCCAGTATTCTCCCTGATTTAGATTTTAGGGTCTGGAAGACAAGTTTGTTTCCCTCCTTCTTCCCAGTGATGTAACATGACCACTCCTGCTTCCTCCTGGGCCAGGACAGCTACAGTGACAACTGTGTTAACCAAGCACTCACTTTGCTCCAGGCCTCAAGCTGAGAACTGAAACTGGGCTTCCCTAATTTAATCAAACATCCCTATGTGGTAACTACTACCATTATGGTTTACAAATGAAGAAGTTGAGGCTCAGAGAGGTTCCCAACTATACCCAATGCTACAAATTTAATAAGAGGTACAGCTAAGGCTGGAATAAGAACATTAGGGACCTCGTGTATTAAAAATGCTGTGGAGCCCCACAACCCTCACAGTTCAAAATAGAAACAAATAATTCAAGACATGAACACAAAACCCAGGTAGGTGCTAGAAGTAAAATAGCTTCTAGTTCTGTAATAGTCAAGTTCCAAATACATTTCCCTGTAGCTGAATTCTTCTCTTTCCTTTTTTTTTTTTTTTTTTTTTTTGAGACAAAGTGTTGCTCTGTCACCAGGATGGAGTGCAGTGGTACAATCTCGGCTCACTGCAACCTCTGCCTCCCCGGTTCAAGCAATTCTCCTGCCTCAGCCTCCCAAGTAGCTGAGACTACAGGCATGCACCACCACACCCAGTTAATTTTCGTATTTTTAGTAGAGACGAGGTTACACCATACTGGCCACGATGGTCTCGATCTCTTGACCTCATGATCTGCCCACCTCGGCCTCCAAAAGTGCTGGGATTACAGGTGTGAGCCACCGCATTGCTTCTCGGTCTTTTGGCTAAGATCAAGTGTAGCGTCTAAGTTCCATAATTGTAAAGTTCCAAATACATTTCCCTGTAGCTGAATTCTTCTCCTTTTTATGTGTCCTCCTATTCTTCTGGTGTCTAAAGCACCCCTTCAGTGTACCTGTGGATCATCCAGCATAGCGTGGGAGGGCTGGAATCTGGTGGTGGGCCCAGCACCAAGTGCTTAATCACCATGCCCACACTAACCACCATACCAAGCCCACCTTCTAAGTCCACCTGAGTTTGGCTTGGCCTGCCTTCCTGCAGATGCTGCCGAGCCCCTGCTTGGTGCTAGTTCTACCCTGGGTTGGCTGATAAGAGCAGCCTTGTCATTCACAACGCCCAGGACATCGGCTCTTCAACATTTCCTAGTTGCCAGCTGGTCCCTGACGCTACAAGGGAAAAATCCAAATATATAAGAAAGGTCCTGAGTACAAGGACAAATTTCAAATAGGAACAACCTTGGCTGGAGTTTTGAGAGAGACATAAACAATCACTCTCAGTTGAAGGGTTTTGTGGGCACTTGCTTGGAAGAGGCAGTGTCTGAGCTGGTGCAGAGAGTGGAGGGAATTGCAGAGCAAATGAAGTGAGGTGAAGGCCCAGGAAAGGCAGCAACTTGCTGGGGTAGAAGAGAGAGGGAAGACAAGCATGAGCTAATGACAATGCAAGGGCCCTATACAAGCGGGTCCTCCTCAGGCACCTCTGTCTGAAATCAGCCTGGGGGTTTGGCCTGCTGCCATGCATTTTAGTGTCTTGGTTTAGACTGACATATTTTTCTTTCTAAATATTTCATGCCTGCTTTCTTAAATGCTCTCTCAAGGCAGAAGAGATCCTGTCTCCTGTCTCATGACTGGTTCCAGGAGAGACAAATAATCAGACTGATTGCTCTAGGCTGGGGCTGCTGCCCATACTCTGAGTGTCACCTTCTCCCTACCCCCAGACAGTGTCTCCATTTACACAGCAAGGTTTCTCCAGCACGAATCCTAGCCAGCAGTTTCTGGGAGGGGAGGGGAGGTGAGGGGTGATAAGGACACTGTCCATCCATCCCAGGGATCAGTACGATCAGGGAAAGTGTGCACGTGTGCCTCTCTGACACGCAGCAGATGAACACGGCTGACTGTCATGGCAAGGGCACTGTGGCTTGTTCCCCTCCTGTGTCAGCTTGTCCTTGGCCAGCTAGTAGGTAAGCAGCTGTGCGTGGAGAGGGTTTCTGGCCCAGCAAGTGCCAGCCCCCTTTCTAAGAATGCCAGTGAGGAGACGCCCTGGAGCGTGGTCCCCCAGGAGGAAGAATACAAGCTCCTTGGGAGGCCCTCTATGCAAGCTCAGGGTGTGGGGTTGTTCCTCGATTTCTCTCTAGATGTTTCCCAGCAGCTTTGTGAATCATAAGCAAAGGAAAATGTTTTTGTTTCAAATGTGCAGCTCCCTCTGCCCCATCTATCTCCAAAGCACCAACCCCAAATACAGATTGACATGTGTAGGCCTCGGTGAGTACTGAGTGAGCAAATGAAGAAATGGTGGGAGGAAGCTTAACCCCAGGGGTCAGATTTTGAAGTCCTGGTTCTGGCACCACCATTTACCATCTGTGTGGCCTTAAGTCCCCTCACCTCTCTGGGCCTTAGTTTCCCCGATGATCACAATAGCCTTGCTGTCCTCCCTGGGCTGTGGGAAGGACATGGGAGGAAACCTGTGGAAGGACTATTCAATGGTACAGGGCTGTGCAAATAAGACCATTTGTTTGTTGATTGATTTTGAAAACTCTGCGTAAGTCACATTGCATTTTGAAGATACTAAGAATTCTTTGCTTTGGGCCCTGTAGTGGGTCTCCTTGAAAAATCCCTTTGAAATGGGAATATCTTCTCCTAGCACGCCACCTCTGCTTGGCTCAAAGCTGCCCTGGCTCAGCAACTCAAGCATCTCCACCTCTGTATCAACACCAAACACTCTGTGGCTTCCACCTATTTTAGGAGGCAGCATTTATTCATGCATTTGTACATGAGTTTGTTAGTTCCTTCCATGAAATATTAGTCCGGCAGCAATTTCCTTGCTCTCCCTAGCCTAGTCCTTGCTGAGGGTTGGTTCTCCGTTTGGGATGCTCCCTTTTCTTCCCTGTTTTCCTGCTAACTCACACTCATTGTTCAGGTCTCTGCTGGCACATCACCTGCTTCAGGGGGCAGCCCCTAGGCATCTTCATGTTGGATTAAGATCTTCCAGTTATCCCTCAGCACCTGGGCTCCCCCAGCATTGCACCATGTTAAAACTACTAGTTTTCTATCTGCCTCCCAGCTTTGGACCATTACATTCTGTAAGAACAGGAACCTGTCTCTCTCATTCACCACTGTGATTCTAATGTGTGCCCAATGCCCACTGTAAGGACTGGACAACAGTGGGCACTCAATCAATATTTCCTGAATGAATGAATGAATGAATAAATTTCCCTGTGGCTGTAATACACATTTTCCTCAAAGGTAAGCGATGATGTGAAATTTGAATTAAGAATCTTCCCAAGATGGGCCTCTGCTTCTATACTGGCCCTCCCCCTGCCTCATTATCCAAGCCCCTTCCCAGACCCCAGGGACTAGACTCTCTTGCTCTTTTTTCTCCAACTGCTATTGTAAGCTGCTCACTCCCTACCCCACCCTTAGCTCCTGCTCCTGGCGCCCTGGACATAGGTACCCTTGCTCCTCACTGCTGCATCTGAATGGAACTTCAAACATGCAGTGGCCTCACACATACAAGTTTCAAGGTGGTCACCAGAGAATCAGACCAGAGACCAAATGGTGTGCAAAGAGGAAGGTAAGATTCTAGGGACTTCATGCAATTTCTGTGGTAATTGTTGGTTTCTCAAACTCGTGTTCTTAGAAGGGAATGATACCCTAGGACAGAATCCATCAAGCCCCAGGCCCCCAGCTTGAGGGCATTAAGGGCAAGGAGAAGGGCCAGCACCATTCAGACCTCCAGGGTCCCCTCCAGAAGGTCCTCCCAGGGAACTCTGGGTGAGTGTGTCTGATACCCATGACTGTCTGCTTCACACGAAAAATAACTGTGTCCACTCCTTGGAAGTGACTTCTGGGAAGCGGGTGGATAAGATGGAGGACTCATTAAAAAAGTGCTCCTTGAGGTCTAGAATCGGGACTTAGAAAACAGTACAGCAATGAAGGACCTTAGAGTAACACCTACTGATGATTAAACGCACAGGGAGTGTGTGCTGGCCACATGCCAAGCACTGTGAGTGGTGCTGCATCCTGTAACTTATCACCTCTTGGTTTGCGAATGAGAGAAACAAGAGAGGCCTCCCAGTCAGGGTTTCCTGCCTCCTACTGCTCCTCATTTCTCTAAGTTGGCCATTGCCAGAGTAACCCACTTGGTCTCCTAGCCCCCAGGTTCCCCCTCCTCGATTCATCCCTCACCAAGCAACTAGAGGGTCTTCGTGAAACCCAACTTGGATCTTGTTACCCTCAAGCTTAAAATCTTGGATGGTTGCCCATTGCCCTTAGGATAGGGTCCTCCACATTTTCACCACCATCCTACCTCTTTGGGAAGGAACCCGGCTTGGGTGGAATGTGAGGCAGGGAGAAATGCAAATGAAGACAGAACCCTAAGTGCCTACCGGGTCCCTCTGACTGCCCAGCATTTCCACTGTCAGCTGCCATGGTACCCAAGACTCTGCTATGCTATCAGTGATGTTGGAGAATCAGAATCTATTTTTTAAAGCAATTTCATTGAAGTATTTACATACCTTAAAATTAACCTACTGTAAGTGCATATCTCAATTACATAAATTTACGGAGTTCTGTAACTGTCACCAAAATCCAATTTTAGAACATTTCTATTACATGCAAAAGATCCCTTGTGCCTATTTGTAGTCAAGTTGGGGGCTCTCACCCCTAGTTCCAGGCAGCCACCTGAGACAGATTTGCTTTCTCTCTCTATAGGTTTGCCCTTTCTGGACATTTTCATGCCAATGGAATCATACAATATGTAGTCTACTGTGATTAACTTCTTTTATTTAGCATAGTGTTTTTGAGATTCATTTATGTTGTACTGTTTATTAGTAATTTATTCCTTTTTATTGTTGAATAATATTCCATTGTATAGATATACCATATTGTTTATATACTCACTACAGTTGATGGACATTTTGGTTAACTTTTGGGCTACTATAAATAATACTTCCATTAATATTCATGTACAAGTCTGTATGTAGACATGTATTTTTCATATCCTTAGATGATGCCCAGGAATGAAATTTCTAGGTCATATGATAAGTTTATATTTAACGTTTTAGGAAACTGCCAAACTGTTTTCCTAAAGTGGTGGCATGATTTTACTCTTCCACCCCCACCAAGAAATGTATAAAGGTTATAGTTTCTTCACATTTGTTAATACTTGTTATCGTCTTCTTAAAATCATTATGGTATATCTGTTCTTGGAAGCCTGAAATGGCAGCTTACTGTGGTTTTAAATTGCATTTCCCTAATGACTAATTATATTGATTGAGTACCATTTCATGTGCTTATTGAACATCCTTATATCTTCTTTAATGAAATGCCTATTCAAACATTTTTCCCATTTTAAAAATTGGGTTGATTTTCTCTTATTATTAAATTGTAAGAGTTATTTATATATTCTGCATTCAAGTCCTTAATAGATATATGATTTGTACGTTTTTTTCTCCAAGTCTGTTGTTTATCTTTTTACATTCTTAATGCTCTTAATGTCTTTTGAAGCACAAAAGTTTAAAATTTTGATTAACTCCATTATATAAATGTTTTTATGAGTCATGCTTTTCATGTCATATCTAAGAATTAATTGCCTAACACAAGGTCATGAAGATTTTCTCCGGTGTTTTAGTCTATAGGTTTTATTGTTTTATGTTTTACGTATAAGTTAATTAATGATCCATTTTTAGTCTTTGTGTCTTTTGTGAGGTAAGGGTCTAAATTCACCATTTTGCATGTGGATATATTATACTAGCACTATTTGTTGCAACAACTGCCCTTCATTACATTAACTTGGCATCTCTGTTGAAAGTCACTTGATCATAAAAGTTTAAGGGTTTATTTGTAGACTCTTATTTCTGTTCCGTTGATCTTTACTCCTGTTTTATACCAGTACCTCACTGTGCTGATTACTGTCGATTTATAGCAAGTTTTGAAATCACAAAGCCTAAGTCTTTGACTTCGTTATTCCTTTTCAAAATTGTTCTGGAGATTCTGGATCCTTTGCATTTCCAAAATCAGGTTGTCAATTTCTGCAAAAAAGCCTACCGGAATTTTGGTAGGAATTACGTTTAATCTGCCAATGAATTTGTGGAGAACTGCCATTATAATAATATTGAAGCTTTTAATCCGTGAACCAGGACTATTTCTCCATTTATTAGATCTTTCTTATTTTTTTTCTGAGCTATGTTTTTGTAGTTTTCAGTATACAAGTCGTACTTCTTTTGTTAAATTTATTCCCAGGTATTTATCATTTTTGATGCTATTTTGAATGTCAGTTTTAAAATTTCACTTTCAGATTGTTCATTTCTAATATAAAAATATTAATATAACTGCTTTTTAACATTGATCTTGTAACTGCAATCTTGCTGAACTTGTTTATTCATTCTAAGATAATTTTGTTGAATCTAGAATTTTCTACATCCAGGTTCACGTTCTCTATGCATAAAGATAGTTTTACTTCTTCCTTTCCAATCCAAATGTCTTTAATATCTTTTTGTTTGTTTTATTTCAATGTCTAGGATCACTAGTTTAGTGTTGAATAGAAGTATGGAGAATGAGTATCCTTACCTTGTCTCCATCTTATGGAGAGAGATTTCCATCTTCTACCATTAAGCATGATATTAGCTGTACATTTTTTGTTAATGCTCTTTGTGAGGTTGAAGAAGTTTCTCTATTAGTTTGAGTAGGTCTTGAATTTCTTCGCATCCTTTTTCTATGGCAATTGAGATGACTGTGATTTTGGTCTAATTTTGTTCAATCTAAGAAGATGGTGTATTACATTGATTATCGGATGTTAACCCAGTATTTGGTTTCTAGGCTGAATCCAACTTGGTCATGTTGTATAATACTTTTCCTATGCTGCTGGGTATGATTTGTCAATATTTCACTGAGAAAATTTGAATTCATGTTCATGAGAGACACTGTTCTGTAGTTTTCTTGTGATGCCTTTGTTTGACTTAGATATCAGAATAGTACTGACCACACAGAAAAAACCAACAAGTATTTCTTCCTCCTCTATTTCCTGAAAGAGTTTGTAAAAGATTTGCATTACTTCTTCTTTAAGTATGTAGCAAAATTCACCAGTGAAGTCATCTGGGCCTGAGTTTTTCTTTGTGGGAATATTTTTAATGATTAGTAATTCCATTTGTCTGCTTATTGAAGTCTATTCTGATTTTCTATTTCTTTTTGAGTCAGTTTTAATTATTTGGGGTTTTTTTTCTTCGACTTTTTTCCATTTCATCAAAATTGTTTAATTTATTGGCATAAAATTGTTCCTAATATTCCCCCAGTGTTTTATTTGCTTTTGATAAATTCCCAGAGTCCTGAGATGGTTGTTTTGGATGAGCTTTTTCACTTGTATTGTTCTTCTTTAGGGAGAGGATTTGCTGACCTCCCTGCCCCACTTTCCCAGCAGTGACATCTTCTGGTTGCACAGCACGTTCTCATTACTTAGTGACAAAGACTGTGTAAGAATGACTTTTTCAGTCATCTGAGTTTCTATTCAAATGACAACTCCTTTGAGAGACCTTTCTTGATCACTCAAATGCTTCTCCTTTTCCCCAGGTACTTGCTGTCACACCAGCCAGTTTTATTTTAGTATATCACTTTTCACTATATGGATTTTTTCTGTGTATTAAGTCACTTTCTCACTTACTTATTGTCTATTACTCCATGCTCACCTAAGCCTGCCTGCCAGGGTGTCAGCACCATGAAAACAGAGGCCACCCTCAATCACATCTACAGCTACTTGGCACATGGGAGAGCCTGAAAAATATCTATTGATTAATGAGTGAATGAAGGAATAAAGGAGAGAAAAAAGGAACGATTACAGGGGGAGATGAGTTCTCAAACTTGGGTAACTTGCTTTCCAGGATAGTAGTTTTACCAGTACATACTCCTAAATTATAAATGTGTTCCCAGCATGGGAGTGGGAGAAATTGTATGAGGAAACTATATATATATATGTGTGTGTGTGTGTGTGTGTGTGTGTGTGTGTGTATAAAATATGTATGTATGTGTGTATATATATTACATATAAATACATATATAAAGTGTATATATTTATATCAACATCTATCTATATTTATATCTGTATCTGCTGAGCTTCCACCACCCACAGAGAGCTAGTAGACCTTCACTGCACATTTCCAAACCTCCCTTGCACTTAGGTTGCTGTCAAGTGACTAGTTCTGGGCAAGAGGATATAATTGGAAATGAGTAATTAAGTTTCTCTTTTCATAATTCAGCAACGTAGATATTATTATCTTCCTTTAAAGTTGAGGTTGGTGAATGTCAGTGGTAAAATATTGTGACTAAGCTTACCCAAATGACAAGAGGTGAGGTCCGCCTTCATTTTAAATCGTGTTCAATGTATTTGAGATCATTCTGTGTTGCTGCTGCTCTGGACAGCCTGCACAGGAGTAATTATGCCATTAAGTTATTATAAACAATTACAACCATAGATGGTTTATTGTGAGTTAGGCAGAGAATCAAAAGCCCCATTCCTTTTTCCTTCTCCTTTCTTAATGTGTGTACACATAATGTTTAGCATCAGTGCAGCCCTGGCTAACTATCAAAATTATTTTTATGCTGACTCAATTAAAATTTAGAGCAGAAGAGCTAGTTAAGCATAGAAATGGCTTCATTATGTGACATACATGGTTTAAATTTAAGCCTTGCATTTGAGAAGTTCCAACGTTTTTGTTCATTCACTCACTCACTCGCCCACCAAACATGTTTTCTGTTTGATTTCCTCTATCAATGGATGCAGAAATGAGGAGGTGCAGCCCCTATTCTGAAGAATTTAGGGTCTCAAGTGGGAGGCAGAACCAAAGCCTTTTTTTTTTTTTTCTACAAATGCCAGCAAAGAAACTGCCATCTCCTGCTTCTGGCAATAGTTCACGGGGCTGATGTTATGGGTGGGACACTGGGTGATGGCAGATGAGAGGTGACACTTTGAACGACAGGATCTTTGCTCTTGGTATAGATGTCTGAATGTTGGAAGAGGGTTTGGATGCCAGTCCTGCCTGGGAGGTGATTTAGCTGTGGCCTCTGCTCTCTCATTTGTTCCACCACCTGTGACAGCCTTGGTGTGTACCCATGCAGGGAATTCCTGCCATTCCCTGATCCCTGTTGCATTGTTACCTACAAATCCGCCTCTCTCTTCCCAGGTGTCGTCATCTGGGGCATTAAAAAAACACAGGTGTTGTTATCTCACCCCCAGACTAATGGGATCAAAATAAGGGAGTTGGGGGATTGGAGTGAAGAGGTGGGGGCATTGGTAAAGGATTGATACTTCTGAGAATGCTCCCAGGTAATAAGTTGCCAGTATTGAGAACTAGAATAATATTAATCTAAAATAATCTCTTGGGTCCCTTCTAGGTCTGTGCAGAGATTCAAATATGCAAGATATGACCCAAGAAAGGGTCATGGTCTCTAATCACATTTCCATGGCTGAAAGGCATTTCTGATACCTTGCCTTTGATAATGCCTTATGTTTTTCTAAGTGCTTTAGTATTCATTAAGGGAATGATCTTTAAATTACTAATACTACAGTGTGGTAGGTCTTTCAGGCATTTTATGGATGAAAAATTTTATAGATTAAAAATTCCCCCAAAAGGACAGTTCAGAGTCTTTCCCAAGGTCACCAGCTGTTTAGCCACACACCGGGACCAGAGCCCTGTGAAGCTGCTGACCCCAGCCCAGAGCCACCTCTGGGAGCTTTAAATGCTTCCTAAAGCCAGGAAGCTTCCAGAAAGTTTTCCCAAGGACAGATGGAGGGGGGGCTTGGCCATGTCTCCCTAACACTTTGAGAGACTGGAGAGGCAGGATTCACAGAATTCCAAGTCGAGGAGACCCATTGGTTGGCCACCTTCTAACACAGAGCCTGGGGAGTCCTACCCTGCCCAGCAAGCACTCACCAGCCATCAGCTCTGATGGAGGATCAAAGACAGCTTAACCCCCATGTGACATGAGTAGCCTCCCTCAGTGTCAGCCTGGCTCATGCTATAACAGGGAGAGACATTCTTGCCAGGGCACTTTACATTAACCCCTTGCTATGGGCTGTTAGAATCCATAAAAGCATCTGCATTCCTGACATGTAATCCAGAAACTCAAATTTTTCCTAAGCATAAAGTCATTGAGGTTGGTCAGCTCAGCATTGGAGCTGACTAGAACATATTGGTGACCCTGGGCCATGCTGAAGATGATAGCATCTAAACCATACTCCTCTGCACTCTGCATAGGACTAACCCTGTCTCTGAATCTCATTCTAAAGGCATGTTGAGAAAAACACAAAATGAGACAGATAGTGGAGTCTCTGCCCTGCTCTCTCTTTCCTGGCGGCCTCTTTTCTGCCTGGGCTCAGTGTTCCTGCCTCTGCTTGCCTCCCTCACAAAAGGGACCATCTTGGGTCAACAGGGCGAGTGCTAAAGTGAGCACTCCAGGTCATGGCAACCTCTCCCAGAGGGCCTCTGTGGGTCTGTCCCCACCCCACATCTGCGCATCTGGAATATGCAGGAATAACAGGTATGAATGCATGGGCATGTGTCCATTGGAAAGACGTCTGGAGGGGGTGTCTGTGGATGTGGCTCTGATGTTGTTGGCCCAGGGGCTGCATTCGGAAATGCAGGGTGAGTTCATCTTTCTGGCTCCTTCCTGGCAAGACATTCTTTAACCATCTGATGCATATATCCCTTGGAAGGTAACCATTGTTGCAACTTTAGAAGATTCGTGGGCTATAATGAATATAATTGGTAATATTTCTGGCAATTTAAGAAAAATGAAAATCTGTTAGTCACTTACTATATTCCCGACCCTTCACTAGGAGCTTTAGCATAAAATATCTCATTTCATCTCCATTTTCCAGATTGAGGTTCAAGAGAGGGGACTTGCTCAAGACTCACAATGGTTACATGGTTGAGTTGAGTTTCTAGACTGGACCTTTCTTCTGTGCCTTTGCTTTGCTTTGTACTATCCCTGTGGCCCAGGGCTGCTTTCTTCTGTCAGCCTCGGTTTCTTCACCTGTAAAATGGAGGGTCATGCCAACTATATCACTGGCATGCTATCAGACTGAGACACAATGCAGAGCATGGTCTCCACAGAGTAACTGGTACCCAGTGCATTTTAATTTCCAATTATCTTTCCCCTTTTCATTGTCAGAAAAGGTAATACAAAATTTAGAACTGTATGTTCTGTATGTTTGGAATTTTTCTTTCTTTTTTTTTTTTTTTTTTTGAGACAAGGTCCAACTCTGTTGCCAGGCTGGAGTGCAGTGGCATGATCTCGGCTCATTGCAACCTCCGCTTCCTGGGTTCAAGCAATTCTCCTGCCTCAGCCTCCTGAGCAGCTGGGATGACAGGCGTGCGTCACCACACTCGGCTAATTTTTGTATTTTTAGTAGAGACAGGGCTTCACCATGTTGGTCAGGCTGTTCTCGAACTCCTGACCTTGTGATCTGCCCACCTTGGCCTCCCTAAGTGCTGGGATTACAGGCATGAGCCACCGCGCCCAGCCCTGGAATTTTTCTTTTTAATTAAGGATAATTGTTTTCTAACATGTCACCCAGCTCAGGTCCATGTAGGGCTTGCCTCACAGAGAGTTTTGTCAGTCATAGAAGTTTTGGTGCAAAGATATCTCCAGGTAAAAGTACAAATGCAGACTGCTTTGTGAATCTACCCTGATCTGTCCAATGGGGTGATCTCTGCTCTGCTGACTCCCAGCACACGTTCTGCTTTCTGCTCCCTCTGATGATGATTTGTTTCTATTCTCATCTTCTTTTTAAGTTCCCATGTTTATTGAGCTGTAGGTCCAAGGCTCTGCAAACTGCTGGCCAGTCTCTTCCCTCTAAGAGCTCACAGTCAATGGGAAAAACAGGCAATCAGAACTCAGTGTGACAAATCTGCATGGTGGAGATACCACAGAATGGAAGGCTCCCTACCCCAGCATGAAGGACCCTGGAAGATTTCTGGAAGGAAGTGGTGATGCCTGAGCTGTGTCTTCACTAAGGTGAGTTTTGCAAAATACTCAAAAATATTTATGGTCAACTTTTCATTCATTTTTTATTCAAACACAAAAGCTTATATTAATTTACATTTTTAGAAGGCAAAAAGCACATGCTCGCCTACTGAAAAATAAATGCAGCCCTTGAATGAAATAAAAGCCTCTTTTCTCTGTGACATCCTGAACATGACAGTCCCTTGGCAGGCTGTGGCCTCCAGGACTAATCCTGTGAGGCAGCCACTGATACAGCCATGGCATCCCCATTGCTCCTGGGAATGCGAGGTGCTATGAGCCTGCCTTCTTAGTCACTTCCCCATGCTTGGCACCAGCCAGATTGCCTTTCAAATTTTCTGACCCATGCTGCACAGCACAACTTTCCTTCCCCAGGACACTTCCTGGGATGCTCCAATCCACACTAACCCTTCATCCCTGAAATTTAGCAGCAAATGCTTGCTGTCCCAACATTGTGTCTGATAAGCCCATATTGTTGACAGCCCTCCACCTACTGACGTATTTACTGAGCAACTTCCTTATTCCAGGCATCATCTCAGGAACTATGCTATATGCTGAGGGCATTTTCTCATTAAGCCTCACAACAATCCTATGAAATTGATATTAATATTCCCATTTAACAGATAAAGAAAACAAGACTCAAATGACTAAAATGTACAGAAAATTGTAGACAAATTTCCTGAGTCCAATTATAGTCCAACTTCAACTACCAGTGGAGTGAAGTTTCATATTTAGGTTCAAAAAATTGAGTAAGAAATGTCTTTGTTAAATAAAAAATGACATTCTAAGAAGTGTCATTACTTTTTTTATCCATGCACAATTTAAAACCAATGCCACTTTCTTTGTGTAAAACACCCTGGGCTTATACAACTGCTCATCTGGTCTTCTGATAACACAGTGAGAGCTGGGTGCAGCTCCTTCCCCTACCAACTAAGTCTAGATCCCATAAGGATGGGACCAGGTCTTGAGCTTCTTCAGATGCCTCCTAGAGTGTCACATGGGGTGGAGCAAATGAAGGTGTTTGAAGAGCCACCTCACACCCTGAAGAGTGTCTGACAACTAGCAGGAGAATAGTAGGTGCAAGAGCAGGGGCACCATTCTCCAGAAGTGCTACCTTATAAAGGTAAATGTTGACCCGGCAACTTCGAAGACAGTGAGGGAAACATGGCAGGGAAGCAGAGAGAAAGCAAAGTCTGTTTTGGAGTCTGTCTTATACAAAAGGTAGTTAAAAGGAGTTACTTTTTTCATGCTTGATTCCCACTAACCATGGACCAAGCCTAATTCAGCCAGGCTCACTCCAGATACAGCCCTCCCCCATTAAAGTCCAGACATGCCTGTGGCTACAATGTAGGCTAGGGTGGCACTATTTGGAAATGGTCTCCTGCCATGTCTTAGGAGATGCCTATGGAGGGGAGTTGGGGAGGATTTTGTAAAAGACAGAGATCCTTTTCCACCAAGAGTGCCACTCAGAGCTCTAGGAAATTTGTCAATGTGGGTGGAATCATGAATGGAGTGACACAGAAATAAAGCATACGTGGTTGTCATGAGAAGACGGCAGTGTGAATCGTAGAAAGATATCACCAACTGACAATGAATGCAGAATTTCTTTACAATTAAAGGGCATGAGATGTCTTTAACCATTATATGTACGGAATCTTACAAAGCTTGATAAACAAACAGGAGGTGCACTCCCAGGTGGAGTTACAGTGCCCTTGAGTAGCCCAAAGTTCCATCCTAATCCATGCAACTCTGGGTAACATCCTATGGAACCAGGATGTTGTCAGATGTGAGAAGCTCCATTTGCCATTTTCAGAAGGGTCTTTCATACCTTGTCTGGCCTTACATCCTCCATCCCTTTCCTTCTGAAATTCAAGGTTCTGAGCCTAGTTATTCTCTAGATGGAAGGAGCCATTACAGAACAAGCCAGCATATTCTTGAGTACTTAATGTGTGATGGGTGAATATTGAGCTGATTTCCCAAGCTAAACATTTTCCAGTAGGCTCAGCCTTAGATCTGCCTTAGGCCCACTCTTGTAGTTCAGCACCTCTATGGTCTGATGTGACCTCAGCATTTTGGCGTTGTCCCTCTGCCTACAATCACAAAGCAGCCTGTTTAGTTGAACCCAGGAAAAGATGGACAACACCACCTAGCATTCATATCATTAATCTTTGAGTATTACTATTTAGAATTGAAAAATACATAAATGGCCCAGAATAGATATTATCATTAATTATTAATATTTTATTTTGGCCATCTCAGTAAGCATTAGATCTGCTATGAGAGGTAGATACAATCATCCCTTGATATCCATGGGAATTGATTCTAGGACCTCATTGGTGTGATGGTTAATACTGAGTATCAACTTGATTGGATTGAAGGATGCGAAGTATTGATCCTGGGTATGTCTGTGAGGGTGTTGTCAAAGGAGATTAACGTTTGAGTCAGTGGGCTGGGGAAGGCAGACCCACCCCTTAATCTGGTGGGCACCATCTAATCAGCTGCCAGCAAATATAAAACAGGCAGAAAAATGTCAAAAGGCGAGACTGGCCTAGACTCCCAGTATACGTCTTTCTCCCATGCTGGATGCTTCACGCCCTGGAACATCGGACTCCAGTTTCTTCAGTTTTGGAACTTGGACTGGCTTTCCTTGCTTCTCAGCCTGCAGATGGCTTTACTGTGGGACCTTGTGATCATGTGAGTTAAAACTTAATAAACATATATATATATATATATATATGTGTAAACATACATATATATATTCCATTAGTTGTGTCCCTCTACAGAACCCCAACACACTTAGATACCAAAATTCACAGTTGCTCAAGTTACTGATAAAAATAGCATAGTATTTGCATATAACCTATGCACATCCTCCTGTATGCTTTAAGTAATCTCTAGATTACTTATAATAAGTTTTAATATCTGATACAATATAAATCCCATGTAAATAGCTGTTATGCTATATTGTTAAGGGAATAATGACAAGAAAAACAGTTTACACAGGTTCAGTACAGATATAATTTTTTTCCAAATATTTACCATGCAAGTTTGGTTAAATCCACAGTTGAGGAACTTATGGATATGGAGGGCCAACTGTATTACTAGCAACTTGAGTAAGGCAGAGATTGAATTTCTGAAAAGATGTAGCCTGACTGGAGATGGCAGGAGGTTGGGTAGAAAGAGATGAATTTCCCTGCTCTGAAGAAGATAACAGGCCCCAACAGTTAGAGAAAAAAAAGTCCCAGAAATAGATATCATTTTAGAGAGCAGCTCTGAGGAAGCACAGGACATGCTGACAGGGGCATAAGGGAAAAGACTGCTGTATTTCTTACAGGGTCTTAGAGGCTTTTATGAGTAGGTAAGTATCATTGTTAATGAGCACATCCATTGTCGGAATGCAAATGTATTTGCTAACCCAAGCAGCTCTACTGTAACGTACATTTACTGTGCCCTTGTTTACAAGGTAATTGTTCCAGAATCCTAGTTAATAAACTGCTGCTACAATAGGGGTGAGAGATTCTTAACAGCAATTCCAGAAAAGCCCTGGTTTCTGAGTCCAGCTTGATATTGGAGGGAAAGATTGAGTTGTCTTAGGACAAAGCCTCAAGGACCAAAGACTGTATTGTAATGGGAAGAAACTGAGCAATAGGGACTTCCATCCTGCCTTTTTGGTCCTAACACCTGTGCTTTTCCAACAAATGTTTGTGGATTCGTCTGTAGCCCTAGGACCTCCCTTTGGCTTTGATTGATAAAGAATAGTAATGATAACTTTATAATTAAGAGATATCACTTACTGAGTATTGGTAAATACCTCATCTCTTTTAAATGTCACAGCAACCGTCTGGAAGATCCAACTATTATCTTTAGTTTTTAAGCAGAAAAACCAAGGTTTAGGAAGATTAGCTCAATCTTCTCAGCCTACTCATTGGGATTAGAACCAGGTCTGTCTCATTTTCTTGCCAAGGTATATTACTCAGGCACATTTATTCTCTACAGGAAGAAAAGATGGTAAATTTCCTTTCTAACTTTCCAGTTTTGTCCTTCTCTGTATCACTAATCTACACATATCAGTACTCTTGGAATTTTTACTTGTTTATATCTCCTCAAATAAAATGTGTGAGTTTATGCATCAATGCCTTTGCACTTGCTGTTTCATTTGCTTTAAGCCTATTAAGAAAAAAAAAAAACAAAACAAAACCTGAATATAAGTTTTCAAAGATGATTATATGACCCTTTAAGGCTATATATCTTTGCTCCACCAACAGAGGTCGGGCCTCTAGAGCCTGCAGGACAAATGCAGCCCACCACTGTTTTTCACACCCGTTCATTTAAATACTGCCTATGCTGCTTTGTGCTACAATGGTCTGACTGAGTAGTTGTGATAGAGACCTTTTGGCCCACAGAGTTTAAAACATTTACTACGTGGGCCCTAACAGAACTAGTTTGCTGACCTCTGCTCTAGGAAGACTTGACTGTGTTTGATATACTATTTACTATTGATTAGGGTGCAGATATTTTGTACTCTTTAAAGGTTAGAGGTGAACTTATAGAAAACTGACAAGGGGAAATGCTAGTAGTAAAGAATCTTAAAAGTTACAGTTTTATTGCCCTGCAGAATGAACCAGCTTTGTATCTCACTTAGGTATCTCTTCTCAGCTTTCCTTTTTATTTCACAGACTATAAAATCTCAGTTCTTATGTTCTCTTTGTACTGATTTTGTTATCCTGCTGGTTCTTTCATTAAAAGGTTAAATTAAACCCTCTCTTTCTTTCTCTCTCTCTCACACACAAACACTTTTGAAAATTTTATTTTGACAAGCTCTTGCATCCACTTTAAATCACACTTCAATACTTAGTGTTTGTCCCCCACTCTGGGAAGTCTTCCCTGTTGGCGTCTCTCCATCCTGTTATTGGTCCTTCTTACTGGCCTCTCTCTCTGCACCTGAAGCATCCTGAGTACCTTTTCCTCAGCACTAATTCTCTCAGTTTATGAGCAAAGCAAGGGATGCTGAGCAAACAAGGAATAAATCTACTGCAGGGTCTGAGAGGAGCTCAGGTATGTACAGGACAGGTAGGGGCAGGGATTGCTGTTGAGTCCAGGGTTTTGTGAAACACTTAACTAGATTTTTGGCAACTTTACTCCTGACTTCCTCCATCTCAAGCATCTAATCTCAAACTCTTCAGAACCATTAGGGGCCCCAGGCTTCAGTAACCTGGGGTCAAAGGCAGAAAATCATTGTTTACTTAAATGTAGCAAAATAAGTAAGTGCCTCATTACATGCATGCCATCTACAAAAGATATATATGAACTTAGAAGCATTTTATCAAAACATCTGGGAAGGGAGAGTTCAAGAAGTTTCTAGCAAGCAATGAATAAATGAGTAAATGAAACCCAATCAGGGGAAGTACCCACTATTGCCATTTTAAGATGTCATTGGTATGCTCATTATTTAGTATGTTCTTCAGTGTTTTACTTTGGAGACAAAACATGCATAGGTGCTTTCACAATTCATGCCCCCTCCCTACCCCACATCCCATCTTCTTCATTAGATCTAATTCCTCACTCTTTGACTTTTAGGAACCCAATGGCCATGGCAAAGCTTTGTGTTGGAGGCAGAATTCTGTAGCTCGCTTTTTAGTTTCCACATAATATCTGCATTTGCAAGTTCATTTTGCATGAGTGAAACTCCTCTAGCTAT
This sequence comes from Homo sapiens, assembly GCF_000001405.40. Lineage (NCBI taxonomy): Eukaryota > Metazoa > Chordata > Mammalia > Primates > Hominidae > Homo > Homo sapiens. The sequence continues at coordinate 140,350,281 of NC_000003.12, read as the reverse complement.
TATTATTTTCTGAGATTAGCGTGGATTTCTGGCAGGTAGTGTTCTTGGCACCATTAAAGAAAGATTTGGTCTTCTGAAATGTGCTCCATTCAGCCTTCCAAAGTTATTATCTTTCTTCCTGTCCACCCCCACTCTAATCTGCCACAAGGCAAGAGGCAGAATCACGTGGGCTGTCAAAGCCAGAGATTGCAAGGTGTGCGTGTAGTAAAAAGAGGTTCATTAACCCTCAGCCTTTGTCTAACTCCTGACTCTTTTTTCTGGACTTCAGACAAAGTTTCAAAAACTGTCATCCAGATGACGCATTCAATCTATGAGAGATGTCAACAAGGTGGTGGAGGGGAGGATGTCAGAGGTGGTCTTGGATAGAGATACCATGATATAAGATGTTGTCTTCTGTTATGAAGCCTGCCATCAGGACAGAGTGATGGTGAAACAGGTGGGTGGGTGCTCACTCCATGCTAGCAACATGCAGTTTTAGAGTCTTGTTAGAAGAGGAAACTGTCGTGGAGCCAAGGTGAAAAGGTAGCAAGCAAAGATTGTAAATGGGCATTTGTTGTTTCAGTTCTGGGTCCTGTTGCCTTATAATTTGATTCAAGCACCTGAACTTTCAAATGTCTGAGCAACCATTTCAAAGATTTCACAGATTCACAGATTTTAGATCTGGCGATTCCCACCCCCTCATACCACACCCAATACTGCAGCCATAGATTGGATCCCCACTGGAATGTCATCTACTGTCTTCTTAAGAATCTACAGGATTGTATTAAGGGAACAAACAAATGCTTCTTGAATCAATAAATGGATTATCCCCATTGCAAAAGGATTTTCATTTTACAAAAGAGAACACGAGCCTTTATTCCTATACTAACTTCCTTTACCACACTTTAAAAGTAATTAGGTTCTGACCCAGTGACAAAGCAGATGCTCATTTATGATATAAAATGAAGAAAACAGTCAACCATAGTGCATTAGTCCATTCTCACGCTGCTATAAAAACTGCCCGAGACTGGGTAATTTATAAACGAAAAAGGTTTCATTGACTCACAGTTCTGCATGGCTGAAGAGGCCTCAGGAAACTTACAATAATGGAGGAAGTGAAAGTAAACACATCCTTCTTCACATGATGGCAGGAGAGAGAAGTACAGAGGGAACTGGGGAGAAGCCCCCTATAAAACCACCTCATAAGAACTCGCTCACTATCACAAGAGCAGAATGGGGGAACCACCCCCACGATCTAATCACCTCCCATGAGATTTTTCTTGCAACATGTGGGGGTTACAATTTGGATTATAATTAAAGATGAGGATTTGGGTGGGGACACAGGCAAACCATATCACACAGTAATGACAACCAGTCTTGGCAAAGTCATGGGGATTCTATTTGTGCCAGAAGCAGGGGACTGGGAGAACAGGGGAGAGACTGCCTAAGCTACAGAGAACATCTCTGTGCATGTGTTTGTGGATGTGTATCTTTGACACAGTGGAACCTTCGGGGAAGGAATTTCCTCCAGTACAGGAAATAGAAGCAGGGCTGGCCTCACATATTAGGCAGACTGGGCTATTACATATGTGGTGTGATTTGGAGCATAATATGAAGGTCTTCTTGTATGAAATTTTATCCTCCACCCACTACTGAGGCCTACCTTCCTGTAATTGGGGAAAATCTTTCAGTCCTTGGATAGATTTTAAAATAATTCCCTAAGAGAAAGAAAAATAGTGAAACTCATGTTGAGATGTATGTGACTAATAGCAGATACCCTTGGGAGAGCAGACTGATGCTGATGCCTGATGGTGGTTAGTGACTGGGGTAGGGGGTACTGCCCTGGCCTGGACACAAGGATGAAGAAAGAAGAACATAAGGAAATTGAAAATAGTCTTTGCTGATTGACTCTAAATCACGGCATGAATATAAGGGCGATCAGAGCAAGAAAAAGCCCTTTTAAGCTGAAATACATGTTTTAAAAGTTGGAAAACTTGGTTTTGGGATTCAATGCACGAAGAAATGAGGCTCTAGAATTCAGCTCATCCAAGCTTATGGGACTAGACTGCAAAATGTGGTTTCTTTCTGAGAAACTGAATCCAAAGAAGTAGAGCCACTACTTCCATGTTGGTAACTCTACCATTTCCAGAGTGGGGAAAGAACATTTCCAAGGTCAAAGCTCCATACTTGACCACAATTGGTAAACTTTGTATGTCTAGGAGGTAGAGCTAACACTCAGTACCTGTGCCATTACTCTTCCTTTCCAACTGACAGACAATGCTAACTTTCCAAGTGATAATCAATAACATTCCAAGTGATAGTCAATGCTAACTCATCAGAGCATCCTTCCTGCTTAGCCAATTTTCAGCCTCAGAATCCTTCTCAACCTAGCTCTCCAGGCTGCCAGCATTAGTTGATTGGACTTGTCTATTGGGTAAAACTTTATTTTCCTTTCTTGATTAAAAGCAATGTAGAGATTCCACATATAAATTCTTTAACAATTCCATCTCTATGCATTTTTCCCTGAAAAGGCAAATTAGGATAGGGTACTGTAGTATATATGTAGTAGATCTATGATGATTTGATGAATATTCATGTGAAAAGAACACACAATCGACCCATTAACAATAATTCCTGAGAGTGAGGGGAAAGCAAGTACTACCTGGAGATTGTGAAAGTATATTTGCTAGGATGGCTCATTCCCTGTTGACTCCAGAAGAGAAATAATCCACTGAGGCCTTATCTATGCAGAGCTCCTGCCATGTTCAACAAGAAGAACACATTGTAGTTTGTGTTTTATTGAATTTGCCTGCTCAGAAAACAGCAGAATCATGATGAGTTAATATGTTCACACCAGGTTTAGGCCTTTTGGAAATGTCTGGAGCTCACCAGTATGGTGGGCTCTGGAGCACCTCCTTGTTAACAGTCATTAAACAAAACCAGAGTGGGCTCAAGTTTCAGCAGTCCTGCCAAACCTGTTCAGATTCCAAACCCTCTCTTAGATTCCATGTCACTGGAAATGACCTAACCTCTGTTGTTTAACAAGGAAAAGTTCAATAGCAAAATGTATTTTCTTGTTGTTGTTGGTCTAGTAGGAGATGCCAAATAACACATTTTACTCCATGTTTCAGTCAGTGGTGTTTATTGAGAAAACCATCAAGAAAAACAATTCTGTTCAAAATGTGTGTATGACTCTCAGGAGAAAACAGAACCTGGGCCCCTTTAAAGAAAATAAAACAAAACTTTAGTTCAGCCTTGAAATCCCTCCTCAGAGAGAAAAGTTGTGAAAAATAAAAGTTAGAAAAGACATTCTTTCAGTATTTACTATCTAGTCATTAGAAGTAAAGAACAGCACAGTAGGCTAAGGCACTACTACAGGGAAATCTGTGCTACTAGTTTAGGTAAGGTAAGTGGATTGGGAGATGCAAGTTCCCAATATTAACCATTATTCCAGACTCTGGAGCATCTACCAAGAACCACATACACTTCCCTCTTTATCCATTCCCACACTCCTCCCAACCACCTTCAAGGTTGTTATTATCTCATTTTTGCAGGGGCGCACCATGAGATGCATGAGTCACTGGCCAAGAGTCACTATGGAAAGGGAGAGGCTGACTGTGAAAAGAGACTGAAAAGTAAGTTTTCAGCCCCAATTTTGGATAAGGATCAATAATGACTTTGTCCAGAGTTTCTGTATATTTGACTCTTGTTCCTAAACTTGCTTACTTAATCCTCATAATTTCATCCCACAAGTTCATTGAACAACTCTGTTTAAAGCATTTGCCCACTGCTGGGAACACTGCCTGGAAGATCTGGAAACATGGGAAGTCAGATCTCAGAACAGGGTATAGTTACACGGAGTGGGTTGAAAGGGAGCAACAACCAGAGTATGGGTCACCAGAAACAAGATGAGGGTGCCAGATACATGCTGTACCTACTCCATACATTCTCATTCTAGCTATCTGTAGCCCTTTCCTAAATGAGAATACCCAAAAGAACTTGTTTGGGCTATTATATGCAAGGTGGCTGAGGGGACTTGGCAAATATGAAATTATAAATGTTAATAAACAGTGTGGTAACTGATGAATTTTATAGCTCACTCGACTGGCATAGAATACACACCTTTCAGATAAAGAGAATCATCTGAACATTTGCAAGCCTAGGGGAATTAGAAATGGCACAAAAAGAGACAGCAGGGTTTGGGGCTGTGCCACCCCCTGCCATATCTCATATTCTGTGTATTGATTTGGAAGAGACTTCTGAATCTCTCCACTCACTTCTCTGGATGGAGACCCAGCATGGGAAGCCATGCATGGTTGCAGTAAGCTGAGACGATGGGCTATGACATCCAAGTGTACCATATTGAACCAGCAAATACAGATAATTGAGTTACCTTCAGAATGATCATTCACAGCGAAAGGCTTTGGATTCCTTTAAATTAGGAGCAGCTGTGACTTTAAAGTACCATCCGGCAAACATATACGTTCCCATCTCCAGCTCCATTCTGAAGAAGCTGAAGTCTGAAGTGGATTAAAAACAGCTAGCAAGTCTGTTCCCTCTACCTACCCATTTGCCTCTGGAAAAATCCAAACAAAACTGAGTGGCAGCCACACACATGCTACTGCCTTTACACACATGCACGGCCTTCTGCTCCATGCTTCTGGCTCCATGCCCTGTACCAAAAAAAAAAAAAAAAAAAAAATTCCACACATAATCACCAATGATAAATCCTGCATAAAAAAAGGCTATATCCGGCCGGGCGCGGTGGCTCATGGCTGTAATCCCAACACTTTGGGAGGCTGAGGCAGGCGGATCGCCTGAGGTCAGGAGTTCGAGACCAGCCTGGTCAACATAGTGAGACCCTATCTCTACTAAAGATACAAAAAATTAGCTGGGCATGGTGGCAGGCGCCTGTAATCCCAGCTACTCGGGAGGCTGAGGCAGGAGAATCGCTTGAACCGGGGAGGCATAGGTTGCAGTGAGCCGAGATCACGCCATTGCACTGCAGCCTGGGCAACAAGAGTGAAACTCTGTCTCAAAAAAAAAAAAGAAAAAAAGGCTATATCCACTCAATGCCACCCTGTCTTGGATCTTGGATCCCCCAAAACTACTTTTGGGGAACAAACTGGCAAGAAACAAACCTACTCCTCATGTAAGGAAAAATGAGGGAAACAAAAGGCAAAAGGGCAAATGAGGATATGACACCATACAGAACAGAACATAAGCCACATGGTCTACACTGATTTCCTAGTCTCGACATGCCCTGAAAGCAGATGGCATTTTTTGGATACACTCAGATGTGCCCAGACGGCTCGTATGGTTCATTCCAAATGGCCTGCCCACTTGGAAATGCCAGAGCCCCATTTCTTTCTGTGCTTCTCCAGAGCCATCAGTGTAGAGAAGTCGCAATCCCCTCACCCAGCACCACTAACACAGCATGCGTTTGCTCTTCAAAACCTCTAAGCACTGTGCTGCATGCTGGGGAAATAATGGTGATAAGATGTGGGTCAACATTCATGGAGTGGTGGGGGAGATAAAGACAGGTCAATTCAATATATGCAGTGTGATGAGGTTTATATGTGCAAGCTGTTATGTGACCCACAGGAGAGGCAAGGAACCTAAGTGTGTCATCAGGGAAGGTACCCCAGGGGAGGTGGCCACTAGCTGGAATCTCAAAAGATGAGTAGAAATTAGTCAGAGAGTGCGGTAGTTGGACCCCCAGTGGGAGGGTATTTCAGGTCAAAGGGATGGCACACAAAAACTCTAGAGGCCAGAAAGACCATGGCACTTATAGAAAAGGGACTGGGTGTGATAGATTAGATTACTCTTCAGGAAATATTTACACACTCTCCTCCTGCCTCCTGGGGTTGTCTCTGGCATGCAACGTGATGTTGGAGTGGCAATACAACTTGTTTTGGCCATTGGCATGTTCACGGACATGACGTGAGCACAGGCTTAATGTGTGCTTGTGCAGTCAGCCCTGTCCTCTGTGCTCCTCCATTTTGCCATGACAGCATCATGTCTTGGAAACCTCCAGGCACAGCACAATGAGCTGTGTGTAGAGCAGACTTGAATCTAATCTCCACTGAGCTCAGCCTAAACTCCAGATGATGACACACATGGGAGGGGTAAATAAATGCTTACTGTTGTATGTCAGTGAACGCTGCGGTAGCTTGTTATGTAGCATTACTGAAACTATAGCAGGTAAGGTGAGGTATAGGAAGAGAGGACGCTGGAGAAGAAACAAGCTGCCAATTATAGCCAACTGGAACAAACAGAAAAGAGCCAAAGGAAGCAAAAATGACTCTGAGGCTTGGGGCGGGGACTGCCTTCTTTTGGGTAGTCATCCGTGCCTGGCACCTAGCACAGTTCTGAGCACACAGCAGCTCCTCGGTAAAGACGGTTGAATTACCAAACCAGCTAGTCCTCTGCCAAGGCCAGTGAGCTACACATACATCAGCAACAAAGACTACTTGCAGCACTGGATCAAAACATTCATAAGCAAAATTTTTGCTATGGTCACAGCCTAGAAACTCTTTCAAGTTAGAATAACCGTATAAACTTACTCAGTGTAACTAGAACTTGGATGAACATGAAAGAAAAGTCAAACTCATTATAATAATATTTTGTCTGGAACTTCCAGGCTTAAGAAACATCTCACAAGCTTCTAATATAGATAATATTGGGTACAATAAAATGCCCAGTCACTGAGATCAGAAATACTTCCTCAGTAAACATTTATTAAGCTCTCTGTTTATGCACTGCATTGATAGTCCCTGGAAGATACAAGTTGACTCTTTAAGATGGTCTTTTAAAAGTACAGACTTACGTGCAATCTTATGTCAAGTACACCAGCACCACAATTTTTTGTTGAGCTAACCTCATGGTAACCAGTGTTGTGGTTTGGCTTGAAATGAGCTTTCTTAAGGCATAGTAGAGTTAGCTATTATTAGGATCAGGGAATTGAGAATTAAAAGGTTCTCAGAGCCACTGATGATATTCAGAGGGAATGTACCTAACAAAACTCCAGCCTCATCCTCTTCTAGCAGAGCTAGGGGGTAGTTTTCGTTTCACTCTTTCAGGGCACTCTGGAGCAGCCTCTGTGGTGAATGAAAGGAGAGCAGTGAGCCTGGGAGATAAGAGCCAAGAGCCATGGCCCATGGGATGAGGTATGGGAAACAAATTCCACAGAAAGATAAAGTCAGGGAAGAAACTAGAGAAGATGGCCACAAAAACGTACCCTGCCTATGTGCTCTTCATACAATGTGACTTTGACTACTCCTCCCGTCTGGGAGGGCTTGTGACCACATTGGAAATGATGCCACATGAGATCTAAGCCTTGGCCATAAAAGGCAACATAGTTTCCACCTGGTTCTCTTGTGATACTAGCCTTTGGGGCCCTGAGACACCATGTAAGCATCTGAGTGCCCTGAGGCTGCCATGTTCTGTGGAAGCCCAAACCACATGCAGAGGCTGCAAGATGTTCTGGCCACAGTCCCAGCTTTGTTCCAGATGACAGCCAGTATCAACTCCTGGGCCTGTGCATGGAGACAGCTTTGGACAATTCCAGTTCCTGGTTTCAGGTTACCCCTAGCCTTTGTGTCTTCCTAGTGAGGACCCCAGACATCAGGAGCAGAGGCAAATCATCCCTGCTGTGTTTCTTCTAAAGTCCACAAAATCCAGAAATGATCATTGCTTTCTCTCATTATGCGTTGTTACATGGCAATAGATAACTGGAATAGGAACATGAGAGGGGGCTGTCTCCCTAGTCTTCCTTTGTGCTCTCTGCAGTGAAAGGTGAGCAAGTCATCTGCCCTACACAAGCTGGAAGTGTATCTTCCAGACCCCAAGCAGAAACAAAAGCATATGAAAGAAGTACAGATATGTTTCACTGTACAGGACCTAGAAAGATACTCATCCCTTTAGAAAAGTGGTTCTCAAGTGAGAGCGATTTTGTCCCCCAAGGGACATTTGGCAATCTGGATACATTTTTCAGTGTCACAACTTAAGGGAGTGGTGCTATTGTCATCTAGTGGGCAGGGGCCGGGGTGCTGCTAAACATCTTGCAATACACAGGACGGTCCCTGGATAACAAATAATTACCCAGTCCGTAATGTCAATAGTTCGAGGTTGAGAGAGTCTGCTTTAGAAGATAGTAACTACTCATAGCTGGGCAACTTGGTAAGAATCTTCCATCTTCACAAAGGAATGCTACCTGGGCCAGGAAGACAAGGCTATGTATGACAAGGTATAACTGAAGACTCTTTTTCTTCTCTTTCAGATGTTAAATAAGTGAAGCAGGTTGTCTACCCCAGGGTGCCCAGCCCTCACAATGTCCTCACTGAACCTTGCCTTCCACACCTGGCTCCCTTTAAAACAGAGCAATTAACCACCTGCTGTCAGACTCACTCTGGAGGACTGCTTCTCTTGAAAAAATATTATATATATACACATATAAAATATATATTCACTAAGGATAGTAAATTTTAGGACAGTGCCTGCTGCATGTGGCCAGGACATTGTAACTGTAGTAAAAGCTATCTAATTTCAATGTATCGCAGACTAACTTCTTTGACAAAAAGCCACTGGAGGTGTGGGGCCCCCGGGGGCCCACTACCAGCAATACTTGAACACAGTGTGCCTGGTCCTGAGCTGGGTGCTGTGTTTTGAGTGGAAGAAGGTGTAAGCCGACTGTCCTCCAAACTGCTGGGGTGTTTGCAGGTGGCTGGATAGAAACCTTCTTCTTCAGCAAGATTTATGCCCTGTTTACTTTCAACAGCAAGAAGAAAATGCGGCTGAAAGTCCCCTTCACTTTTACAGTGAGGGTGCAGCCTCCCTGGCTGATTTATGGGCCTGCTCATTCTGACACCATCGACACTATTGGAAGTTGCTCTGCCGGATACACCCTCTGCAAGGCAGGCAGCATGGGGACGAGGTCAGAGGCACACTTAGCAGGAATCAAGGCCAGTGGCCAAATTCGCAGCTGAGACTTCTAGAGGAAGACTGTGCAATAGTGTTGAAAACCATGCCAAGACAAAATATAAGGAAAGGATGAAAGTCTAAAGAGACTGTCAATGTTTTCCAAAATAAAAAGAGCTCCTTTCTCTTTGATTATACAAGTAATTATGCTCACTGGGGGAAAAAGGGACCTTAGATAATATGCAGCAATAAAAAGGAAATAAAAGTATCACATGGAAGAAAAGGGTCAGGGAGAGTAATTTTATGCCGGAGAAATCTAACAAACACTACCTCAACCAGGTGGTCAAGGTCAACGTCGACAGTGGTAAGTCAAGTACCTTGATATAATGTGATGAAAATGGCACTTACCACTGTGGTCTTCCTCCTCAAAACCCATAACCTCATCTAATCATGAAAAAGTCATGAGGCAAGTCCCAGTTGAGGGGCATTCTTCGAAATACCTGACCAGTATACTTCAAAACTATCAAAGTCATCAAAAACAAGGAGGCCTGAGAAATTATCACTGCCAACAGGAGTCTAAGAAGACGTGACAGCTAAATGGAATGTGCTGTCCTGAATGAGGCCCTGGATCAGAAAAAGGACATTAGGTAAAAAGTTAGGAAATCTGAATGAGGTGCTGACTACAGCTATCAATAACGTATAAATATCAGCTCATTAATTATATCGAATGTACCACATCAGTATAAGATGTTAATAATAGGGTACACTGGGAGTAGGGTTTATGATAACTCTCTGTACCATCATTTGAAATTTTTATGTCAATCTGAAACAGCTCTAAAAAAACAAAGTCTATTAAACAACAAAAGGAAAGGAAAAATCATTCATAATTGTGTCTTCCAGGCATAACTACTGTTAACAACATGGTTTATAGCCCTCTCTTTGCATATACAATCATTCTATGGGTATACAGATTATTTGTATTTTTTAACCCAGATAAAGGTTATTCTACACTTATGTTTTTTAATCCTTTTCATTCCCACTCTGGCCTTCATTTGCAAAGCTGGCCGGCATACATTACTATCACATTCCATAACCAGGGGAAGGTGATGTATATGTACGAAGTACATTAGAACATCTTAAACTTAGGCGTACTTTACAAATTAGCCTGGGCTAAGATAAAATGCATATTGTAGGAGGACATCTGCTAGGAAAGGACTAGTTTAAACAATATTATAAAGGATACATGCAGCCTATAGGAGAAGGGGAGGGAGAGGAGCCTAGACTTGTACCATTATATTATATGCCATTCCCTTCACAAGTACCATCTCTTTCAAATCTCATGGAAACCCTGCAAGATCATGCGCTCATTTTCAGGAGAGAAAACTGGGGCTCTGAGGGATATCTGTGACTTGCCCAAAGTCACACATCCAAATAACACTTAGTGTGTGGTGGAGCCAGTGTCAGGACCCACATCCAATTCTAAAACCTGGGCTCTTTTTCCTGCATAAGGCAGTGTTGTTGCTTGGACTAAGTCAACCTTCTAGAGATAAGAACACTAAGAACAAATGGGTATATGACTAAGCACAGTTCGGCCACTATAACAGTGTTCATTAACCATGTCATGTGTAATGGTTTTTGCATAGTTTGAGTATTTGAGTGGTATCTGTGGCTCTATGTGTACCTTGGGGAACCACAGGGCGAATGTAATTTCGCTAAGGACACAACATCTAAGCCTCTGTTTCAAGGCCCCCATGGTTCTGAGGTAGCACACCACCAGGTTGGATGCAAAGATTCCTGGTTCTCAGCCCCAGGGATCTCATTTAGTAGGTCGAGTTTATGGCCTGGAAATTGGTAGCTTTTTAAGCTCCCCAGGTGACATGGATGCACAGTCAGATTTGAAAACCACTATGATGGAAGGGCCCTTCTAGCTTTGAGATTCTAAGAGTAAGTGATTAGCAAATTAAATCCCTGTAATTACTCTTCACAAATCTCACTATAATTCCAAAGGGCCTCTTCTGGTCTAAATACCATTTCCTTGGAGAAAGGAGGTGGGGAAGAGAGAGAGAGAGAGAGAATCAGTCTGCTAGCATTCTTCTACCCTCCACACAGAACACTGGTCATGGGGGAAGGATTCTTGAAATTTCAAAAAAGCACAAATAGTCCAAATGGAAAAAATTTCCCTGAGAACCTTTGATCTAACCCTTTATGGTACAGACAAGGTACCAACGTTCTGAGAACCATTCTTAAACCTGGACTGTCCACCTTGAGCCCACACATGAGCCAGCATCCAAGGAGCAGATGGTGTGGCTGTGGGTCACGTCTGCCAGCACACGGCAGCTTCACCCAGGTGAGCCACTGCGCAGCATGACACATTCCTACTCCCTCCTAGTGGAGCAGCCTATGTGGGTCTGTGTCAGGCGGCGGGAATACTCATCTGTGCTCCCCAGCTCATTAGATAACAGCCCATAAAGCCCACCCCGGTGTCTACAAACACAGATAAACTCAGTGCATTTTGGATTAAGGTAGCAGCTAGCCAGGCTATAAGGGGGCAAGGAGGGTGCTGCACCTGCTCACTGAGCATCTTCAGGTCTGGAAGAAGGACCACCAACACTTCCCCTTCTGGTCTCCAAGATGTGTGTTCCACTAGGCCTCACGCAGGAAAAGCCTTGTGCAAACTAGTGACCAGGCCCATGCAGTAAAGTTATCAGACGATCTCACAGGGTCCCCACGAATAAGAGCTCTCTGAAAAGCTTAGTGCCACACAACACCTGACAATTCTGAGTGCACCGTTCACTGAGCACTACTGAGGCCGGGGGGGGACTGGACATTTTATGTGTATTTCCCAATTTCATTCCTTCTGCCACCCTTGTGGGAAAGATGGCATTACTCTTCCTTTATAGATGAGGCTCCGAGGGCTAAAAACACTGGCTGTAGAGCATTGATAGAGCTGAGACTTGAACCCAGGCATAAGCAGGGTCGACTTACAGAAGCCCTTGTGGTGATATTATAGATTCAGATTTTATTCTAAGAGCTACGGCATCACAGACAGACTTATGACCCTAAACTTGCATTTCAAATAGATTTCACTGGCTGCAGTACGGAGCAGAAAGTGGAGTGGATGCAGATGGAGATCTATCACTAAGTTTCTTAAAGGAGAGGGGAGCACAAAGAGAAAGAGAGAGAGAGAGATCAGTCAGAGAAAGAAAACCAGGGTGCTGGTGCTGTCCCAGGGCCCAAAGGTCAATGACCTTCTGCATCAGAAAGTGCTCTTAAACTTCAGATTCCTGGGCCCAACTCAGATATACTCTGAGGGAAAAAGCCTAGAAATTAGCATTTTCAATAATTTAAGATCAAGAGCTTGGGTCCTGGATCCAGAGTGCCTTTGTTTCCCCCCAGCTCTATCACTCCCTAGCTCCATGACTCCAGACAAGAGAGTTGCTCTCTTAGTAAGTTGGGCATCATGCTAGTCTCTGCCCCATGTGGAAGTTATAAGGGTTAAATCAGTTAATACATATAAACCCCATAAACTAATTCTAGCCCATGAGTAAGGGCTCAATTAGTATCCAAAGACTTCTGAAGGCGGCATTGCTGATTAAATAATCAGCTGGTGGAGTCTCAGTTTCCATGACACCCCTGCAGAGATGCTTTAGTTGAGAACCTAATCTGGGGCTCAAGAAATCCTACTGAAGGCAAGGCCAGCCCCATGACCTGGTGGTATCTCCATTAGCTGTGACACCTACCAATACCTACTTCCTCCCATGCGGATTCAGGCATGAAGGCAGCATCTTAACTGTCATGTGTTGCACTGTGTCCCCTGAAAGAAATCCTAACTCCCTGGTACCTGTGAATGTAATGTTATTTGAAAATAGGGTCTTTGCAGGTGATTAAGTAGAAATACGGTCATTGGGGTGGGCCCTATTCCAATATAACTGGTGTCCTTAAAAGAAGAGGAGATTTGGACACAATGTAAAGGGACAGAATGTAAAGAAGGAAGACAATATAAAGACACAGGGAGAATACCATTGACAAGCCAAGGAATGTCTGGGGCTATAAGAAGCTAAGGGAGAGGCCTGGAACAGATCCTTTTGCACAGCCCTCAGAAGGAACTAAATGTGACAACACATTGATCTTGGACTTCCAGGCTCAAGAGCCAATGAATTTCTGTAGTGGAAGCTAACCAGTTTGTGTTTGTTTCAACGGATCCAAGAAATAAATATATACAACAACCTAGAATGGGCAGTTACTGAGGCTCTAGAATTAGAAAGGCTGAGTGACAGCTCCCAAGAAGTAAGCCCCACATTCCTGAAATCTGGATCCTGTAATCCAGCCTGCTGAGCATCAAGTGATGCAGCGGCCCTCCAGAGACTGAAGAATTGCTACTGATGGAGAGGAAACAGCTGCTCAGTTCTCCCCTCACCTGTTCATCTTCTTGAATTATTGGTGGTGTGGGGAAGGTGGGGCGGGATGGGAGCATAAGGACAATGAGAACCATTAGCCCCTCCCTCACCTGTGAAGCTGTGACGCAGCCCCGTTAGCCCATTGTCCAGTGAATGCCAAAAAGCCTTTGGCAACCAGTTCTCTGCAGCACAATCCACAGAGCAGCAGCAAATGGTTCCATGAAAAAAGATACAAAAGCTCTCCCCTCCAGGACTTTGGCTTTTATTACATTGAAAGCAGTTGGTTTTCAACAAAGTCTTGGCAAGTCTATGCCAGCTCTGACAGGCTGATGAAAGCTGGGGTGTCTGTGTGCTTGGCAGAGGGTAAGTTCCCAACCCCACACTGGCTAGGTGGGGTCTCTATGACAGACGGAGCCCCAGAATCTGGGTGCTAAACAGTGAGAGACTTCTGCCATGCCTTGGGGCTTGCACACCTCAGGAGATTCTCTGAACCTGAAAAACCAGGAATGAGAAACTCTGAGACCCCTAGAAGGGTGCTCAAGATCCTTCATGATTCCTCCTTAACCATAGTCCAGCCTCATCTCCTTCTCTGTTGCCCTGGGCTCCAGAAATTCTGAGTAATTGGTTGTTCCACCTGAGTTTAAATCCTGTCTCTACTACAGAGCTGCTTTGTGAGCTTGGTTTCCACCTGTGTGTAATGGAGAAATGAATATCAGTTCTATATGGCTACTATAAGGATTACATGAAATAAAATGTTTAAAATGCCTTCACGGTGCCCAACACACAGTCAGCATTCCATGGTAGCTAGTACTGATCATCAATAACTCATTCATCAATAACCTGAGTCACCAGTATGTGACCCACAAATAACTGCCAATTGACAACAGATTTACCAGTAATCAACAGAGCAGTAATCGGCTCCTTCATCCTAGTTTTTCAAGTGATTCCAAAGCCCCAACCATGACACTACAAAAGACTAAAGAGCAATTTTCTGGTGTCTAGTTTAACCTAGACTTGGTGTGGCTTGGAGCCCCAGTTTTATGGGACGGGAGGGATCCTAACAGCAGTGCAGATGAGATGAAAGAAGGCCATTAGGGACACTCCACCTCTCCACTGCCATACACATGCACACAGCCACATTCAAGGCTTTTGTTAGTTCATTTCTTCCTCTCCTCTCTGAAGGATTGACTTCCTTAAGCCCATGGCTCGAAAATTACAGGTGTATGATTGAATTAATTTTAGCATCGCAGGAACCAGCGGATACTTGGAAAGATCTTTGTAAGTACTTGTATTCTCCCTTGTCTTTATTACAAATAATAGTAATCAGTGAGAAATGTAGTCTCCAAGGCTTGAAATCTGACTTCTGTCTTCAACTCTCTTTGAAACCCTAGCTGTCTTTTATGTCTTAGGATATTGCAGACCCAGGTCCTGTGGAGGAGGGGAGGGCCCCAGAACTGGGGGCTGCACTGTGCCTTTTGACTCAGGTCAGATAATAGCCACTTCCAGGGTCAGTGGGGCTTTTTTTTTTTTGGCCTTTCACATCTTCTGAGCAAATGCACACATCTCTGAGTTTCCTCAATAACTTCCCTACCTGCTGCCTGCCATAATCAACTATTTTTAAGAATAGAAGGTGGTACCGAAATTTATATTTCTTTAACTACTACCACCATATAGTACACGATTCTTAAATGGGTAATTTTGTGCCTTGACTCCACTTCCTGCCACCAAATGGGTCACCAGGTCCAAAGGGCCTGGATGGCCAAGGCAGGCTGCCCATCCCATGCTTGGATTTTCATCAAGACCAGGGTCCAACTTACTACTCACAGAGCTGGAGATGCAGCAGCCTTTATCAGGTAGAGGGTGAAGATTCTCCAGCTTTTGAGGCCCCACCAAGGCAACCTTCAGCCAAAGAAATGTCTGGCCAGGGTAAGGATCCAGTCGCTCCCTTAAAAGCCCCCCTTTGCCATTCCTCTATGGAGATTTATACCCTCCTGGACTCAGCCAGCTCCCCTGGAGACAAGGCTCTGTGTTTGCCTGTCCAAGAGGGAGCAACAAATGGTAACGATGACCGCACATTCCTGAGGTTCTGGGGGTAAATATAAGGTTGATTTCCAGGGTCAGCTTCCCAGATTGCTGGACTGGCTTCAAGCCTGATTGCCCATTGACTCCCACACCTTCCTTCCAACTTCGGCCTGTTGACATTCAGCTCAAACTCCAAGGCTCATCTTATCTGCCACCTTCTGTTTCCGCTCCACTTCTGTTGCCCCCCTCCTCTGTGAAGCTTTCTTGATTGCTCTGGGATAAATTAGTGACCCTTCTTTCAGCTTCACATGGAGGAATGTCCCTTCATTCTGTCATTTAGCAGAACATATTGAAATTATTTTTGTTGATGGGCCTCCTCATGTGGCTCCTCATAAGGTGCTGTAAGGTGGGGACTCTGTCCTTCCATCTGTGACTCCACAGTCCAGTCCAGGGCCTGGCACAGAGCAGTTCTTTAGCAAATATTGTGTGCTCACTATTCACAGAAAAGCAAATGTACTAGTAATACAGAGCAGAAGCTTTCAGCTGGGCAGTGACGAATGAATCCACCAACACTGTTCTTTCATTTTTATTCTTGAGTGCTGCCACAAGTCCTCCATTTACTCAGGTCACAGCCATGGGAATGTGTCATTTCTCAGTGGCTGGAGTAGTGACTGTTTTTTCTTATCTAGAAAGCTTTTCTGTAATGGATGATAAGCAATGACTTCATGATAACACTTCCTCCCTCTAGGGTAGCATTTGGATGCTTTTCTTGATGTACCTTTATATGTACTATCTCCATCAATTTGTGACACCCCTCCAGAAATAGGAGCATTTTCATTTTGTAGATGAGGAAACTGAGGCCCAAGAAGTTAAGCAGCTATATCCAAGGTCGCATGGAAGGCTAAGATAAAGTCAAAATGAGGCTTCTACCCCCCGCCTTCTTCTCTTGCTCTTTCCATAACAACAGTCTGCCTCTCCTTGATCAAAGTGACATATCATCCAGACATAAAATCCATGTGCAATTTTTTTTCACGTTTCTCCAGCCCTTATCTGATCTGCTCATAAAAGTATCAACAGAGGACTGAATATGGAGCTGCAAATATTTCTGGGGTCAGTGTTTCACCCCTAACAACTTTCTATAGAATCTGTTCAAATTAACTCACCAACCTATTTTATGACAATAAGTTAAGGCTTTCTTTGTGTTTCCCTCAGTAATGCCTACTCACAATAATTTTAAATTAATTCAGATACACACACACACACACACACACACACACACACAGTCTCCACTCTAATACTGTTAGTTTCTATGATGAAAGTTGGCATAAATGATGATGAAATGCCTAATGTGGCGGGAAACCAAGGTAGTAGCAGAGAATTCTACTGAGGGGAGGAGGAAGGGGACTAAATAGTGGAAAAGAGGAAACAAGGGGTAAAACTGTAGTCAGACCATGGGCACAGGGGTCCTGGGAAAGCTTACATGATGTGATAAGGCCTTGGGCTTTATTTTCTAGAGTGGAGAGCCATGGAATTATACAAGCCTATCATGTTAGATTTGGGGTTCTCAGAGATAATCTGGTCCACTCATCCCTTTTACAGAGAGACACGCTAAGACCCAGACAGCACATGTGACCGGCCAAAAGTCACAGGGCGAATTATTGGCAAAAGAAGTGCATAATCAGATCTCTGATTCAGTTAAGTCCTCACTGGTGGTAGCATGGAAGTGGATTAATCTGCAGAGAGATGAAGGAGGTGGATGATGCTGATATGCCTTGGCAACAAGCTCGTGCACTTACAGAAAGAGAGGCAGAGAGAAGTGACGCCGAAAGGAGAGGCAGGAGAGGAGCAATCCAACATTCGGTGAGCTCCACCTGGGGTCCTACTCAGTCAAGCTCTGGGCCAGGTACTTACAGCTGTACTGTCTCTTTTAATGGCCTTAACACCCCAGTGCAGGATCATGGACTCCCTTGCAAAGGAGATTTGAGATTCAGAGTAATTTGAAAACTTGCCTAAGCCTAAACCTGGCTTTGAATACAGGTCAGTAAGACACTAAGACCCAAACTCTTTCTGCTCAGCTGAGCCTTCTTTAATTTTCAAAGGTTCTGCTAAGATCTAGAGGAAATGAACAGGGGATGAGGTCCTCCACCCAGCCTACTGCCAAGTCATTAACTGACTCTCCTATTCTTACTCCTCCTTGTCTCCTACCTATCTCTGTCGGAAGGGCAAAGGGATCCTTCCTATAATTTTTTTTTTTTTTTTGCCAGAAAAGAAAAGAAAAAACAAGCATACACTGTGTGACAGGAAGGGGGTAGACAGAGTTATTCATAGGCTCTGAACTTCCTCATTTGCTCAGCACCTTCCAGGTTTAAAAGACTAAGTATATTCACAACATTTCTCGTCCACTCATTACAGACAAGTGTACATCCAAGCCCAATAAAACAAATAGCAATCCATATAAAAAAACAGGTAAATGTTGAAAAAATTATTGAAATTTCTACCATTTGCCAATGATAAGCAAGAACAAAGCCCTTGCTGAACAGCTGGCATGTCTTCCTGCTGCTTGCAGCATTGAGTATAAGCATCTTAATAGGCTTTTCCTCCAGGATAGGACCTTGCTCACCCCTCCCCCAGCTTCATCTCTTTTTTCCTGCCTCCAGTTTGATAACGCAAGAACATTAAACAGCTCAGAGTCTTCTGTGTGCATTTCTTGTCCTCGTATATTTGAACCTGCTGTTCTCTCTTGGTTTGTCCTCCACATCTCCTCCCCTCCCTCTTTACCCAGTGTTAAGACAGCTCAGGTAATCATCTGTCACTGCCTCCACAAGGTTGACACTGGCCCCCTGGGCTGATAGAGGGACCCTGCCCCGGCTCCCAGAGCCCCTGTGCTTCCCTCTATCACTGTTCTTTATCTCTCTGCTTGTTTTATTTTTCCACTAGAACAGGGATTGAATTGATTCATGTCTGCAAACCCAGAGCCAAGCATATTATTGGAAAACACTGAAAATATTCTTGAAGAATAAACATACAAATGAATGGATGGATGGAATCTAATAAGCACGGTAGTGGTTTGGAGGGAACAGACATAGTGAGCTTGGAAGCTTACTAAAAATAGTGGAGACTTAATGAACAAGCACTGGCAAACAAGCACCTTACAGGAAGAAGAATGAGTAAAGGAGTCAGCATTAGCCAAAGGCAGATGCCAAAATGAAAATGTCACAGGGGATGTGGAAGAGAGACTAACTGCCTTGGTTACAGGGTTAGGTTTATAAATAGAAGCCATCAGACATAGGGCAGAAGTCCAGGTGACTGAGGACCACAACAAGCCTATAAAATGCCTTTGTGTGAACTGGAAAAAGATGTCCAGATATCCTTGGTGAAGATGTCAACCTGAAGCCATGCAGCCTAGGGAATGATCAATACTTTTGTGTTAGGAAAAGGAGTCTTTTGTTTTGGTAGATGCAGCCTGGCACTTCAGGGTGTGGCCTGGTGTGATGGTTAATATCAGATGTCAACTTGACTAGATTGAGGGGATGCCTAGATGGCTGGTGTTGTTTCTGAATATGTCTGAGAGGGTATTTTCAGAGGACTCAGACATGTGAATCAGTGGACTGTGCAAGGAAGCCCCACCATCATTGTGGGTAGGCACCATCTGATCAGCTGCCAGCCCAGGTAGAAAAGCAGGTGGAAGAGGAGAGATGAGCAGCGTGCCGAGTCCTCTTTCTCTCTCTTCCCGTGCCAGATGCTTGCTTCCTGTCCTTCTGCCCTTGGACTCAGACTCCAGATTCTTCAGACTTTGGACTCTGGGACTTGCATCAGCAACCTCCTGGGGGCTCTCAGTACTTCAGCCTCAGACTGAGGGCTGCACTGTTGGCTTCCTTGGTTGTGAGGCTTTTGGAGATGGACTGAGCCATGCTACCAACTTCTGTCTTTCCCCAGCTTGCAGATGACCTATCATGGGACTTTGTCTTATACTCGTGTGAGTCAATTCTCCCTAATAAATTCCCTTTTCTATATAGATATAGCCTATTGATTCTGTCCCTCTGGAGAACCCTGATTAATACACCTGGTGAGCAGAGCAAGTGCCTGATTTTAAACCCTAGGGTTAGATGCCTACGAACAATGCCCAACTTACACAACTGGGTACAATGCTCTCACCTTGCAAGTCCAGGTTAGATGTGCACAGAACAAGTGGTACAACTCAAGCTCAGCTATTTTCACAGAATCCGAATTTTAGAGCTATTTGGCTTTTTTGTCAGGCCTCAAGCTTCCAAAGTTCACTTCTCCTTCCAGAAATCCTTCCATATGGTGAACCTTTATCTTGGTGTGGGTTCCCCTGTAAGCAGAGCCTGAGACTAGTACTTGGATGAAGTAATTTACTTGGGAGGTGACCTCAGGAAGCCAGAGTGAGAGGGCAAGAAAAACAAGACAAGGAAGCATTGAAAGGTGCAGAAATGGGCTAGTTATTGCTATGGGCAAACTGGGGTTTAGTACTGCCAGAGATCCTTTGAATAAACACATAAAATGCATATCAAAATTATACCTTTAAAAGACAGGTGGCTGGGACACTTGTTGACCACCCCTCATTAGTTGGGAACCACCAACAGGAGCAATAACTTTCCCACACTTCCGGGCAGCACCTGAATGTGAGCTGAGTGAACTCAAAAAGATGTGGAGATGCTGACAATGTGGATTTACCTATCATCACTGCACTGAAATCAGGCGGGTTGAAGAGTCATGACATGGAGCACGACAAGTATCTGCCACAGCCTATCTACTTGCCAAATCAGACACTGGGAATCTCTGAAGATTCCCTTCCCAAAGAGTTAGGGAAGAGTAGCAGCCCCTAAGTATGTCTCTCTTCCAGGAGAAGCCAAAGCTGTTGCTTGAAGGCTTGGCACTCTGCCATTAATTCCCCTGAAGCAGCCAGCATCATAGAACCCTAGGAAGGACAACTTCCAGCCCTAAACAATAAAGGTGCTGGCATCACATCCTGCCAGTTCTCAGGGGCCAGGCTGGGCACTCAGGGCCATTCCTCCCTGAACAGGGGAAGAAAAAGGCACCAACTTGGCCCTGGCTCTTGAGTAACATTGAATTACTTAACTTTTAATATTTTATGACTGGCCTAATGATATAAGCTGCATTATTCAGCATCCATTAGAAATGAAGGGACATTTATATTTTAGTGGCACCTGGCCATAGATCCCCATGCCTGTTTTGCTGGGGCCATGCCATGAATACAGGAAGCCAGATGAGAGACCATTGATCAGAGCTTGGATCTTTACCCCATAAATAGACCTAAAGTGCTTATGCCTATAAAATCAAAGAAAAGAGTTTGATTTTTTATAAAGTTAGGATGAATTTTTTTTTTTAATTCAAGATGTGTCACATGCATTTATAAGCCATATCTCAATCCTTTCACTAGAGGGTTAGAGTTTGTTCTGTGAATGCCTGGTACACAGCACAGGAAGCAGACATGGGGAGGAGGCCAGGCAGCTGACCCTAGAATCAGCCATTTCTGCCCCATCAAACACAAAGTCGTAAAGTCAAAAGATACAGAAGACATCTATATTTATTTATTTAGGAGACAGTCTCAATCTGTCACCCAGGATGGAGCGCAGTGGCGTGATCTTGCCTCACTGCAACCTCCAGGTTCAGGCAATTGATTCTCCTGCCTCACCTTCCTGAGTAGGTGGGATTACAGGCATGTGCCACCATGCCCAGCTAACTTTTTTGTATTTTCAGTAGAGATGGGGTTTTGCCATGTTGGCCAGGCTGGTCTCAAACTCCCGACCTCAGGTGAGCCACCCATCTCAGCTTCCCAAAGTGCTGGGATTACAGGCATAAGCCACCATGCCCGGCCAACAGGAAGTCTTTCAGATCATCTATTCCAGCCAAATGATGAACTGAATGGGGGAAAACTGAGTCCCAAAAGAGAAAGTAACTTGCTTAAAGTCATACATCAAATTGATAGAGAAACCAAGACTACAATTTGGATACTAACTCTGAGTTCAGTGCTTTTGTTTTTATTTTTGACAACCTCATAATAACTCACATCATTAGAAAATGCGGAGTAAAGTGTCAAGGAGAAGTTTACTGAATGCATACTGCATGCCAGGTACTGTTTAAAGCCTTTCCATCATATTAATGCTCACAATGACTATCTGAGAAAAGTACTGCTACTATCATTTTTATTTTAAATGTTAGGAAACTGAGGCAGGGAGAAGTTAAGTAACTGGACCAGAGTTACTCAGTGATAGAGCCAGGGTTCACATCTAGACTGTCTCCATGATCCACTGTCTTTACCATTCTACTAGATTGGTTCTCATCAGGATTCTCCATATCTCATGTTTCAACAGAGCGGCCTTGCCTACAAGCAGTATACAGAATTGTATTGTGAGGGAAGGCCTCAGCTCTCTTCTTTCCATCGTGTTTGTATTGAGCTCCCCTAGGGCTTCTAGCTTAGGAAAACTCGAGGGTAAAGAGGAGTGGGAACCATAGGAAGATAGCTAACACATACGATCCCTAAAATCCCAAATGTTTTACAATTCAATGAGGTGGACACTAAAGGAAGAAGTCTGTGTGGACCCAGCAGCTTAGTAACATTCTGTGTGGAGGGTGAGTCTGCCCTGGGTTTTGAAAAATGAACAAGACAGCTTAAGGAGTTGGTCTCTCTGCTGATTATCGTGGTGTGTGGTCCTTCTCTGAGAACTTCGGGAAAGATTAAAAAGAAAAAGACACATTATTTACTTTGCAAGATGCCTGAAAGTGTCTGTCTGCCCTGGTTTGGTTGGGAGCAGAGTCCAGCTCCCATAACTTCCTAGTCTGTGGCTGGAGAAGATACATAGTTCCCTTCAGAAGAAGTTAAATCAGTACCAAGACCAATGCAAGTGAAAGGAAGCATCAGGATAATCCAGAACAACTAACAAACCATCTTCTTGTGATTCCCATGGGCTTCTGGGATGCCCTCAGAGGGCTGGGATTGAAGGAAAACTGGCCTGAGGTGCTAGGGCTCCAGGTTTCCCAACCCCACAGCTCAGCTTTTGGCTAATTTAATATTAGGTTTCTAAGTACATTTTCATTAAACAAATGTACCTATCGCTAAGTATATCTGACAACTAGTTAGAAATTATGCTACACTGAATTATTCAGATCCTACAGTATTTTAAAGATGAGTGGCAAGAAAACTGACACTTATCAAGTGCATGGTACTCATTTCACTTAATCCCCACAAAAACACTAAGAGGTAGGCTTTGCAGTTACATTCACTTGACAGATGAGGAATCTGAGGTTCATGATGGTTGACTTGCCCAGATCACACAGCTGTTTGTCAGTGGAGCCAACACTTGAAAGGAGTGCTGTGTGACTCCAAAGTGCACATTCTTTTGAGTATACTAGGTAGCATGTTGAGAGGTTTTCCCCAATTCCCTTTCTAAAGTTTGAGGAGAGATATGAGGAAGGTCTGGCTAGTGGTCTTCAAGAGACCTACATTCCTAACCTGAGCCCAGCAGAACACTAATCCTATCAAGGTACAAGCCACCTTTGGGGTCCTTCTCATGCATGAAAGTGCTTCATAAGCCATGCATGTTGCTAGGGCAACAGAGGCAGGTTGTGAGTGTTTAGGGTTATTCTACCTGTTATTGTCCTTCTGGAGTACAGGGTAATGACTATGTTGTGAAGAGGAATAAGAGCATTTGTTGCTTTAGTGCACAGTTGAGCATCAGATTTTGATTGGGTACCAGTAAGCCTAGCTTCAATTCTAATGATTCTGTTTTTCCCTCAAGAATTAACCCTGGCTCATTCAGCGCATGTGTATATGTGCATGTGTGCGTCTGTTTCTGTGGGTTAGTCTTGTCTCTTTGTATTCTGTCTTCTTTCCAGCATTGTTTTAATGATACTGACCTGTTTGCCAAGAGCTACATACACAATTGCTTTAATGACGTTTTATTTTTTTCTATGTAATAGATAATCTTATTTGATTGCTTTTTTTCAGTTATTCTTCAGGGCAAACAGTTGGTATTAATCTTAGCAATGATGGATAAAAGGTCAGATATAAAATATTTCACATCCAAAAAGTCGACCTTTCACTCTTAAAAGAGATGTCTAAAGCGAGTAAAGTTATAGAGGGCACTTTTGGAAAATGTCACACCGAATTACACAGGTCAGTGAGAGAGTTTTGTCTGGAAATGTGGGAGCAAAAAGAAAGCTGTAGATTACAGTCCGACCCTAAGCTTTTATTCCTTGGGTCCTTCATCATCAGCACAATGTCATGGCTTTCAGGAGATAGCAGGACAAAAAGGGTGGTAGCTTTTGGAGAATGCTGTCTCTCAGGTTCTTGAATCTTTGGGAGGAATCTGAGATGGAAAAATAAACCATAGCCTTGAATATTAAATACGCCATGTGTTAATGTGAAAACCTCCAAATTCAGTTTGGAAAAGTGAGGCTGAAACAGTATTATGGATGGGAAATGCCCAGCCCATTCTAGGTTCTTTTTCCCTTGGTTCTATGAAAGACGTAGGTAGTGTACAACTTCAGATGACTGCAACAACTAATGGGAACAATCATCTCTGGAAGCCTTAGGCATACAACAGATAAGAGCTTTGAAGAACTTGCCTTTGGGGCCCCTTCTTCCCTCTGTCTTGCCTCCCCAACTCCACATCCAGAAGTCTTCCCTATTGGTAGTCAGCTATTAACTTGTGAGATGCTGCTGACAAGGACATGAAGATTTATCCCCTGGCAGGAAAGTATGGTTTGGGGAAACTTAAGAAACTGGGAAGTATTCAAGGCTCAAAAGAGTAAAGCCATAATGGTGGCATTTCAGACACAGCACCCGGCAGCAGAGAAGAGTGTGGAATTCTGACACACCCAGTACTTATTATAATGCATTAAAATGGTATGTCTTGTTTCTAACACTTTGTTGTGGGGTAGGAGTGTGAAAAGGAAAAGTATATGTTTGAAATTCTTGTTCCCCAGTGCTGTAAAGAAATAGCACTTGAACATAAATTTAATTTAGATAGTAAGGCCATTTTTACTTTCTGCAGAAAGGGTAGACTCACCAGCAGTTTTGCCACGAGAGTACACTGAACAAAGGAGACAGGGTCATTTATAACCTGACGCGTCCACCCTACTGCTGTGTCTGGTTTCCATTGGCTGGAACGGGACTTCACATTCTGTATTTGTCCCGAATGGCTAGCAACTTAGAACTTTTTAAGAGGCAAAGGTAGAGGAGAAGAAAGGAAGGAGGAAGTAACTTGTGGAATGCTGAGAAAGGTAAAAACACTTTTAAAATAAAGAAGAGGAACAGGCTATGACCTAATGCTTGCTTGGACCAGTATAAACATACCAGGGCAAATATTTAGGAGCACAGGTCTTTGAATAAATTTTGCTTCTAAGACAAGTTACTATTTATTCCTAATTAGATGGGGAGGAAAGTCTTTGAAGAGGAACCTCCACTTTTACTTTTTACAATACATTTGGCTTCTTAAGCTTTGATCCTTGCTTTATGGGCAAGGTGTTTGGGGAAGGAGGGGGTCTTCATGAGCAACCTATCCATGGTGAGGTGAACTGTATCATTCACCTTCACATCATACTGGCCCTCTGGCAACTTGCAACTCCATTTTATGCTCAGGAAGAACCCCGGAAGCCCACTGCTGTGGGAACCCACTGCTGGGAAGTCACTGCTGGGGAGGCCTGCTCAAGGACATTTTATGCTTTCTGATCTAGCTCATCAAACTTCTTGATTTGGAGGCATCCTTAGAACTTTAATCTCTGTCCAGGTGCAGTGGCTCATGCCTGTAATCCCAACACTTTGGGAGGCTGATGTGGGAAGATCTCTTGAGTCCAGGAGTTCAAGGCCAGCCTGAGTAATATAGTGAGACCTTGTCTCTACCAAAAATTTAAATAAAAATTTAAAAAGAACTTTAATCTCTTTGTAATCAAAACAAATCTTCTCTTAATAAGGATGCATGCCAATCCTCTTTAATTTGTCATAGATATTAACTGTGGTTTCCCAAATCTTCCACAATTTTGTGTTACATTTGCAATCCCTGAAGAGTCCCCTAACCCACATTTCTGTGGTCACCATCATGGCAATATCACTTTTAGTTTATATAACCTGTTCTCAGTGCAAAGAAGTCCTCTCCCTCATCTCTCACTTGTTTCAACAAATCTGGTAAAAATGCATGAGACGTAAGGATTTTCACATACAGTCTGAGCTGCTTCTTCACATTGATTTGGATGGAATAGAAAGATATAAATATACATGCAGATTCATGTCAAGAGGGCATTCTCTGCAATCAGGCTAAGCACCATTGCTTTAAAAAATTATTTTTCTCCCTGTTAAAAAAGTAAACATGTGAATCATACAAATTTTGGAAAATTATAGGGAAAGAAAAAGGAAAACCAATTCATCAGGTTTCCACAATCCTAGAAAAATTGCTGTCAACATTTTGGTCTACTTTCTGATAGCAGATTCTTTTTCCCTATACATAATTTTATTTTCTACATATATTTGCTTTCCTTAGTGGAAATAATGTGGTGTATATGCATCCTTTATATTACCCACTTAACATTATATATTAGCATTTTTACATGTCACTTAAAAATTATTTTTAATACTCTAGAACTAGAGGGGTACAACATGGACTGTTTAATTATTTCTTGATTATTAGATTGTTTCCTATTCTTTCTTGCTTTTAGAAATTAGACCACAGTGGACAGCTTTCTACACAAAGGGTCAAGATTGCTAAGCATGACAATTTTTAAATAACTGAGCCCTCCATCAACTGTTTTTAATTAGTAGTAACACTTCAGTGAAGGTTTAAGGTGCCCACAGTACTTTTCAAGGTGGTATAGAAGAGATCTGGCAACAAAATATCATGTCCCTACCCTTGAGCCTTATTTGAAGAGGTGTGACAGATGGTTTTATCTAGCTGCCCCTCAGAGATCTATTCTTCTTTGGTAGAGGATTTCTTAGTCAATTGACATCAGGAGGGATCTGCTTCAGGGTGAAGCCTTTGAACATTATTGGGTGAGGATATGACATTCGCAACTGTTGCAGCCATGTTGTGAAGAAAAGCAAGAGCTTAGTCTCAGGACAGAAGCCCATGCTGGAAACTGGATCCTCAGTGATGTTATCAAGCTGCTTATCTGTCCTACAGCCAGACTTCTTATTAAATGAGAAAATAAATTTTCCTCATTGTTTCTTCCAGTTGAGTCAGACTTTGTTAATTGCAGCTGAAAGCATCTGAACTGATAAAGTGAAACCAAGACATACCATAATAATGACTACCATTTATAAAATATATTACATACTTTATCTTTAGTAGAATAGTAATTCCCCTCACTGAACAGATGAAGAGACTGAATATCAGAGGAGCTATGCAACTTGCCCCAGATCATGGAACTGGGATTTTAATCCATATTTGTCTGAGTCTAAAGCCTTGCGGATTACAGAAGTGAAGAATGCCAATCATTTTATCTATGAGGCTGAAGAGGAAGTGGGTAGCTTGCTTAGCTTACAAACCCTTTGTTGAGATGTGCATGTGTGGAGCTTACTGCTTTATAAAATCTCTTTGCATACTAACTTATTTTATCTTCCCTTGTATAACCTGTGGAAGAGGAGACGGGTCCAGACTTCTAACTGTTCTGTCCAAAAGCACAATGCCAGCTGGCATCAGAGGCTGAACTAGAATCCAAGTTCCCTGACCAGTGGTCCAGAACGCCCTCCGTAAAGCCCCCTACTCCAGTGCTCAGGAAGAACCCCGGAAGCCCACTGCTGTGGGAACCCACTGCTGGGAAGCCACTGCTGGGGAGGCCTGCTCAAGGACAGAACCCCTCCGTTTCCTGGCTTTCTTTCTTTAGTCCCCACCATTCAATGTGCTTATGTTCTCAAGCGCAGCATCTACCCTGTGGCGCTGTTAACAAATATAATACATCAGAGAAAGAATTACAAATATTTATGGTTGTAATAACTTCCCACCCAAAAAAGCGGCATGGATCAGATCATTAGAGAAAATCAACCCAGCATGAGGTATGTTTTTTATTTCTCCCTTAGATTTTAATTCAGATAATGTACATGATTTTCTGGGGGTGAGAAACTTCTGCTTAGAGAAACAGGATTTCACATGGCAATGATGCTGGTTTGCAAATAGGAGATTTATTTTTTGATTCACTGATTATCTCAGAGTTCTGTAACCCAGAAATCCCTCAGAGGCTTTACAACCAGGACTCTGAGATTCTAGGAGTGACAGCATTCCAGTTGTTGTGTGAGTCTAAAATACAAAGTGCCTTCTCTTTCAAACACTGTCTCTTTCACAACCTGCATTAGAGGAAATCTTTCTGTTAATGTGTTTTTAAGGTTCAACAGAAATAAAAGCAAATGGCTTATTCTAAAAGACTCAGTACATTGACATCTGCTGTAGAAATTTCCCTGACCACTTATCCTTGGGATGATTTGAGGTTCCTCCTCTGTCTACAATCCCTTGAAATGATTCCTACTCAGCACCTCTTGCTCTGCGTCACATTTGGCTCTCTTGTCCTCCATCTCCCCCACCAGCATCTGAGGTCCTTTAAGCAGAAACTGTATATTTGTGTTTCTATCCCTAGTCCTCAGCATGAAGCTTGCCATGGGACTAGGTGCTCAATACATGTTTATTCAATGACTCCCAAATGATGCACAAGAAAATAACTCTGTGTTGGTTTCCATCTCAGTGTTCAGGTTGGTCCGTTGCTGCCAGATGCTGGGCCAGGCCACCTGATGGAGACCAGAAATGCATTACCCAGGCCAGGGAAGCCCTGCCTCTCCCCAACACTGTAGTTCTGTTTCTTTCCTTTTGCTGACAAAGTGCTTGTTCTGGAACTGAGCTATGACTAACACTCTGCCCCTGAGCAAGGTGCCTGTCCCAGGGCTACCTTTCCCCTGGGGCCCTGAGGTCTGAAGAGATGGAGCTACAGAGGGTGGTAGAGAGTGACAGTGAGGGCCTTGGCATCTGCCCTGCAGCCAAACACCAGCTGAGGATGCTCTGGTCCAAGTGCTGATCCTGTACTACACAAGGCTGCAGCCTTCAGTCCTCCTTTCCTACGAGCCTGCGTTCTCAAGGAAGCTGGAACAGAGATGGTACCTTGGGTGCCAGTCTGTACTAGACATTAAAATAGCAGAAATGGGGGAAAAGCGTATTCCCAAGAACTTTTTTCAGAGAGGACAATCTGATAAACTCTGGGGGATGTTGTGGGGCTGAGGAATCATGGATGCCTCCTAACTGCCTTCTTAGGAGGGGAACTCGGGTTATCTGAGGGCTCCAGGGTTTTGGTGGGGTGTGTACCTCCTCAGGTCCTCCCCCTCCCTGCCCTTATCCTCACTGCTAAAATGTGCAGCAAAAATTTAAGGACTATCAGCTTGCAGGGGTGTTACATTATTAGCTTGGAGGGTCCCCAGTGGTCTCTCTCCAGCTTAGGGCAGGGGACCTGAGCATGAATCCACACCTGAGGGTGTAGGGAGCAAGGGGAGAAGAAGGCAGTGCCAAGACTGGACAATACAGGCCACTCCTGGGAGCTTCAAAGGTCCAAGGGGCTGAGGGACACATGCTCACCTGGCAGGAAATCACATAGGAGATTGACAGAGCTGGTCAAAGGTGGTGCTGAAGGTGTGTCAGTGAGGACAGAGGCAGGCTTAGGAGGCTTGAGCATGGGGTTAGATTTACTCTGCGCCTATGGATATGGAGAGTCCAGGGCTAGACCCTTTCTAACTCTTCTTCAAGGCTCCAAAGCCCCTTTTCCTGGAACAAGCTGCACTCTGCCCAGAATAGAATCATACAGCCAAGGGAAGCTATCTTTTCCCACAACCTCTCACAAGCAGTCAGCTAGGGCACCTTGCCCTTTACCTTTCATAACCAAGCCCGTCAGTTTCAGCCCATACCCCGCGAAAGATGAGAGAGCATTCCTTGATACTCCCAGCACATCCTTTGTATGGTACCACTGGGTGGAGGGTTACTTCTGGCACCCAGTGAAGTTACTCCAGGTCTTATTTGCTGTCCCCTCTGTTCACCTCTTATCAAATGAACAAGCCAACGTAACAAACTCAGGCTCTCAGAGACTTGCCTTGTCTTCTGTTCCTGCCTTCCCTCACTGCCGCTGTCTATGTTTGCATTTCTGAAACTGCTTGAGGCTGTAGTTGCATCCCTCAAAATGGTCTTTTCCTGCTTTTGACATGGTTCAGGGCTCCAGCTAACAATGAACTTGTTCCTGTATCCTTTTTTTCTTTTTTTTTGGAAGGGGGAGTCAATAGTCAATACATACATTATGCATATAAATACATATAATACAATAATAATATGTGTATTGACCCCTGCCCCCCCCCGCAAAAAAAACACAAATACAATGGAAGCATGGGCATTACATGGCTGCAGGTCAGGCCTGCTCGGTGTCACCCTACTGTCAGCAGCCCCACTGGCCTGAGGTGTCTGCTCAGTGCCAACAGGTAAAAAGTATGCCCAGTAGCATCTGACAGTCACTAAGTCAGGACTGTGTCATCAGTTTATCATTTTCCTTATTAGTCCTATCGCTCACTCTTCTCCTTCTTCTAGGGGGAGGTGATCAGGTTGTTACTTTCCTTTTTAAACCCATGACTGAAACTCCCTTTCCTAACTTTCCTTGACCCAGTGCCCCAATCTCTACCTGAAAACTGAAAATGGAAGTGAACTCTGACAAGGCCCCCCAGTGCCCAGAGTCTGTGACGTTCTCCAGGAGGGCAGTTGTCCTCTGTGCATGGAGTTCTTAGGTTCTTTAGGTCTCACGGCTGGCTTGCACCATGCAGAGCTCCTGAAGGTAACCTGAGCACAAGGGTTGTCAGAGAAGCTGAGCTTCCAGAAGCCACAATGCATGGTGGTTAGCAGTCAGACCTGGCCATACTTTATGATCCCAGGTGACACTTCAGATGCAAATGCCTCTCATGGCATGACAAGGACGTTTGTTTAGGACACTGGAATACAGTGTTCAGAGACTGCTGGGAATGCACTTGCAATAAAATGGAAAAGCCATAAAGCAGCTGCGAGTTGTTTGCAGCAAGAGCAGCCTTTTCTCTGAGGGGAGGTGACTGAGTTGCCACTTCTCCAGAGCATCAGCAGGGTGCTGTGCCTGGGGCATGTTTCAAAAGAGCAAAATGATTATTATTTGGAGCAGAGACAGAAAGAAATTCCTAGAAGGGTTTGCACCTTTGCTTATTATTAGAGTGATCTATGGTCATGCTAAGGCACATGCTCAGAACCTTCCATGTGTCATCTCTCTATTCCTGACAAACCTCTTATCATGGTACCTGTGGATGCTGTTGCTGGCTGCCTTCCCAGCATCCATTTCCTATCCCACTTCCTAATTAGATCCTGATTTGTTCTGAAGCTAGCCCTTCCCTAACCCTACAGGGGCAGCCTGATTACTTAAGAAGCAAATTGGTGTACGGCATTCTTTTGCTCACTGTCACTCAATTGAAAGATTTTCATGACCATGGCTCAGACAGACTGAGGTTAAGGACACATGTGCCAGGGCCAGAGGAATTGATTCTCCTGTTCTATCATGCTGGGCAAGAACAAAGAGGCACGCAGACCCAAGTACCACTGGCAGCCACTTTAGGATCTCAGGGAACTCACCCTCAGCATGGCACCCATGCTTAAGATGCCTGAGCAGAGGGACAGGGAGACTTGGGTCCCTGATGCTATCACTGAGCTGCTGGATTTGCCCACCCTGGCTCTAGGTGTCTTGTAGTATGAAACAAGACATTTTCTTAATTCCAAATTCAGGGTAAGTTAGAATTACTCTTACACTCAGAAAAATCCTAATCGATCTAGGACTATTATCATTCTCATTTTACTAATCAAGAAACTGAGGATTAAGAGAGTAGTTAATTTGCCCAAAGTTATATAGTTAGTAAACAGTATAAAATTCAGGGATAATTTAACTCCAGAGTCCAAACTCTTAATTATTCTTATTTATGGATTCTCACAGTAATATGCAGAAATTTTACAATTCACCTTCATTGAAGGGAAGAAAAGTAAATCAAGATTGTCCTCCAAGAACTCAGAGGACAGATTGTTTTGCAGGATGGATTACTTATAATAATTATTTTAAAGTTTAAATTCTCCACTTTACTCTTTCTCTGGACTCCTCCTCAACATTTAGCACAAGCTTAGGTACAAAGTAGGCACTAAAAGTATGCTTTCCAAATAACACCTAAGATCTCCCAGCACAGACTGGTGGCTCCAATAAGGACCCTCAGGTTTCCAGACCCTTTCCTGCATCACGGTAAGTACCTAGAACTCTAGCATTTGGAGACATTTATGCCAAAGTCTGTTTAGCCAATAGCATGAAGAAAATCATCACCTTTTAGCAGTAGCAAACTTTGCACAGTTAATCACTAATGTTTAGGTTACAGCCTGAGACCTGAGGGGGCCCTTGATAATCTCCTAGACATAGACATACGAGAGGGGCTCTTCAATAGCTGCTCTACTCTGCTAAGTACCAGGAGCTTCTGCATAAACCCAGCATCCTGACATCGCCCTTTGTCTGAAAACCCAAATTCCTGATCTACCTGCTCTGTCTTTACTGAACCTGACCCTATCCTTTGCTCTCCCCACAACCATTGGGATTCATCTCACTACTTATATTTCCGAGCCCCTCCTTGCCACTTCATCATGGCTCATGCTCCCTTCCCTGTGTCTCATGGCCTTGGCTTGTCACTGGACCACACGTCTGTCTTTGCCCAATGCACCTTAGCTTACCTGGGTAAAACCATTCCCAGAAGACTGCCTGAGAGATGATATGGTGCAGGTGTTAAGACTATTACCTCTGGAGCCAGGCACCGTGGCTCCATCATTTACAATGTGAGCTATTTTGGACATGTCACCTAATTTCTTTGTATCTTACTATCCTCATCTAAGATGGGAAAAGTAATAGTTCCTACCCCATACAGCGGTAATGTGCGCTGGCTCACAATGTAATGAATGAGGTGCATGACACCAGCGGGCACTATTGATATGATGCACTGCCTGCACAGCAGCACAAGGTGGTCCTGACCTTCATATAGCGAGCAATTAATGCATGATCTTATTGTAATGAGGTGATGCAGTCTCTAAAAGCCTTGATTATAAAAATTACAAAACTGGGGGAGGCACAGAGAGGCTTCCTAAGGAGCTAACAAATCTGGTACTACATGTGAGGGAGAAGAAAACAGTTACATCTTTAATATGAATTCCAATGTTTATTCATTTCTCTAACAATTGTATACTGAGTCAGGTAACAGTCAAAAACCTTTATAGTATTCAGAGAGTAAGTTAGGTTCCCATTTGAGCCTCAGTACTCCTGAACAAGTAAAGACAGAATTTCTGTTTTGCAGGTGAGAAACAAAGTCTGGAGAGGTTGGTGAATCTTGACAGTGGTCACTTATGGGTCTCACACTGGAATTGGGGTCCTGTGGCCAACAGGCTGTAGGAACTTTTACAGAAGGCACACTCCTCCAGTGGACTGCAGCTAAGGGAGGGACACTCTCAGAAGACAGGCCTGGTTGGGAGGCTGCCAGCAGGTCTATGGCTGCTGAAGACTCACTCCCTACTTCTTTGGTCTTTGCAGCTGAGGTTGCATCAGGAAGCTATGGCTTCCAACCACTTGAGGAAACTTATTAAATGAGCTCCCCGAGAAGAGTCCCTGAACTTTTCCCACCTGCACATTCAAAGGATGATGCAAGGAGCAACAATCCTCTTTATAACTGAGCCATCTGGTCCACTCAACACTTCTTTGGTATAATTCATGAAGATTGTTTTTTTGTTTGTTTTTTAAGGTCTTAGCATCATTATAAAGAAGCATTGTTCCCAGAGGATCCACTAATCTGGGAAATCACTGAAACTCTCAACTGGAAATACCTCTGATGATTCACTTTATTATGACTCTGCCTAACACCAC
Source organism: Homo sapiens (assembly GCF_000001405.40). Lineage (NCBI taxonomy): Eukaryota > Metazoa > Chordata > Mammalia > Primates > Hominidae > Homo > Homo sapiens. The sequence continues at coordinate 140,317,024 of NC_000003.12, read as the reverse complement.
GAATGAATTTTCTTAATGTTCTGGAATTGTCCCTAAAATGAGACAATTTCCCCATCAGTATATTGACAGCCTACCCTGCATTATTTCATGGCAGGCTTTATTTGCATTCACAGTGAGTTTAAAACTTGGAGTAGTTTGATGAGATTAATATGAGGTGTCTCTTCAAAAGTTGAGTGGTATAACAATTTAGCAATGCCTCCACTATGTGAAATGAAATATTAACTTCACAAACACAGTGACAGATTAGAATATCACTTGCCTCCAAGGCAATTACAGCTTCTGGTCACACATTACTACCCACTGTGGGAAATGTGTGAGCCTCTCTCTTAATCACCCCCAGCAGGTATTCACCAAGCACCTGCTTGTATCCCACACGACCCTGAGAGATCTGAGACACAATCCCTGGCCTTAAGAAACTGACATACCAGCAGAATGAACTGATGATTAAAATGGCATGCCACCAAGAGGCAAAACAATGACACAGACACCAAGAGGTATTAAGAAAAGAAGACAGGGTAGCAGAAGAAGGAGCTTCATGGAAAAGAAATGAAATAATTGCAAGAGTGTGGGCACTGTTTAGCAGGTGCCTACTTGTACTAGCATCATGGTTGGCCCCTGATATATGCTATTGAATTTGGACTTGATCACGATTCTATGAGATACATCCAAGGCTCACCTAAGCTCAAACAGCTGTCATTGTTGGCACTGGCATGATCTTGCTTCCCCTCTAGGACTTGAGATTAGGAGTTTCTACCTCTCATGCAGGGTGAAGTCCCATTCCTCATGCCAGCCTCCTGTGCTGGCTTCCCTCCTTCACCTCACTGCTTGCACTGAATGGTAATCATATGCTAATCTATCTATCCCCAGCTGGGCTGTAAAGAGCATGGCTGGGTTTCATTTATCACAGTACCTCTGGCACCTAGCACAGAGCCCAATGCACAGCCAGCACTCAGCAGATGCCTACCAAATGAGTGAATGATTTTAAAAACTCCCAGTTCCCTCAGAATTAGAACAAGGGTAAATGCACTATCTTCTGAAAGTCCATCCTGACTGCTTCTCCTTCCACTAAGCTCCCCTCTCTCTGATCAATTGCCTTGGAGAGACAGAAACCATCTGGAGGCAGAGGCCACACACGCTCCACCTTTTATCCTACCTACCCTCTACCCTGACACTGTGCCATGCTAAGCCGATAGCTCCTGCTTTGGAAACTGATTATAACGGGAGGGATGTGCTCTTGTTAAAAGATACCAGCTCTGATTAGGACTTTTGCTCAGACAGAAAAGGCATTTGGGTCCTCCTGGAAGACAAATTGCTAGAGGGAGCCCCACATTCAAGTAACAGCCACTCTGTGGAGCATCTCTAGGACACCTGAACCTTTTAATCTTCCTTTACTAGTTAAAAACCAGTTTTCAACTAAAGGACTGAGCAAGGAAACAATGGAAGGTCTCACATTTGGCCCACGTGGAAGGCAGAAAAGCCACAGTAGTAAGAGGATAATGGCATCCAAATGAACAAATAAACATTTTCATAATTAGCCTACTAATTAAAATAGCAAATACAATCAAATTCAATTAACATGGATTGGTCTGTGGGGCTTTAAATCAGAGAAGCCTGGTTGATTGCTCTGGAGTCATTAATTAGGGCTGACACAGTTTCTTCTAAGTAAATCCTCTTGGCATACACCTTTCCCAATTACAGGATTCGTGATTGGCTGGGAGATCGCAGGTGTTGTGCATAACTGGACTTTTGGAAGGGTCTGTTTCAAGGGTTTCCCATCATTTTACACACATTTTCATTTATTTAGGTCATAGATCACTTCCACAGCTTCCGAATCTGGTTGGTGCATGTGCAGATTTGGAGCTCTGAGCAGGATCCACGGATGTGGGTGAAGGCCATCCTCCCTTCCCTCATCAGCAGTGCTTTATTTCTGCTCCTTGCCAGCAAGCACTCACAACTTTCAGGACACTCTAATAACTGCCTTGGCATAGGCTGGAAAGTGATCTAACTCTCTCATTTAAATGAGACCAGAGAAACTTAATGCAACCATGGGATCCCTCAAGGATATTTCTCTGGTGCTTGCTTTGTGCCAGAGGTTGTTCATGAATGAAACCATGGGGCCCTTCCCTGAGGGAAGGAGGATTCCTTCCTTTAGGGAGATAGACATTTACATAGATAGTTACACCAATGTCCCCAGGAGCCAGGCCACCACTAAACCAATGAGTGGGCCTGATGTAAGTAAAATAGGGAGGGGTGGGAACCATGGTGAACAGCACAAGCTCCTTCTTAAGGGAGTGTCCACTATTAGACTCAAAATGATGGTTGGGTCCCAGTTCCCACATATTCTGGGTTTACTCAAAGATTAGAAATCCAGATTCGTATGCAAAAGCCCCTATTTTTGTTGTTGTTTGTTTTATGTTTTAAAAGTGGCTTATTTAAAGAAAAAAAAAAGCACTGGCTGATACTTCAGGGTATCATGGGGGCAGAGGAGAGCATCTAACTCTACCACTCCAGAAGTCCCATGAGGCCTCTAGGGGAGTGGCACATGGGTGGGATCTTGAGAGTTAGCAGCTCTCATCCAGTATAACGGGAGCAGGACAGGTAGGAGGCACAAGAAACAATGCATGCAGAGTCATGGGCTCAAGGGGATAACCTAATATCTTCCCTGTCCCAGGGGTCTTGGCATTTAAACCATGATAATAGAAACAAGTCCAAGGTAGCAAGTAAGGGAGGCAACACGTCAGGAGGCCTGGGGTCTTTCACTTGAAAGAGTGCTTGGCTTTGAATTAAACCCATGATATTTTATCTTTACCCAACTTTTTCCTAGGAGCTTGGCTTTGAGGATAGTTATTTAGTTTCTCAACTGGAAGACAGAAATAAGAAGAAAACACCTATGGGATTGTTGTGATGATTGCATGAGACAGGGAAATGTCCAGGGTCTGTCATGAACCAATGTTTGCTCTACAAATGGTAGAGTTCACTGCTGTCAAAACTCCCAGTCACACAAAGCACATCATTTCCTTGAACCACTGTATACTACCCACTCTAGTCCTTTGGCCTTGTGGCTACCAGAGGAACTGGTACTGGGGCAGGTCAAAGGGGACAACGCCAAAAAGTGGGGCCTGTTCCTGTTTTTTCCACTTTGACCTGCCCTCAATATTCCCAAACTGGCAGATGTCACCTTCCCAAAGGCCTGAGGCAATGGCAGAAAAATTTGCCTGTGCATTTGCTATGATTTGGAGATCAGTGCACTGCGCTTTGTGTCACAAAGTCATTATGATGTCTGGACTTTTTACCCATGACACACTTCACTTTGTGAGTATAGAAATAGCCTCTCAGTAGCTGGTATAGATGCACTGGGAAGCTGTAAAAGCTTCACTGTCAAGCTCTGCGTCATTTCACTCTTGGAATCATTATGCCCCTTTGCTACAACTTTATTACCCATTTGTGAGTCTTCCAAAGCAGTGACCGCAACTGCCACCTCCTCTAGGCACTCTCAGCTCTATTCTGCTTTTGGCCTCTCTCAGCAGTAATTTGTCATAGAATTCAAAATGACACTGCACTCCACTGAACTGCCATCTATTCTATGGAGTCTTTCGTGAGGGCCCTCCCTAGGTGGAAAAAAAATTCCTCCCCTTTTAGCCTCCTGTCAGGGTACCACGGCTGTGTGGTGATTTGCAGAAGCTATGGGTCTTGGAGTCAGAAAGCTCTGAGTCTCAGTTTCCTTTTCTGTAAAAGGAACTAATAGTCTCTAATTTTCAGTGTTATTATGAAGATTAAGCAGCATGAAATTTAGGACATCTGACATGGGGAGGGGTTCAATAAAGAGCTGTAAAACAATTTGTTCCACTGATGGTTTTTTTGGGGGGGACTTTTCTACCAAAATAGGGTTTCTGGATAGTACAGGCAGTGTCAGATTCAGCCATCTTTATATCCCCAGTACGTAGAACCATGAATGGCACATTACTTGATTCAGTGAATATAATTGCCTAAACTTTTGCTCCACCAGAATCCTTGCATTGCTTCTTTAAAATGTTTTCTTATGTTCAAAAAGAAATTAACAAATATACCAATAACACAAAATAGAAATTGTTCAGGATTCGGTCGAAGACCTTTGCAGACAAGCTAACAAATACTCCAATTGCTGAAAATGTCAACCCTTTAAAGGTTTTGCTCTCAATTTTCAAAACAAATGCAAATTTCCATCTCTCTTTCTCCCATGTAACTACTGTCAGACTCAGAAACCAAGGCAAACTAAATTATGTTTCTCTGAAAACCTCCAATTTTTTCCTTGACTCAAATTAATTACAATTTCATTGTGGTTTTACAGAGTTCACTTTGCTGCTGATTGCAACACACTGGCTTATCCTGGCTCCTGACAATGCTAACAACATGATAGAAGAAGAGACCCAGAGGTGTCCAGCTTCTGTATTTCTCATTATTTTAAAAGAAGGCGTAGACTTTCTTGCATGCTTCTGATGCAGAGCAGTTACTTCACACATGCTCACAGCTCAAATTCTACAGAAAGAATTGTAGACGAAAGATGATAACCATGGCTGTCAAAGCTGTTGGTATATTTCCTTGGGGAAAAACTACTTGAAAGAAAAAGGAAGAGAAAAAAGATTCCTCAGATGCGATAATGATAGAGCAGGTCAAGGGCCCAGTGCTAACAAGTGAATGGCCAAGCGCCAGCTCTTCAAACCAGCCATCAGCAAGGAAGGCCACACTGTGCAGAATCCATACATGCCAAAAGGGAAGAAGTCGCTTAGTTTTGTGTAACTGGGATTCCGACTGGTAAAGTAAAGCTCACCTAGGATCTCAAAATAATGACTTGTTAGAAAAACTAGCACAGAGGAAACAGCTACTGGGAGAAGACCTTAGATGCATATCCTGGCCCTCTCATTAAAAATAAACATCTGCATGGCTTCCAAGCATTTGGGGAAGATATCCCTATACTGCATGGGAGAAAGGGAAAGCACTCTGAGTCTGGATGAACTGCAGAAAACAGAACCAGGCTTAATTGCATTACCTCTAATTAAGTGACTCTAATGAGAATTGAAGAACACTGATGACACACATGTAGAGAAGTAACTGGAACAATCTTCATAATTAGAGATGCGACTCAAGATAAGCCTTCTCATTCCCTGGGTGATTCATTAGCAAAAGTTTGTTCCTCCATCTACCCATCCACCTGGAGCCCAGGATCTGGGGTTGAGTGCCTGTGTAGAAATCCTGGCCACACTTACTGTGGGACTGGGGCAATTTTGTCAACACCCCATGTCTCGTGTCTCACTTTCCTCCTCAGGAAAATGGAGATGATGAAAATAGCACTTATCTCATGGTGTTGTCATGATGATTACATGAGTTATTGCATATAAAACTCTCAGAATAGTGCCTTAAACATAATAAGTATCATAAATCTGGCCGGGCGCGGTGGCTCACGCCTGTCATCACAGCACTTTGGGAGGCAGGCAGGTCACTTGAAGTCAGGATTTCAAGAACAGCCTGGCCAACATGGTGAAACCCCATCTCTACTTAAAAAAAAAAAAAAAAAATTAGCCAGGCATAGTGGCACACACCTGTAATCCCAGCTACTAGGGAGGCTGAGGCAGGAGAATAGCTTGAACCCAGGAGGCAGAGGTTGCAGTGAGCCAAGATCAGGCCACTGCACTCCAGCCTAGGCAGCAAAGAGAGACTCTGTCTCAAAAAAAAAAAAAAAAAAAAAAAAAAAAAAAAAAAAGGATAATAAACCTTAGCTGTTATTATTATTATTAATTCACACACTAATGCATCATCTATTCGTTCAAACAGCTTTTACTAGATATTTTCACTGTTCCCAATCCTGGGCAATGCAAATCTGGTGATATTAGCCTGAATTCAGTAAGTAGCCTCTTACTATTTTTAAAATAGAACTCTATTGACTCACTGCCCAATCTGGCTCACCTATTCCTTTCTCTCTCTGCTGTTGTGGCACTGGCTTTCCTCAGCCTCTCTGACTAGCCATGCTTCACCCTTCCTCCATAGGCCCTTTACACAGGCCGTTCCTTCGGCCTGGGATGCTCTGGAATGGCAGAGTCAATGTCTGCTTTTATTTGTTCTTGAACCTGCAGCACCTAACACAGAGGCTGGTTTGTACTAGGTACACAATTAATATTCATTGAATAACGAATACATAAATTTTTTAAATTAATATATAAGACAGCAGATAATAGACAATATTTAGTGCTTGCTCTGTGCCAGACACTGTTCTAAACACTTTTCTTGTATTATCTCATAATAATTCCATCTTGAATGGAATGAAATAGAATAGAATGCAATGAAGTAGAGGAGAGTGGAGTGAATTAGAAAAAAATAAAATAGAATAGAATAGGATAGATGACCCTAGCTTAGGTCTATGAGGGAGGGAGACCTGTAAACAAACCACTATAATCAGTGAGCTAAGCACCCTGACTGAGGCGAGTGGAGGGCACTACGCAGCCCAGAAATGCCACCCTGACTGCTTGCAGACATTGATGACAGTCCCACAGAGGTCACCATTACTGAAATGAGGGCGGAAGGGTTGTCTGTGAGAAGCGGGTGGTGCCTTTCCAGAAGAAGGAGCAGCAGTTAAAAGCACCGAGGCCTGGGAGAGCTTGGGAAACCAAATGAGTGTCTGAGCCTGGGCCAGAGGGAGTGTGCTGGGTAGAGGTGCGACAGAGGCTGGGGAGATGGGTGGGGCCAGCCAAACTTCAGGGCGGGGAGGGGGTGCGGTGGGGGCGCCTATGGGCCAGTTTGGGTGCTCACTGAAGTCTTTAAAGTGACAGTCAGGTTTATGGTTTATAAAAATAACTCTGGCTGTAGCACTTATTGGGGAGAAAAGTTGGGAGACTGCTGTAGTAACCCGGGGGATGTGTTTAGATCTGAGCTCCTGCAGTCTTAGAGGAGAAAGGGCAAATTAAAAGGAGGAGATGGAGGAGGAAGAGCAGGAAAGGGAAACCAGAGAAGGCTAGAACCCCATGACCAGATCTCCCTTGGGTTGATATAAGGAGGACAGGGTAGAAGGGGCCCTAGCAGGATGACTGGGGAACAAGCCGCCACGGTGAGAAATGTCAGTCCTGACAAAACTATGAGGCTTCGGTCCTAGAAGAATGTGGTATATGTGTTTTTATGTGCTGAGTAGAGTGGGAAGGAGAGTGTAGAGCCCGGGCCTGAGAGATTGGAAGTTCAGGGCCAAGTGCTAAACCAGGGTGCAGACATAAGGACACGAAGGCCCCACAGAATAGGGAAGGAGAAGCACGAAGGAAAGACTTAGTCACGGGGGAATAATTTCTGGTAGGGCACGTGGGGGTGACTCTTGTGGCTGTCTGGTTCTTTTAGCTGTGACCTGAAGCCCCTGCATAGCTGTCTTGATCACTGAGGGACCCTGCTGTGCCCAGCAGGTCTGCTGGAATCCACAGGTCCTACCTTCTCTGGCCTGCCTGCATTGCCATCACCTATGCCCTGCTTGTGATAACACTTGCCCTCCATGATACTGTGATGTTATTGGTAAGACTAGCCCCACTCCTACACTCCCAGAAGCCTCTGGGGTACCTGCCTCCTTTTCCTCTACAGACACCCAGTGTCCAGCCTGCAAAATCTGGCCCCACCTCTCACCAGCCTTACCTGGGACCATCTCCTGGGGAGGATCAGCAGGTAGGCCAGATATCCTCCTGTCACTTACATGCCCCAAGCATCTTGCCACCTCTGGTCCTTCACTGCCCCTCTGTCTACATGTCCTACTTGGCCTTCCTCAGAGAAACCTTCCCTCGGATGCCAGGTAGGCCAGGACCCCAGTGACATGTTCCCAGGACCCTATACTTCTGCTTTGTCTCACTTGTCAAGATCATAATTTAAATAATTAGTTGTTTAGTTATGTGCTTAATGTTTGACTCTCCTACCTGATTGTAAGTTCTATGAGAGTAGGGAACAGAGAAGACAGAGTCAAGCACTCAGCATGTTCTCAATAAATATTTGTTAAATAAACAAATGAATAAATAACTGATGAAACCATGGCTTAAAGATTACACAGCTAGTAAAATGTTGAATCAGGACTCAAATCACCTGTTCTGTGTAGCTTCAGGACAGTCCAGTTAGGAAATGATTCTTAATGGAGAATTTGCCCTTGGATTTCCATTAGAGCTGCGCTTAGGGAGGCAGCAGAATGGGGGAGGATGGGAAGGGATTCTAACATGTCAACAAATGGCAGTTTTCTCAGAATACTGGATGACTTAGCATAAAACTGGAGTGAAGACTGTGCTTCTGAAATGTTGAACATTGTTTAATAATTTGGCACTGTACGTTGAGAGGTTTCTGTCAACACTGTCAACATCCAGACTCCAGCTGGCTGAGAAATGAGCAGGGGTGGTTTTGAAAAATTCACCAGTTCTCTTGGGGAAGGCCAACTAATCTGATTTTAATGCCTCACACAATGCTTCAGAATTGCAGTCAGTCACTTCAAAATGTGCTTGCTAGAATTAACTAGGTAGATGCTCCCAAAGGAGATGCAGATTCCTCCATAAACACCACACATTTATTTATCAGGACACAGGGTGAATTCCAGGAGGGATTGCAAAGGTTATATAACAATCGAAGTCATTTATTGAGAGCCTACTAAGTGGGTTTACCAATGCTACCTTCCTTGATATTGAATGCCACCTTCTGAACTGATGCCCCTTACACCTACACTGTGTTGAAGCAACTTGCCTGCACATCAACATCTAATGTGAAGTAGAGGTGGCCTGGAAAACTGAGGCCCTCTGGCCCTGAAGCCTGTACTCTTTCTCTGATTCCATTTTGCCTGGTTCCTAAGTGGATATTGCTACTGTCAGTGTTCCAGGATTGAAGGATCTGTAGCCTTCCATAGATGCCAAGAGCCAATTCTAAGGTGACTGGACACCCTAGTATACTTTCCCCTAAGGTTCAACGTTCAGCAAATGGAGGTGGGGTCTATCATGGGGTGGGGAGGAGGTGCTGTGGTTCATCCTTCACATTCATGAGCCAACTTTACATTATTGAGGCCGACTGTTGTGCCTGTAAGGATTATATCTACAGACCCTGTTAAAAGGATACTCTGACAGATTTCTGAGGGAGCCTTCACCATACAACCCTAATTGTTAAATGTAAACATTTAAATGAAATGTATTGTTAATTGGTTTGGCATTGCTCTATTTTTAATATACCAGAAGCCTTAAAGAGCAGAAATGACTCAGACTCCTCTGCTCACATGAATGGTGGAAGAAAGCAGAATATTCACAAGCTAGGGTACAGACATTTTAGGGAAGCTGATTTCAAGAAGATACAGGGACTATTGAGAAAAGATAAAGAGGAAGAAACAACGAACCAACTGAAAAATTCAGTCAATGAACATTTAATGGGTACCCTCTATGTGCCACGTCCTGAAAAAGGCATAGTCCCATGGATGTGACTAAGTACCGCCTCCAAAGTCATTAAGATTTTTCAGCATTTACTACATGCCACATACTTTATGCTGAATCCTGAGAGGAATACTTAGAGGTTATTAGATCAAACTTTTTTTTGTTTGTGTAGAATGAGGCAGTGAGACATGGACATGATAATTGACAGCAGCATAGTCAATGCCCTGCTCTGCCAAAGAGCTCAGAAAAGCACAGGGGCAGGAGTGCCCAGGAGGAAGGGCAAGGAGAGCAGGAGGAGGCCGGCAAGGTGTGTAGCAGGAAGCTAGACAGGGTTTGGAAATGTCCCACATGGTTTGGGACTCTGAGTTGTATTAGTTTGTTATCATGCTGCTGATAAAGACACACCCGAGTGGGCAATTTACAAAAGAAAGAGGTTTAATGGGCTTACAGTTCCATGTGGCTGGGGAAGCCTCATAATCATGGTGGAAGGCAAGGAGGAGCAAGTCATATCTTACATGGATGGCAGCAGGCAAAGAGAGAGAGCTTGTGCAGGGAAATTCCCGGTTATAAAGCCATCAGATCTCATGAGACTTATTCACTATCATGAGAACAACACTGGAAAGACCTACCCCCATAATTCAATTACCTCCCACCAGGTACCTTCCACAACATGTGGGAATTCAAGATGAGATTTGGGTGGGGACACAGCCAAACCATGTCACTCATGTAGAAACAACAGAGAAGAAAAAATAAATAATAATAATAATAATAATAATAATAATAATAAAAAGACAAAAATGGATCCCAGAACACTAGAACTCTGATGGGGTTGAAACAAACTGCCTTTGGTAAGTAGAAAACCACTTCAGTGACAGACTCATGAATTTTCTGGAAAAGCCACATGATGTGGGTGCTGAAACTAGAGACTCAAAATAGTAATAGGGTTCTGTGTCCAGAACACACAGCGTGAATGACCAGGCAAAACTAGCTCTTTAAGTCCATGAAGAGTAGGACAAAGAGCAAGGCTGTGAAGCAGCTACTTGATGGCAGGCATTGTTCTTATTATATTCATTTCCTCTAATTCTCAAGTCCTGCAGATCAGGAGATCAGTCTGCCTTTGACTTCCACTTTACAAAGGTTCAACCTGGGCCTCAGAGTTTTAATAACTTACCCAAGACCACAGCATAGTGTAGCTGGGATCAGTTGGCAATAAAACCTGAGTTTTTTTTTTTCTAAACATGTTGCTGTCCTCTTAGAATTACGATGCTGTGGGAAGGAATTACATCTTCTAATGAAGGAGGTGATAGTGGGTGTTTATAACTAAGGGAAACAATAAGGAAAGACTCTTCATGGCATGCGATTCATTGGGTGGCAGACTATTGATGAGTGCCCTGTGTGCACAGAGCTCCCAGCATTTTGTGTTTAACACAGTGGAAGGCCTGTGGGAATAAAGGGGATACACAGAATGTGCAACTGTGAGTATATTTGACAAGGGCAATCTGGAAGACACTGGACCTTGAAGGATGTATAGGATCTGGATATGTGTAGAAAGGGAGATACATTTCTATGAGGGTGTAGGGGGCACAGTGAGAGTAACTGACTAGTGGTGGGGATGACTATAGTATCCATGGTCTGTTCTTAGAGTAAAGAGACGGAGATTTCAAAATGCCATTCCTTACCCGATTATAAAAGTAACACATGTTCACTGCAAAAATACTTGGAAAGACAGGGAAGAATAATGAAATAATTAAAAAGTTATCTATCAGTTTTTAGTGTCAGTCCTGCCAGGCTTCATTTTGTGCACTTTGAAAAAAAAAACCCATATTCATGATCAGACTGTACATACAATCCCGTGCCTCACTTTTTTTATTTAACAAAATATTGGGCGTATTTTGTCTCTTTAAAATATTTTTCAAGAGTCTGAATTTCCATGGCTGCACATTGCTCTATTAAGGGCCCCCCAAGTTCTTCTTTGTCCTGTAAATGTGTCATTCTGTGCTGGAAGGTAAGGACTATGGCTGTCCAGGATGGAAAGGTGAGCTCAACAAGGCATCCCAGGGTTCTTCTTGGTACCAAAGTCCCTGGTGAGCTTCTCATTTCTGCCTGAGCACGTTCTGCTTCCTCTCACGATGTGTCTGACCTTGCTGAGGTGATGTAAAGGGAAAAGAAGGAAGAGCTTGCTTTCCTTTTGGAGATAAGGGATTTGAAATGCCTTTACCCCCACCACACTATACACACAGCAACTTAAGGTGTTTCGAAGACACTATCTAATGGGAATGGAGTTTAAAGGGACCTGTATTCAGTTTCTGAAAGTATTAAGAGATGTGATTTCTAATTTTGCTCCTTGTTGGAAATGAGCATGAACAGGCTATTATATAATATATATTAGATAAATAATAATATACAAATGGAGCCCTTTCTGGCCCTGTCTTGTGTGGTGACAGCTTGAATCCACGTACAGGATCCTCAGCACGGAGTGGAGGCTACACAGTGATTAGTACTAAAGAGGGAACAGGAGGAAGAGAGAGAGTATCACCATAGAGAGAGAGAGAGAAAGAGAGACAGAGAGAGAGAGAGAGAGTGTGTGTGTGTGTGTGTGTGTGTGTGTGTGTCTCTGTGTGTGTGTGACAGCTATGTCCTCCAGGGAGAAGCAAACTATCATGCATAGCTCGCCTCTAATGCAACATTCAGGGCATTGGACAATCGCTGTAGGTTATTTTACTTCGGACTTACAACAATAGGTAAGTAAAAAATAATTTCCTACTTGAGGAGAAGAGGTTGAGCATTTTACCCAAGATGACACACCTAGTAAGTGGTGGGGTTGGGGTGGGGACTCAAATCAGGCTGGACCCAAAGCCAGCTTGCTTTCCACTACACACCACTAACCCTTTGCGCTGATTCAATGAGAAAAGACGCTTCCTCCCTGTCTCTGTTCCACTACAGCCCTGGAGAGTCATCTTCAAAATCCAAACAGGGTATTATGGATTAAAGGCTTGTGTCCCCCACATTCATATGTTGAAGCCCTAGCTCCCAATATGAGGGTATTTGGAAGTGGGGTCTTTGGGAGTTAGTTAGGCTTAGATGAGATCATGAAGGTGGGGCCCTCATGGTGGGATTAGTGTCCTTATAAGAGGAGGAAGATAGATCAGAGCTTGCTCTCTGCCGTTATGAACATACAACAAGAAGATGGCCATCTGCAAGCCAGGAAGAGAACCCTCACCAGGAGCTGAATCAGTTGGCATCTTGATGTTGGGCTTCCCAGCAGCTACAACTGTGAGAAATAAATTCCTATTGTTTAAACCACCTAGTCTATTGTATTTTGTTATGGCTGTCCAACTAAGACGCAAAGATTCAGAGCTCCATCATCAGCAGAAGACTTCACTTGTAACTGAACCCAGCATTTTAGATTATCAGTGATGGAAAAAGAAATATGAAGGAGTTTTAGGTTAGCCACAGTTATCGGAAAATTCAAAGAAATGAAGTTTCATGTAGTTATAGCCAGAAGCTATTTCATCTTCCCACTGCGAGTTTCAGAGATAACCACATAGCTCACACATAGCTTTTTCTGAGTATTACATATATTGTCTCATTTAATCCATACCACCACCCAAATGAGTAGGTTTTCTGGTTGCTATTTCAAAGACAGAGGAAAGGAGACCACAGAAAGAAGTAACTTGCTTAAAATCAGAGAAGTGGCACTTCTGTGGACTTCATTTTCCCCAGCATCCTAGATTTTTAAAGTGCCAAAGCTGCAGGCCCTCCCAGTGAATGTTGATCCCATGGAAGTCCAAAGTGAGATTCCTGGTCATGGCTGGTCTCCTCATGCATCTGGCCAGAGCAAGTTGATGCCTCTTAGGATACAGGAGCACTGCCTACATCCTCTAGAGCCCCTGTGTTACTGGAGCCAGGTCACAATAACAGGGTCAAGTTGGGACACCGAATGATCCCTTCAGGCACAGATTTGTTCTGGAACATTTTACAGACATCTCTAGAAGCCACCATAATCTCCTTTTCCCCAAGTGACCTTCAGTTGGATATATTTTAAATTTTGGAAGTAAAATAATTTTGTAAACTGTAGAGACCTCTGTGTTTGAAGGACGTTATTGTAATTATGCTTGGAAAAAAAACTGGAATGATTATTTAGATATTATTTCTCTTCTACAAGCAGAAAACTGTGAGAGAAGCTAAATGACCTGTCAAGGTTCACAAACTTGGGCAGACGCAGAGCTGGGACTAGAGTCTGACCTTTCCTTTGGATTCAAGTTAAAGAAATGCTAACTGAGCAACTACTGTGCATTCCAGCATTGTGCCAGGCACACAGGAGAAAAAGATGATGCATGTCCCTGAATGAGAGAGACCACATCTTGGCCTCCTCTGGTTCCTCAAGCCTTGTGGTATATGCTTGGCACAAAATAAGCACTTAAGAAATATCTGCTGAATGAATCAAATGGCTGAACTCAAAGATGTTCATGCTCTTGTTTCATCTCGTGAACAGTTAGAACCTAAACTGAGATCTGAATTCATCCCAGAATGCCTTAGGTTTTCCTGTCAGCATTTCTCCTTTATTCATATGCATCCCCAACAAGATTGTGTTCTCTTCAAGGGCAGGGACCTTGATCTTGCTCTTGCCTGCTATGCTGTGTGCATCGCGGGGCTGGACAGAGATGGAGAACTCAGCAATGGCGGAGGAATCACAGTCCTGCCCCATCTCCGGGGCTGACACACTTTTAGCTCACACCAGAATGTCAGTCATCATTTGGAAATCTGAGCCCACCTGACTCCACACTGGGCCCACATCATCCCTTCCTACAAGCCACCTTTCTCTGTCTCCAACCCTCCCACCTGGCCTAGCAAAGTGGAGCATTCTTCTATCTGTTCTATACACTTGCCTCACTCCTGCAGCTGGACAGTAGGCCACTGTGGGGGCATCTTTTCCACATCCCCAACCATTCCAACCTTGGATGAGAGTTTTGCACATGGCAGGTACTCAATAAATTTGTGTTAAACACAGAAAACATTTTAGCCACACGTGTTTTGCTTGTTTTCAGGCAACGTTTACTAGCCTTTGAGAATAAATGCTTTGAAGACCATATTTTTCAAAGAGCTCCTATGCAAACCTAGAATTAATAAGCATCTAAATTACAAAGCTCACCATGTAGAACAAATTGGATTTCTTTTCATTAATAGCAAAGAAGCAGAAAACAAGCCCAATCCCAAGGGAACCAAATGAACACAGTTATTCACCATTTTCTCTCTCATTCTTTTTTTCTGTCCATAAACCCAACTTTATTCAACTATGTAGTTCATAAATATGGTCCCTGTATGTCAGCACAGTTAACAAGTGGTCTCCAGCATTACAGCCCTTTTGACAGCTCACCTGGCCTTGCAATAATAAAGTCACAGTTCTGGTTCTGGAATTCTTTATGTTTTTCTAAATGGAAAAACAACCACCACAAGAAACAAAAACTAGCAAAACCCAACCAAGCCTCAAATGATCACAATGTTCCAAATATTAAGACACGGGTCTAGTGGCTTTTTAATCAACTAAATGTCAATGTTGTTCTACATAACAGCATAGAAGCCACATTAGTAACAAAAAACAAAGTCCAATCCATGCACAGAATATTTTATATCTGCCTTCTTAAAAATATATTTGCTTTAAACAGAGGCCTGAGGGTTTTGCACCATTCTGTGTACCCTAATAGCAAAGACTCTTTTCCAAAAAAAAAAAAATACTATAATGGTTTGAGGAAATTCTACCTCTGTCCTGAGATTGCTGTGACGTTTCCCATTTGCTTGACATGTAGCTAGCTGGGCAGGAGGTAGGGATGGGCAGTTGCTGCTTGACAGTCACACAGCCTCCAGGAGGAGTACCTGGTCTCCCTGCCTACACAGCAGAAGTCTGAAGCCTGGCAAGTTAGCCAACTGTAAGTCCTTGAGATTCTTTTCTCTAAAATAGAAATTCTCAAATTATAGTCCAGGGAATCCTGGGGTTCCCTGTGACCCTTTTGGGGCAAGAATCCATGAACTCAAAACTATTTTCAAAATTACAGGAAGATGTTATTTGCTGTTTTCACTTGTTTTTGCTTATCGATGAACAGTGAAGTTTTATAAAAGCTACATGAAATATAATCTCGCCACAGAGCAAATGTAAAAGCAGAAATAAGAATCCTGCTGTCTTCTGTGAAGGTAGACATTAAAGAGATTTGCAATCAAGTAAAGTAAGGCCACTTTTCTCACTGGATTCACCTTGTTTTAGAAAATATGTTTTTTCATAAAAGATGTAATTTATGTTACCACGTAATAGATTTGTTATTAATTATTAAAAATACATTAAGTAAATACTTTTAAAATATCAGCTTTAACTTCTAATACGGTTAAGTATTGATAGCTATAACACTGTGATGGTTAAGTATATGTGTCAAGCTGACAAGGGGTGCCCAGACTAAACATTATTTCTGGGTATATCTGTGGGATGTTTCTGGATAGCATTAGTGGATTCACCAAAGTAGACTGTCCTCCTCAGTGTGGATGGGCATCATTCAATCTTTTGAGGGCTTGAATAGAGCAAAAGGGCAGAGAAAGGAGGAAATTGCCCTTTTGCTTCCTGCCTTCCTGCTTGAGCTGGGACATAGGTCTTCTCCTACCTTTGGACTGGGATTTACATCATCAGCACCTCTGGTCTGCAGGCCTTTGGACTTGGATTACAATTATACCCTGGCTTTCTTGGGTCTCCAGCTTGCAGACAGCAGATAATGGGACTTCTCAGCCTCCATAATTGTGTAAGTCAGTTCTTCATAGTAAATCTCTTTATGTATGCATATATATATATCGCCTACTGGTACTGCTTCTCTAGAGAACCCTGACTAATCCAGATCTACTACAAATAAGTTCTTTGTGGCCCTCAGTAATAATTTTTAAGAGTGTAAAGATATCTTGAGTTGAAAGAGTATGAAAGCCACTGTCCTAGGACATTACTCAGCCTTTCATGGGCCCACCTAGCTCCTACTTATTATTCTTCAGATCTACATTCAAGGCACATCTGGGAACCTACCTCAGAGCCCCTGACCCCAAAAGAACCCTGTGCTGGGCTCTGTAATAGCACCAACTATCTAGTAATATATTTATAGATTTTCCTTGTATTTCCCAATGCCAACTCTCTGAGGCAGGGCTGGGTGGTTTTCATTCCTGAATTCTCAATGCCAAAGAAAGGGCTTGGCACCCAAAAAGAATTTAGTACATGCTGAAGGAAGAAAGGCAAGACAGAAGGAAGCAAGACAGGTAGGAGAACAGACACTGTAGGAATTTTGGTTGAAGGGCATTAATCAGCATCAAAGAACCAGCAAGACCTGTAAAATTCCCAATCACAGTTATTTGCTGAGGGCCTAATCTCTGCCCAGCCCTGCATCAGGAACTTGATTCTTATGCATTATTATGCATAAAATCCCTTGAGTTATTTATTAAACTGCAGATTTTGGCATCCTATTCCCAGAGATAATTAAAGAGCAAATCCTATACAGGTGGAGATTGGGAGCGAGACTGCATTCTGGGCAATAGCTCCCAGTGAGGGAGCCAAGAGCTGTAGCTTCTGAGCAACAAGGGGGAAACATTTTCAGCTTGTTCACAATTCGGAAGTTATTCTTTTCATCAAAAGGCAAGGCTGTACACAAAACCATCATCACATGTGGCATTCTCCCAACCATTCAATAAAAACACTAGCATTACAGAAGAGGAAAAAGAAAACCCTCACTGAGAGCTCCAACGTGCAAGTCTGTGTAACTCACACCAAGTTCTAGAAGTGTACATGTCCATGCAAACTAAATTAGAAAGAAACTTGCTAGTGTGATAGAATATAGCCAAAGAAGAAACCATATTTATTACGAACTTTGGGCAATGGTCTATGGAGGCTAAGATGTCTCTGAAAATCACTTTTCAATCTTATACAAGCAGCATCCTTCATGATGCAGAGCAAAGTGGGATGTAAGTCAATAGCCAAAGATAGGTGACCGACACAAAAACACAGTAGGAGAAGACAATTAAGGGCTTCTAGACAGGATGAGGACTGATACACACTCCTCTACACCTGGCTGAAGGCTCTGCTACTTCCCTGACAAGCAAGGACTGCAGTTAACACGAATGAAACGTTACAGTTGGATTTAAATATGACTTATCTCTATGAATATGCATGTAGATACATACAGTATATGCATGTTATGATTAAGAACACTGGTTTACTAAATTGAACAGAACTGACTATATATACTGGAGCTTCAATAATAAATGAACCTTAAAATATCTTTTTTGGCTAAGGATTCCTATAGGTTTGGTTAAGGACAACGGCTGGGAACCAGGGGTGCCCACATAATCACTCAAATTAAGATCTGATGAGTGAATGGCTGTCCAGGGTTACAGCCCCTTCCTCCCTAGACAGGGCTGTTCCCATTCATTTGGGCCACACACTATAATAATTGAAAGTTGTGTCCTGGAGTAGTTTGGAAGGGCTTCCTGCAGGAGGGAGCACTTGACACTGGGCTGTTAGGAGCCAGTAGCACTTAGCTGAGTGGAGGGGAAAGTGAGCACTGGAGAGCCCAGGTGACAGTGAGGCACGGAGACCAAGGTACAGGGGGAAGAGGGTCAGGGACCATGCTCCCCACAGGTCCACCACTGGGTGAGGCACTATTCAGAGTCTCTTCATTTGCAGCTGCAGCCTATTCCCGGATCTCAGATTCCCAAGTCCCCTAGCTTTTATTCAGGTTGAAGGGCCTTCCTTGCCTCTTCAAGGTGGGTTTCTACCCTCATGCCTCTTCACTCCAATTTTGTAGTTTATTTGCATTTCTTTTTACACCATGCATTCTGTTCTCATTCTTGTATGTTAATTACCCCCACTGCATCCACAGTTGCTGCCCCACTGGACAATGGGCTTTTGGAGGAAGTTTATTGCCTTTTGCCTGACAAAAGCTTTGCTTTGTGAATGAATGAACAACTGAATGAGTCTTCTTGTGTGATCCTGGGCAAGTTACCTCCCCTCCTGGGCTTCACAGCTTCCCCAGTGTTCCTGGGGGACAAACCCTGCTCAGGCTGCCAGACATACTACAAGCAGCTTCCCTATGTGTCCTCAACATTTTTTATCATAGACAACTGCAGCTATGTGTTTCAGTGTTTATCTTTTTCTCTAGATGGTGAGCACTTTGAAAGTTTATAGGCCAACATAAATTATGATTATTGTCATCATTACTATTGTTATTTCCTTCCGGTCTAATGGACACTATATTCTAGGTGTGTTTTAAGGACTTTACATAGATTATGGCCTCAAATATTTACATTAGTAAATGAACTATTACATGTATTTTATAAATAAACTATATTAGGCCCATTTTACAGATAAGGAAACTGAGGTTTACACATATTAAGTGATTTGGCCAAAATCACACAGCTAGTATACAGCCAGAAATTGTGTGCAAGCCTGTCTAAATCAGAGCCAGGGCTTAAAATCACTATGTATTTAGTTTATTTTTTATTTTACAATATCCCACCTCTATAGCACAATGCCTAGCACATAGCAGAAGCTTAGTAAATTGTTGACTTGAGTGAATGAATTATGATCCCTAACTTACCATAGCTTGCCTAGTAATTTTTTGACTTTACAATTGTATAAAAGCAGTACACATTTAATACATTCAACTTATGTTGGGGTTACATCAGATGACAATATTGTAAGTGGTAAATGTATTTTCTACTTTCAATGGGTTTATCAGGATGAAACCCCATGGTAAGCTGAGAACCACCTGTATTAGGTTGAGCCATCATGATGGAAGTTGGAAGCCCACGTATCAGCCACATAGGCTAAGGAAAATGTCATTTGTGTAGAGTCACATAGCTTCCCTGAGCCTTGGTTTCCTAATTTGTTCACTGGTCACAGTGCTGTATGCTGAGGGTCAGCAGACCACATGCAGCCCACAGGTCGAATCCAGCCCTATACCCATTTTTATATGGCCTGTGAGCTAAGAATGGCATTTTTAACTCCTAATTTAGAAAAGGACTCTAGCCTTTCAGGAGACTGGTTACTCTATTTTACCTCTTGGCCTACAAAGCCCAAAACATTTACCTGGCCCTTTTCAGAAAAAAAACATTTGCCAATTCCTGCTGTCTGTAGTGACTAATTCACCAGCTCATTGTGAGAATCAAGTAAATGTTATTGGTGGAAATTTAGTGAAAGGGAAGATGTAGTAACAAAGGCATTTACGTTAATAAGTATTAATATTAGTTACAATTTTGGTGCCAGAGATGGCCATTTTTCCCAAAATCCTTTGCCCCTGTTCCCAAGCAGTGGGCATGAGATTCTATGTCCTCCAGCACCCAGAGTGGCTGTGTGATATCTGTGCAAAATTGCCTTTCAGAGTTGATGCGGAGAGCAGTTCAAGGACGGAGGCTGACTGAATAAACACCAAACTGGCTTAAAATACTTGGCAAACAAACACAACAAATTGAGTCCAGATGTTTCTTAGTCAAAAAAAGTAGCCAGAAGTTAATCATTCTGACTAATGTCCAAAGAGCTCCTCATAGTGGAAGAGCTGGAGGGTTTGAATTTCACCTGAAGGAAGCTGGGCACACTGTGGAATAGCTCCTGAAGTTCAGCACTCCTCTGTCTGTCTGACCATCCACCCATCCACCCAGCACAGTGGTGCAGAGGCTGCCTGTAGGGTGGGCCTGACCACTCCTGCTGGCTTAGCCCCAGCTCGTTCTTGTTTATCCTCCTGGAGCTCAGGTTCTCAATCTGTAAATTAACCTGTTCTTCCTTTCCTGTCTACCTAACAGGGAGGTTATGAGGAACTAACAGAAAAACGAATGTGACAATATAGCCTTTGCTATGATTAGAAATAGTAAAACCCAGCCCTAAAGGGACAGATGGTCGGAGCCAGAAACCTTAAAAACCTCTATAGAGAAAACTAACTTAGGCAAATACATCTAACAAATACTTGCGTTGTATATAATGAACAAAGAGGCAGAATCATTAATTTATAAAGAATTCTTACAAATCAGTAAGAAAATGATGAGCATCCCAATTAAAATAGGAGAAAGTGTGAATTAGGCAATCCATGAAAAATATAACAAGTAAGCTGAGACTGTTTGAAAAGTTGCTCTGCCTTACTAGTAATCAAAGAAATATGAAATTGAAATGACAATGGCGTATCATTTTCTGTTAGGGCAATACAGATAAAGTGTGATGATGTCTGATGTGAGCAGAAGTGTGAGGAAATTTTGAGAATTCAAATTAGTTCAAATTTCCCAGAGAGCCATTTGCCAGTATCTGTCAACATTTTAGATCTACATAGCACATCTCAATTAACTTTCCAACGGGTTGGTTTTCAGGGAACTGACATAGTGATTCTAAAGATCATCTTCAAGAATAAATATGTGAGGACATCCAGACAACTTCAGAACAGAAAGAGCAATGAGGAAGGTGGTTCCCCCTTCTAGATTCTAAGATAGTTAAAGCTATGAAGTTGCGGGTGGTAGATGCAAGAAAAGACACATTGGTCAGGAGAAGAGCATGAAGAGTTCATAAATAAATCCAGATATAAAGGCCATATTGTAAATCAGAGCAGGAGGGGTTTGAGAGGGCTATTCAACATATAAGAATTGGATTATAATAACATTTCAGTTAAAATAGCCTCAATTCTTGAGTTAGTCTCAGTTATTTCTCAAAGGTCTTTTAGCTGCTTAAAACCAGAATTTAAAGTATTACAGGCATATAAAAGGCTCTAAAGAGTAATCTAAGGAGCTTATGAACCCTCCACTCACCTTAAGAAATAGGACTTTACTGATACATTTGAAGATTCCTTTGTCCCTCATTTCTGATCATATGACTCCTCCTTCTCCAGTACCTCCAAAGGCAATGGTCGTCCTGAGTTTGGTGTTTATTATTTCTGAGCATTTATACTTATAATGTATTTGTACTTATCTCTAAGTGATATATGTTGTTTTACATATTTGCATATTTTAAATAACTGGCATCATACTTTAAAAATAAAAAAAACTTGGGGCAGTTGTGTAATACTTCAGGGAAAAAATAAAGCTAGAACTTTATATCACTTTAAACCAAAATAAATTTCAGATGGATCAAAACTTTAAAGGTAAATAACACAAGTCCATAAATACTCAACAAAAATGTGAGCAAATATTTTTATAATTTTGAGGTAAGAAAGGCAGAAGCCTTTCTGTAAAGGAAAAACTATGACAAACAGATTGAAAGGTGCATTTTAAAACCAAGGGAAATAGTTTATGTGGTGGATAAAAGGCTGAAATACCCACTATACAAGCTGATTTCAAAGCCATAAGGAAAAGTTCAATATTTCCACAAAGAAATGCGCAAAGAAAATACGTAATTTACAGAAAAAATATGAACAGCCAATAAACATATGAAAATATGGTCATGTGATCATACTCACTTATAATAAAATGAATATAAAAAAGCAAGATATGGCTTTTTCCTAGAAAACTGGCAAAACAACTTGTATAAAACCAGGTATTTCTAGAAAATTTTACAGAGGGAAGGAAGGTATTATGGACCGAATGTCTGTGACCCCAATACCCCAAATGTGTATGTTGAAACCTTAACCCCCAATGTGACAGCATTTAGGAGGTGGGGCCTTCTGGAGGTAATTAGGTCATAAGGACAAAACCGTTGTGAATGGAATTTGTGCCCTTTTAGGAGAAACCCAAGTGAGCTCTACCACCCCCTTCTCCCCATGAAAGAATACAAGCAGTCAGCAGTCTGCAACATGGAAGAGTGCCATCATCAGGACCCAACCATGCTGGCACTCTGACCTTGGACTTCCAGCCTCCAGGGCTGTGAGAAATGAATTTCTGTTGTGTATAATTCACCCAGTCTATGGTACTTTGTTATAGCAGCCTCACCTGAATAAGACAGAAAGAGAGAGGGGAAGAGAAAGAAAATGAGTGTTCATTGATGGCAGGGGTTTGATACACTCACACATTGTGGGCAGGGAGGGAAATTGATCTCCTAGGCTCATGGAGTTTCTGTTTCCCAACAGGCAAAAAAAAAAAAAAGACATTGGGGAGGCCATATAACTTGCCTTGTCCAATGAAATGGAAGCAGAGGAAGCAGAAGCCTTTAGGAGCTGGGGAACAATTTGTCACCCTTCATGATGATGGTGATCAGTGATGTTCTTAATGGTGGAGGTGACATCTGCCTGGGGCCTCCAGTAAAAAAGACTTGGAGCAAAAGTCAGTGTAGGCATGTAGCATGAGTAAGAAATAAACCTTTGTTATTTTAATTCATGGATAAATAAACCTTTGTATTTTAATCTACTGAGATTAACAGTTTAGCCCATGACTGTTACAATTTCTAAACTTTGTAATTACCCTGTTAGGTTAGATTATTTCCCCTATTTGCCAGCTTGACAAGCTGAGGCTCGCAGAAGCTAGGTAACTTCATAGTCACATCACATGAATGACCAAATCAAGACTTTTGATTTTATAGAAACCATACTCCATTTGCTATAACATGCTGTAACCCAAGATTCGTATGTTAAAAGGTATCTTAGAGATCCCTCAGTCCAACTGCCCCTTTGGAAGATGAGTAAATGGAGGCCCAGGGTCAGTGCTTTCCATGGGGCACAGAGTAAATCTGGGTTTCCTTTCAGTCTTATATTCTTCCCATGGTTTGCATCTCAGTCTTTGATGCTGAAAACTCTAGAGCCTTCACAAAACTTAGGAAAGGTGGAAGGAGGATGGAATAGAAAGAATATAGTGTAGACAAAGGAAAGGGTGAATTTGGCTCTCAGCCAGAAAACAGCCAGTCAGGGACTGGCTCAAGACATCAGAGGTGCCCATCAATGCTTGGACCCAACAAGCCCAGAATCAAATTGTCAGGGTGCCTCAGCATCACTCCTCCTGAGGTTCCTCTCACGTAGTAAATGGTATCAACGTCTTCTTCATCTCTCAGGATAACATCCCTGGGACTCTCTCAACTCATCCTTTCCCTCATCCACTCCATTATCTAAGTTCTAGGTACCGTCCTGCCTAAATATATCTTAATTTCATCCTTTCCACTGCTCACTTAGGCCATCATGATCATCATGGGACATTCCTCTCAGCTCAGCCCAAGCACCTTTTCTCTGACATATCCAATGTTAAGCTTTGTGATACATGTATGTGGAAGACAGGCCCCTGTCACTGACTGGCTTGTCCATGGCCTACCCATGAGGAAGGGGAGGAGCTCTGTAGCTGTGAAGATAATTCACAGCCTTGCCTGGATAGGAAGTAGGAATGACCAGAGTGTGCTCAAGCTAGGCCTACTAAGGAAAGTGCCAACTGCCCCTCCGTGCTGCCCACTGAGTGCTCTCCTCTCCTCTGTCACTCTACATCCCTCAGTCTACACTAAGAGTTCACCTGCTTATCAACCCAATGAACCACCTTCAATACCTCTTTCAAATCCACTTCTCCCAAGAATCCCTAATTATTTGATCACCCTGAAGATTCAGCTTGCACAACTGGGCTGGGAATGCTGTTGTTAAAGAGGGAAGACAAATCAAGCTTGATTCCAGTCCTCTTTGCTAGGCTTCTCCATCAATGTGCCACTCTGGTTCTGAGGTCTAATAGTGTTTATCTCACGTCTACTCTAAGTCCGCAGGGACAGTTTACTAACTGCCTGGGCAGCAGGCCAGGGTGACTCCAGGCAAACCACCAACCAGAGACTCAGCCTCATTGTCTTCATAAATGGCTAAACTCTCTTACAGTCTTCCAAAGTGGAAAGCTGTGGTTTATTTAGTCATTAACTATTTGGAAAGTTCCTTGTGATTTTTAAAGCACAGACACACACATTATCTTGCGTAGTTCTCCCAGCAGCCCCATGACGGCTATATTGCTATGCTCACCCTCATTTGGCAAATGATAAAATTGAGCCTGAGAGAGGTTAAGTAACTTACTTAATGTCATTTGATTAATAAAGGTTGCAAGGTGAATTTACATCCAAGTTTTCTGACTGTGCAACTTGCATGATTCTCTTCTCTATGCAGTAGTTCTAACAGGCCTGAAGTGCTGGGGTAACTAGAGATTAATGTTGCAGCTTATGGGTAAAGGTATCAATTTGTTAATTCTTGGACAAAGATTTG
Source organism: Homo sapiens (assembly GCF_000001405.40). Lineage (NCBI taxonomy): Eukaryota > Metazoa > Chordata > Mammalia > Primates > Hominidae > Homo > Homo sapiens. Next base: position 140,292,498 of record NC_000003.12, on the reverse strand, counting down.
CTGAGGAATGAGTCCATCACTATGTGAGTCACTCAGGACACAGTAATGCTCAAGGCAGATAATGTTCCTGCACATTGGGGGCTCTATTTTAGTAGGGAAGAAGAAAAAAAACAAATATTGACAACATAGTTAACTGGGTGAATCAGAGAAGACCTAATTGAGGAGGAGATATTTTGGGCAGGATATTCGTAACAGGAAAGAAGCGGCTGACAGCCATGGGAAGAATGAGGCAACAGCTCCCAGGAGGAGGAGCAGCACATGCAAGGATCCAGCCTGTTGGAGGAATGGAGAGAGGTGAGAGGGTTTGGGTGTCCTGAGCAAGGAAAGGGGTGGCAAGAGGAGTGCTTGGGAGGCAAGCCTTAGATAGGTCATGGGGGTTTTATAGGCCATGGACAGAGGCATTGTTTTTACTGTAAAGACATTGAAAGTCTTTGAATTGAATTGAGGAGGGGAGAAAGATGATCTAGATTTTGTTTTAGAAAGATCCTCCAGCTTTGAGTGGAGAATACATTGAGGAAAGGTGAGGTGGAGTAGGGAGACCAGTTAGGAGGCTCATGTGGTCCTCCAGGTGGGATGGAGATGGAGAGGACACACCAGTTTGAGACAAGTTTTCAAGCGGCAGCTGGTGAGACTTGTACTGTGGTGTTAATGGGCAGAGGAATCAAGGCTGATTCTGAGTTGGAGTGGTTGGAAGCTCATCTTTCAGACACGGATGACTGAGGGACAATCATTTGAGGTGTGAGGAGGCGGCAAAGTTCTCCTTTTGGCATTGGATTAAAGTGCTTGAGATGGTAGAGTGGAGATGCCAAGCAGACAGGGGAATACGCAGGACTGGAGTTCATGAGAGATCTCGTCTGGAGATGGGGGAAGTTGCCAGCATATGGATGGCCCAGAGGATAATTTTGGAGGAAGGGGCAGAAACAATGAATAAAAGACTCCATTATTTGGCTGTCTGGTGGAAGAAAAGGAGGCAGCAAAGACAACTGAGAAGGAAGTTCAAGAGACAATGGAATCACAGAATGCAGGAGAGAAAGGTGTTTCAAAGGGGAGGGGCAGTCAGCATTGCTGAGTGATGGGAGAGGTCCAGCAGAAAGTTGGGGGGGGAGGGGAAGCACTTATCTGATTTAGCATCAGGTCATTTACTGGTGACCTTGACAAAGGCAGTTTCAGATACATATTAGGAAGGGAGGACAGCCTGGAGGGGAGAGAGAGTAATAAAGTGAGGAGGCGGGGCCATGAGTACGCAAGGCATTGGAGAGTAATAAGCACTAACATATAGTGAAAGCTCATCTCGGGCCAGGCTCTTTCTATATGTTTTACATGAATTCATGGATCCATGTCTACTTTTTAATAACCACATGGGACAACTATTAATATTAGCCCCCTTTTAAAGAAAAAAATACTCTGGTGTTCAGAGAGATGAGTAATGTTTTGCTGAGAAGGATGGTAGGGATTTTTGGATGTAATTGAAGGTGATGTGAAGAAAAGACAGGGATTTAAATTTTATGTTGTTTTTAATATCAGGTAGTTGGCCCTGTTTGTATGCTGATGAAAATGATCTGGGAGAGAGGGGTGTTAAAGGAGGGCATCATTGCAGATCAGGTGAAAAATTAGCCCTGAAAGGCATGAGGACATTGCTTCCACTAAAGGAAGGATGGTAAAGGAGCTGTTGTCTGGTAGCTTCTATTTTCACAAAGCATGGCGTTGGGTCATCAGATAGAGGAGTAGCAGCTAAAGGTGGCTTGAAGACCAAGGAGGAAGTGTGAATCAGGATACTTAGGCTTAGACATTGAATTATCCATTCTATGCTCCAAAGCTAGCGGTCAACCAGGACTCTGGAGGATCGCAACCAGGGAAAGCCTTTCCTTGTCAGTCGCTTGTAGGTTGTATTGTAATTGGTGTATTTGTGTGTGATTTGCCCCATAGACTGAACTTCTCAGAAGACAAGAGAGTGTTCCCTTCCCCCTACCTCCTCCTTTTCCTCATTTGTAGAGGTCTCTCCTCCTGTCCCTCAATCCCACCTCAAAGGGCACCCCATCTAAGAGGCATGCATTGGTCTTCCAAAGTCCACATCAATGAACCCCTTCCTAATGCTCGGGTATATTGTGGGCTCCTCCTACTATGTTAATGCCCCAGAGGATGGGAAGATCCCTGGAGGCAGAGCTCTGTCCTCTTAGTCACCTTTTAAACTCCCTGTATTTCCAGTTCCTCAGCCCCTCACCCCAGGGCTCAGTGCTGTGCCTGACTCAGGGAAACTATTCACTGAACTAACTGTGAGATGAACTTGATCACATTCCAAAACAGGCTCAAACACTTCATCGAAATGGGTGTTCTGAGATAACTCCAGAATCTGTCATCTTAAAAATACAGAAAGATAATGACAATCTTTTCTGATGCCTATTAGCAAAATCAGAGCACTAAAGGGAATTTTGATCCTTATTTCTCTACCTTTTACATAAAGTCTAGTTTTAAAAGCCTTAAAAATGGCTGCTCAGCATCTAGTAGGCTGATCAAAGAGACTTCTGAGACCCTTTTACATGCCACATAAGCCCTGCTTCTTACCTGAAAACAGAATTTCACCTGACTCAATATGAAAATTTGTCATCATTTAACATACATGAGAATCCTTATAAAATTTTATATTTTGGGTTTTTAAACCTTGTCTGATATTTAGGAAACATATCTCTGAGATTATTGGCAGGGTTATATTTTTATTTCATGATCAAGTTGGCAGAAATGTGATTTTAGAAAGGCAGCAATTACTGAACTCTGAGCCCTCATACAGATGTATCTTTTTGTGTGTGCATGCATTCATTTATTTCTTCATTCATTCAACAAACATTAAGTCACCCATTGTCTGTTAATGATGAAAAGAAGTGAAGGTTTGTTAAAGTGTTTGGTCTTGATTCTGGAGGCAATGAGAAGCCATGAAAGGGTCAGAGACCCAGTTAATGCTGTGCCACAGATGGGATTGTGATATGGAATTAGGCTATGGTGCTGTTCCTACTCTTTTGGCTTCAGTTTTTGACCAATTTCAAAGGGAGATTAACTAGGTACCAAAAAGAAAGGCTCCAAATTTTAAAAATACAAATCAGTGGATTTTTTGCAGGGAATACAGCTCCTCTCCCCGCCCCCCTGCAAAAACAAACAAACAAACAAACAAAAAAAAACACAAAACCATGAAATTGGGCTTGGATCCAGGCTGGCTGGGTTTGAATCCCAGCACCTCCACTTTTTAGCTGTGTGACCTTGGACAAGTAACAGAACCTCTGCCTCAGTTTCCTCTATATAATAGGTGTAATAACACAGCTTATCTCATAGAATTCTGATGATTAAAGGATTAGATACAGGTAAAGCCCTTGGAACCATGCCTGGCACACAGTAAGCAGTCACATTAGCTACACTGGGGCTACCTTACTCTGTGTGAATAACATGTACCATACTCAAGGAGCAGCCAGTGAAGATTCCAGAGGATTTCAACACAGCATAATCAACGCAGCAAAAGAGCAGCAGCAGCTGACCCAGGTGAAGAGGAAAAGGGCACGGGGGATCAGGGAGGAGAGTGTCTGGGGAGGCTGCCCAGAAGAGGCAACTGGGAGGTGGGTATGAAGGGTGAGTGAAAAGAGTCCAGCTCCCTCAGGGGACTGTGGAGAATGCCACAGGCTGCTATGAATCAGTTGGATTTTCTCCACTTAAAGATTAATTCATTAGTTCCCCAGCCTGGCTCACAGTCATTTTTATTTAAATCCCTCAGAAATTGTTAATGGAACATTCCATAGCCATGATGACAGTATCATAAGAGATAATTAGTCAGTGGTGTTGGTGGGAAGCAGGAGATGCTAACTGGGCATAGTGAGAAGAAGGAAAATCAAAACAATTGATCAGCATTTCCTCAAGCCAATATACAAACCACAGAAATGATGTCTTGGACTTGGGAATCTGAATTCTGCTAAAATACTGAGGGAATAAAAGTGTCTCAATTAGCTGCACTTTTTCTCAAGTAGCACTGCTGAAGACTCTTTCTAAAACACCTGGGAAATGGTGTTTAGTGATTGCAATAGAATCCTCTTGGAACAGCTGGATATCTGAGAGGATCCCAGGGCATCAGTGTGAAAGGAATGTCTGGGAGGGGAGATGGCAGCACACTCATCCTGGCATATAACCCAGAGCGGACACTTATTCTCTTCAGGTCTTTCTTCCTTCTGTCTGTTCTTCTTTCCTTCCACTTTTCTTCCCACCCTACTTTCTTTCATAAATTTTTTACTTATATTTATGATATATAAAACATGTTAATAATCAGACATTCAAACATAACAATAGGTATACATGTGGAAGGTCAGTTGTCCACACCCATTTCTGACCCCCCCCGCCGGTTTCCTGTTCTGCTGAGACTGCTTTAGAAATGAAGGCCACGTGTCATCTATCAAGAAGGAAATCATTTGGCATCAGTTGGTTGAGTTAAAAATGTTGAGCTAAAGTTATCCTGATAAGCATATGGTAGAATCCTTTCCCAACCCAAACCCATTTTGAAAGATGAGCAACTTAGTCTTCTGAGATTTTGAAGTGTTATTTGGCTCATCAGTTTATCTCTCTCTCCTGAGCACTGGGGCATGCTTTCAGATAGAGCATTGATTTTTGAGAGACACAAAATAAATGGCTCAATGATTTGGGGATCGGATAGACCTATCTTAGAATGCTGGCTCTGCCCATCACTCAGAAGCTGTGTGACCCTGGGTAAGTCACTGAATATCTCTGAGCCTCTGTTCAGAATTTGTAAAATGGCAATTCAATACCTACATCACTAGGCTGTTTTAGAGAATTATGTGAATTTACATATACCAAGTATTCCATTTTCCTTAGGAAAAAAAACTATGTTTTTTTCTCAACTTCCCTATTCTTATGGTATTCCATTACATTAACTGGCCAACCTTTAAAATTTTGTTTTACAACTTTAGTGAGGTATAATTGAAGTAGAAGAAACTGCACATATTTAAAGTATACATTTTTGACCAATTTTGGCAAGTGTATATACAGTGAAATCACCACCACAATCAAGATAACAAGAATTCTTCTTTCCCCCAAAAGCTTCCTCCTGTCCCTGTACAATCCACCCTTCCATGCACTCCAATGCCCAAACACTGATCTGCTGCTTTCTGTCTTGAGAGATAAGTTTGCATTTTCTAGAATTTCATATAAATGGAATCATATGCGATGTGCACTTTTTTTTGGCCTGGCTTCTTTCACTCAGCATAATGATTTTGAGATTCATCCGTGTTGTATCAGTAATTTACTGCTTTGTATTGCTGATTCATATTTTCATACCTGGATTTTTTCAAGTTATTCAGGCATCCCTTAAGAAATCAGACAACATCCTTAAAATTCAGGAAGCTAGATAGATCTTATTGTTTCTAATCCTCAGAAACCTTTGCCACTATTATATTCTACTTTGATGCATGATGCTGACCCTTGAGCTGGGCTCTTAAAGCCCTTCATTATCTGCTCTGTGGATTGAGCCAACCTGTTTCCCCTCTCCTGACCAGCCTGATTCCTCACTTCAGCCTGTCACCTAGACTTTCCAGGACCTCCAGCTTCTGTGCTTCTGTTCATGTCCTGAAACATCATCGCTTACCTCCCACTCCTACAAAGCCCACCTATCCCTCTGGTCCACTGCCTACACTACCTCTTCCAGGACCCCACTACTCCTCCTTCTTCTATCCAGGGCTATCTTCCCAGAATATTTGTCTCACAACACAGCATGTGAAGTGGAGCAGGCTCCTCCTTTCTTCAAGGACAAGCCTCTGACTGCCAGCTCCCCACCACACTCTGAGCTGAGTACCAGGAATGAGAGAGATGAGAAACATGGTCCCTGCCCTAAAGGTGCTTATACTCCAAGGCTGAGGAGGGAGGCAGAGTGGTATACATCGTATCTATGGTAGACACTGAATAGAGGGCGGCAAAAGAATATACATATATAACTGTCTGTCTGCCACATGAGAGTTGAAAATGGGCATCATCAAACCATTCTTTCTCCCTAATTTGTCAGGGACATCACTGGAGTGGGGAGCAAGTTTTATGCACCTCCTGTCTGCCCCCTCCCTACAAAACATCTACACAGGACTGAACAGAAAGGACGATCGATAAACACTTAACTGATTTGTGGAGGAGAAATAGTCCAAAGAGTTTCCCCAGATCTCCTTGAAAACACCACACCTATCAATGACGGAAAACCACAGCCAGGTATGAATAAAAGGCTCAGCACACAACTCTGATCCATGGTCTATTCCACAGGCTATTGGGGTGGCCTCCATTTGAATCAGGACCTGGACAGAGAGGTTGCTTCCTTTACCGGGGGCAGTTGTGGACCACAGCTGCTCAGAAATTGGGGATAAAGTCAAAGCTCTTGCTCCAGGGGCCATCTGGACCCTCTGCTATTAGTGAAGTAGCTCATCTTAGAGCCTAACGCTAAAGTTTCACAGTTATTACAACACCCCTGCATTGTCACAAACACCCTAGAGGCCAGCAGGGCTGTGCCTGAACTTTCCATTTCGAAAAGTGCTAAGCCCCAGGTCATGGTATTGGATGACTCTTGCCCTCCAACCTGAGTGTTCTACTTGTAACCGTTTGTCCAGTATTGTTCCAGTTTTGACACCAAGAGCCTCATGTCCTGGAAACCCCTCCAGTCCTGGGCAAATCAGGGTGATTCATTATTCTAGTTCCAACTTATATCCTCTGGCCCACCCTTTATTTTAGCCCAGAAATTCTGGAGATATGGTCGCCTGACCAGCAGCATTGGCATCAAGAGAACTTGTTAGAAATGCAAATATTCAGGCTCCACCACAGACCCAATGAATTAGAAACCCTAGGGAGGGCAATTGGCAATCTGTGTTTAACAAGCCTTCTGGGAGATCCCAGTGCTGGCTCATATTTCAAAACCACTGTTCTAGTGACACCTGTTGCTGCCAGCTTTACACAGGAGTATCCCATCAGCTCCTGCTTCTGCTGCACCCCAGAACTCCCACTTTGCAACTGCTTCTCTGATGCAGCACTGGAGGGTGTCTGTAGGATCAACCTGTACCCATGCAAGCCGACCTGAAGCGTGAGGGCATAACACTCCCTTAAGCAACAGGAGCTGCTGCCAGTAGATAATTGATACCATCTTCCAACTCCCCAATAGACAACTTGAAAGCCCAGTCTACACATGAGCTGTCTGTTTCAGTGGTCCATATGGGTATATATGAGTATTTAAATAATTAAAATTAATATAATAAAGGACCCACATTTCAAGTACCTACTAGTCACATGTAGCTAGTAGACAGAATATTGAACAGCACAGAGAACATTCCCAACATTGCAGAAAGTTCTACTGGACAGAATTGTTCCACATGGCTCCTCCAAAAAGCCCAGGGAAACCGAGCTCCACTTGCCCACAGCAATGACCACCTCCAGGATGCCCTTTTGTATTGGCTTTTCCTCTTTCCTTGTTTTACTCTACTCAGTCACCCAATCCTATCTCTTGCAATAAACCTGCATGCAAGCCTTTGTCTCAGGGTAGGTTTTCTTGGAGTAGGGGTGAGAGGTGGGGGTTGGCAGGCTAGTTCAGGGAGCTATCAGGAAGGGCTAGAGAAAGACAAAGCCCCTACTGACTCCTAGCCTCTGACACTGGTCTTAACTCTGTCCACCTCCCTGGTCTGTAGTGTCAGAACAAGCAGATGGGACATGCAGAGGTTTCTGCCAACCCAGCAAATGCAGGCTTTTGACAGAGGGAGTCTTCACATAGACAAATGTAACTTGAAGATTAACAGGGAACAAAGCCTTTGGAAGGAGCTGTTTCACTCAGAGGTTTGCACTGACTTTGAGAGAGGATTTGTGCTGCTGGAGCTTTTCTTTCCTCAGAAAATAGGCACCTGAGGCTGGGCACATCCTGATGGAGTGGCTCTTGAGCTAGGAAATCCACAATGCAACACAGGCCTGATTCAAGGACTTGATCTCCGCAACCCCCTGCGGTTTGTGAATAATGTGATTTTCTTAGGAAAAAAAGTCACTCTTACATTTTCTTTGCGACTCCATGAACATTATATATGTGGAACACCTCTACAATTGGCTGTTGTACCTTAAAGACTGGCTAAGGGTGATGGTGTTTTGACATCTTTTCAATTCAGTTCAATTTAACAAGCAATTATGGCAGTCCCAGCACAGTGCTTTTTAGTCCAGAAATAAATTAGAAACCCAATTTGTTCTTGTATTTTTTAAAAAAAATAATAGAATTTAGATTTTAAAATATAGGAAATTCTTATTTTGATAAAATCCTACCTGGATTTCACATGTCATTGCTGTATCTTTGGAATAAAGGTTTATTTCAACAGTGAGTATCTTGCTGCCTTCTCTTAAAATAAAAACTGTTCTTTTGGATGACAATTTTATTTGATCAATAATTGCATCAATTCTTGCCAAAAGCACATACTAGCTGCTCAAGGTGAAATTTACCAGCTTCCAATTTTTAATTAGCCTGTTCCTCCTTTACAGTTGGAGCTTCTAACAGAGAATTAGAGCAAAGTAACTCACTGAAGAAAGGCAAGTCATGCAGAAAATGCCAATATCAATTTCCTAAACAAGTCATAACTTAAATGCCACACACCCAGTTCCTGGCCCCAAGCTTTAAAGGGGAGAAGCAATCAAAGAAACTGATTGAGCAGAGAACATTATCAATTAATGAGAGAAGGGGAAAAAAGAGTGCATTAAATAAATTGGAAAAACAAATTCCAACTGATGCTTGATATTTTCAGTCTGAGGAGGAAAGGCTTTCTGTTTGGACTCATTCATCTTTCTCTGTAACTGAACACTACTTAGGAAATAATAGCCAAGACCCTGAGACCTGGGAAGAAGAATATGTCCTAGAGGCAAGAGGAGGAGTCCAGGGTACCAGTGTGGCTCTGCCACCATCTGGGTGACCTCGTGCCCATCCCCTAACCCCTCATGAAGTCCATATTCCCCCTCCATAAAGCAAGGGTAATACAATCAGCTTTACTGACTCCACAGGCTCAGTTTACAGGATAAAAGGGAAGCATGAATCACCTGTTCTGGTCCCTATATTCTGGTGCACAAACGTGATTGCACAGGTGTACTAGTGTGTGCAGGCATGTGTACAACCTGAAAAAGTACGACTTTGGCCCTCAGAAAGATGAAGGTATATATGGAAATAATAAATACCAAATTTCATCTGATTAATACCTATGGAAAATTTGGTTAGAGGGGCACATAGGGCTTCACCTGAACTAGTGATGCTTTATTTACTAAGCTGAGTAACAGGAAAACAAAGTTTGCCATATTAGTCTCTAGAACCTTGTATATTATAAAGTATTTCTATTATTTTTTTAAAAGAGAAATTCCAAAGGGATAAATGTCTGCTTACAATTGGAAAATAGGAACTCTGAACAACATGATTTAGGGATTGTACCTCATTCCCAGCTCCATGAGCAGCCCCTGGATATCACTGGTGAGATACAACAGCTCAATTTTAGTTGAGAAAGCCATCCTGAGGACCCACTTTTCCTCTGGAAACAGCAGTTGAAGGTTGAAGGGATCTTTTGCGATGGAAAAGTCCCTTGCTCAGCTTAGCCAGAATGGGTTGCAAGTGGGAAAAGTCCAGATACTCTCATAACTTTTAAAGTAATGCACATACTGTACAACAGCACAGTGAGAGAAATCTGAGTCATTTTTGAATTGAGACCTAGCTTCAAAACTCAGTTTCTCTGGCCACCAGCTCTGGCACCTTTGGCAAATTACCAGGCCACTCTATAAGTTGGTTTTCTTGGTGTACACAGGATAATAGTACCCTCCAAGAAGATCACACATGATGTGACAAATATGGGAGGAATCCTTGGACCAAAAAAAGAAAGTCACAGACAAGTTTCTTTGGTTTATAGAGTGTTTTAAAAATACTGAATTAGCTGCCAATATTTTTGGCAGACTTCACAGAAAGCTCTTATTTTCAGCTTATTGGATAATCTGAAGCTCTGCCTCACCAGGTCTTTCTTCTATATGCAGCAGTAAACTGAAGGGAAAGGTGGCAGCTGTTTTCTGGGCGCCTCATGCTCTTGGTCACACTCCAGACCCTCCAGGCCCACTCAAACATGGTGTCACCTCTCTGCACCTGTACCACTTGGGATTGAACCTCCTTTTGTGAGGCTTAAAGGGAATGTGGGTTAAGAACCTAGTTTAGCAGTTCTTCCCCCATCAAATTGTGCCTCCCTGAGAAGTTGAGAGTGGAATTCCAGGAAGCATCAAAGCCAAGCTATTTTGTAAGAATAAACCATTCAGAGCTGGCTCATGGACTGAGCAGAACATCATGTAAGCAGTGTAAGCAGAGACATAGTGTAAGTAAGCAGAGCATCATGTAAACAGAACATCATGTAAGTGTACCTCATAGGTTCAAGGTACCTATCTACCCTATACACACACAAACACATACAGTTTTGGGCTGGTATGTCTAGTGCCCCAAATAATGTCACTATTACATTTTATTTCATTGGGATTAGTGTGGCCAATTGCCTGACTCCTTCAGAAAATATCTCTGCCCCTGTGTCCTGGTCCTCTTTGGACCAGTTAACTAATCCGATAGAGCAGCTAAAGCAGCTTGTGCCTGGAGGGCAGGTAGTCAAGCCAGCCAGACAGCACCCTTAAGGCTGGACTTTCATTGGTTTCACATGGTTTTCAGGCTCCTCTCTCTCTCTCTCTCGCTCTCTCTCTGACAGTTTTATTATTAATTTCAATCAGAAGACTCCCTCTAAAATTATCCACTCCCCACCTCCCATCTCAAAACTTGATGCTTCTAATCAGCTGTGGGTTGAAGAACAGACATGAAGATTTTTAAATCCATAAAATCTCAGCCAGTGCACTATGAATGAGATCCTGGAAACATCTCCCAGAGTTAGGTAATTAGGTAACTAGAAGGGCTTTTTTCCCTTCCTCTACGTGTTTCTGGATTAAAAGACACAGGCAAAATAGCAGTGACCACGGAACTCAGTCCTGCTCCACCATAAGTGAGAAGCCATCTGGATACACTTTCCCAGGTACCAGCTGCCCCACAGGTGATGAGATAAGGGTGAGCTAATATTTTTTTGTTTTTGCTTTTGTTTTCATTTCTGAAAGAGCCTCAAAGTCCATGAGCTCACTGAGGGCAGGAACATTCCTTCCTGTTATCTCCCACCATACCTACCACATCTTAGACACTAAGTAAATATCTGTTAAAATGAAAATAATTCATTTATATTGTATTCTAGGGCTGATTGAATGAGATTTTAATAGGTAGTGATGTGCCATCTTGCTTTGAATGAGATTTTAATAGGTAATGATGTGCCATCTCCCCTGCTGGGAGGCTGTCACACACATGGACTCACACTCCCATTTAGACCTGTACATTTGAAAGGAAACTTTGAGAAACTCAACCATGGCCACTCTTCTAAGACATCCAGGACAGATATTGCTAATTATGTGAATCATGCTATTTTTCTCTTACTGATCCTTGATCCTACCTCAAATCCTTCTCAATACAGCACCCTGGGAAGATTCAACCAACTAATCTGAATTGACTTTTAGATAAAGGTTATTTGCCATCCCAGGTCCAATTTAGTGTACAAAAGTCCTTATTTTACAAAGTCCCAGGCTGACCCCAGGCAAGTTCTTCAAGTTCCTCCAAAGCAGCCCTCTCTCTCCCACCTTCCCCAGTGCCCTGTGCACCTACACCTGTGCGTCTACCACTTGGCTGGTGCATAATTGCAAGTGAAGTGTACATAAAGCCAGCCTGTTCCATGGCCCCATCTTGCATCATGGCACACTGTAAGAAGCTCTAGTTCTACAGCCAAGCAACTAAGCAGAAATTCAAGCTTCAAGGGAGAGTTCATTCTTAATGCACAGCAAAATGTCCTTATCATTCTTTATCTTTCTCAGTTCCTTATAGGCATGGGAGCTGCTTCCCAATTGCTTTCCTCACTGTCCGAAGTGTGAAGAATTCTCCTCAAACTAGTCCTAGCTGCCTCTTGCTGCCCTTTCTCCTTCTACCTTCTGGATATCTCCTACTCTCTTCTACCAGTAATTTTATGTCTATTTCAATGCAAATAAATCTAGCCAGATTTTCTTCCCTTCCATTTTCCCACTTACTCATTACCATGATTCTGCACAAAAAAGACCCAGGATCCGAAATGACAGAGTCAGCATCCTACTAATGGGTCAGGGGTACGGGAGAGAACATGGATATTGAAATGGTAATATTTACTTCTTTTTGCACACATATTATTATGTAAGATCCCAGAATCTCAGAATGTAGTCTACTTTGCACATTTCTTCTTCCTTCCCTAAAACTCCCTTTATTTCAGAGGGAGCATGAATATTTCAGTTTGACACTCTCACTCTTCACTGAGCTTCTCTTGTCTGGCCCAGGCCCCGCACCAGGGCTGTAAGCAAAGAGTTGAACAAAACAGGGTCCCTAGCTAAGGGATGAAATGGACTGGCTGGGGACTGACAAGAGAGTGGAGCGAGCCACCAAGGGACTGCTTTAGCCACCAGGTGATGGCTTATTGTGCACCTGCAAGGTTGTGCTACACTCTGGGACAGATCAAGTGGATGCCAATGGGTGTAGAAACCCCAGGACAGCATGAGAAGGAGGTCTAATTCTCCCTGATCATCATCTTGGACAAGGCTATTTTGAAGGAGCAAAGGAATGCCAATAGGAGCTATTGGCCCATTTCTTTCTTTCTTTATTTTTCATTTGGCAGTAACTTTACTGACAGGTGCCAGGGACACAGAGACATAGAAGGCGGGCTGCTGACCTTGAGGGGCTCATCCACCACAGTTAAGCAGACGTCACCTACTTTCCAGATTTCTCCCTGTTAGGGCCTGAGCAGAGACACAGCTGCATTACTGCAGTGATCAGAAAGGCAGACTACATCAGACTGGTCACTTGGCAGAGCAAATCAGGGGTTTCAAGAACATAGCCATCTGCTCATAGCCACCACTGACAATTCCTTCCTCCTCCATTTATCTCCTAGCTCAATGTAACACCTTTTGGCAGCATACCTCAGGCTGTCTTTTTTCAATGAATCAAGGCATGCAGCACCTTCAACTTGTGGGCCTGAACCACATCCCTAGAAGGATCCTTGGTCACCCAGCATGGACTTGGACACTGTCCAGATGTGCTGAATTCGGATGCTGAGCCACAGAGCCCTCAACAGCCAGTGGGAGCTCTGCCTGCAGCCCTGGGCTTTTCTCTATCTTCACAAGGAAAGGCTCTCTCAGTGGATATCTGAATAGGGAAGTCCTGCATAGGATGAGTACAGAGTACATAGAAGCCAATGGGATGGATCTCATAGGCATAATGTTGAGGGAAAGAAGCCAGACACAAATATACTTGCTGCATGATTCTATTTATATATAGTACTAGAGTAGGCAAAGCTGGTCAATGGTGATACAAATCAGAAGAATGGAGAGCAGGCATGGTGGCTCATGCCTGTATTCCCAGAGTTTGGAGAGGCTAAGGCAGAAGGATTCCTCAAGCTCAGGAGTCAAGACCAGTCCAGGAAACATAGTGAGACCCTGTCTCTAGAAAAAATTAAAACCATTAGCCAGGCATAGTGGCAGGCACTTGTAGTCTCAGCTACTCAGAAGGATGAGGTGGGAAGATCGCTTCAGCCCAGGAGGTAGAGGCTGCAGTGAGCTGTAGTGCACCACTGCACTCCAGTCTGGGCAGCAGAGTGAGACCCTGTCTCTAAAAAACAAAACAAAACACCTTTAAGGGAACTGGCAAAGAGGTAACTGTGATGTGCGAGTTGCACAAGCTTGCTTTAGTTTATTCCAGTCAAAAGACAGTTCCTGGCACTAATCTGTGCCATCTTCCCCTCCAGGACTGGCCCAGGGGATGTAATGAAGCCGCACAGTGCTCATCCTTGCAGAATTCATTGTCTGCTGGTGACATAGCCTTGTAGGCTGAACCATGAAAGGAGGCCAGAAGGAGGAGGGCTGGAGTTACTGGAAGGCTAAATTCTGAAGGGTGAGCAGCCATGAGCCTGGGAAAAGGAGAGAAAGTGCTTCACAGGCAAAGGGGAAGCCTGAGAGAAGCTGTAAAGAGTAGTGGGGACCCGCTCGCTCAAGTGTTGAGCCCTGGAGAAAAATAGCAAAAAGCACTGGGAAAGAAGGGTAGAAAAGAGGCGGGGCCCTGTGTGAGGACCATGCATACCTCAGAATAACACCCTGAGGACCAGCTGGTTCTGGCCCTACTTCTTTTTCCTCATAAATTCAGGCCACAATTGTCCAGGCAACTATGACTTACTGTAATCCAATTTTGAGTGCTCAGTCTTGAATACAAAGTACATAGAGGAGTTTAGGCGTAAGCCCCCTCAGACTACTCTAATCCTGCTTGCACACTGATTCTGCGGGCCTGTGACACTTCAGGGGGCAGCTAGGTCTTCAGTGGGGTGAGCCTCTGACTGACAGCCGGTCTTTAAGGAGAATATCTCTCGGAATTGGCAGAAAGAACCTGGGCTGCCTGTTTAAGATGCAGGTTAATCCTTCTTCTGAAAGCACTGCTGTCACAGCCAACAAAGAATTATTACTTGTCTACATGTATTGTTTATTTCCTCTTGGAATAAAGCATCACAGAACATGGATATTCCTTCATTTCCATTTCTATTAATTGTAGTGTCTTTGAGGTGAATAATAAGACTGTGCAATCAATAGTAATGATGGAACCACCCAGCGCAAACAATATCTCCTCCACTGTCTCTCCTACAGCATCTATCTGCTTTATTAAGTGGCAAAGTATATTTTTTTTTAAGTGCACTGGTAGGGGAAACAAATCTACAAATAATTATTTAAAAAAATTAATCGTTGGTATAATTCAATTATGCAGCATGCAGTGCAGAAAAGTTCTCTTAATTACAACAGAATTGAATAGAAGATTCTTCAGACTTAACCTTGTTATTTTTCAAGGTGAGCTATTGCTAAGTAAATTCTAGGATGGCTTTCAATAGCCTCTCTTTGGAGCAGTCATCTGCAGAACTATTCAGAAGGAATCTGTCTCAGGCCCAGTGCAACTGGAGATAGCTGGAGGATAAATAGGTAACTGGAGGCAGCATGTGAAAAGCAAGGAGCATGGGCTTTGAGGCTGGACAGACCTCTCCAGCAGAAACAAAGCCAGGGACCTTAGGGGAAGTAACTCAGCTCCTCAGACCTGCAATTTATCTCATCATCCCCTCCTTGAAGAGTTCCACAGACAATGAAATGGTTAGCATATACAAAGCACCTCAAGAATCACAGGTACTCATAACAGACATAACCATATCTGGCCCTACTTCTTTTTCCTCATAAATTCAGGCCACAGTTGTCCAGGCATCTATGACTTACTGTAATCCAATTTAGCGTGCTCAGTCTTGAATACAAATTACATGGAGGAGCTTAGGCATGAGCCCCCTCAGACTACTCTAATCCTGCTTGCACACTGATTCTGCTGGCCTCAGCCCACGTCTGCAACTGTATGGACTGTTCCTGTGTATGCTGATGGCTTCTTACCTCAAGGGCCTGCCTCTCCCTGCTTCTCTGCCTACAGGCTTTCTTAAGTGCCATAATAGCTTGTGAAAGGCAGCCCAGAGTGCTGACCTCTAGAGGCCACACTCAACTAATGAGGAATAGAAGTCCACAAATACTTTGACTTCCCCCATCCTTTGATACACGTTCTATGTGATACTGGAGACCAACCATACTAGTTTTCCAAGGACTGAGGATATTCCCAGGATGTGGGACTTTTGATGCTAAATAATCAGTCTAGGCAAAGCAGGATAGTCACCCTAATTATACCTCACAGGGTCCCCAGTGAAATGGAGCCCAGATACCCACAGCAGTAACCTGTTCATGACTGTACCATTGGTTGGCTTTTCTCTTTTCCCTATTTTGTGTTCTCCTGTGTGGGAGCTTCCTGGGGTTACCTTCTAAATAAAACACCTACACTCAATTCCTAGTCTCAAGAGAAAGCCAGACTCAGATAGTACTTGGCCACATGGTGGCTGCCTTTCCTCTACTCCTTCTCTTTACACTAGACCCTTACTCATAACTGAGCCGTGAAGGGTGTGGGCTCTAAGGTGAGCCAAGAGGGTATGGAAATGAAAACAGCAAAGGAAAGACTGCTTTCTGGAAGTTAAATGGACTCTCAGGGCCTTCAAACTGGGCATGCCAAGGGGATACATATGCATTCTCAGTTACCTGTGAATGGGCAAGGTGTTGTCAGTTGGCTGGTTCTCCAGACACTAGCAACAGCCTCTACCTTTCACATCTTCCACTGTTCCCATGCCCATGGAGCTACACCTCATGGGGAGAAGAAAGGTGCATTCTTTGCTCTCTGGGTGGAAATTGAAAGGCCACCCTTTCAAGGTCTCTGCAGCTTATATCCAGGTTCTCTATTCAAACCATGTTAAAGCCCAGGCAGCAGGACTTCCCTCTTTGCTGGTCACTAGTGCCCCAGTGCTAGTCACCTGGTCACTGCTTTTGTATCTGTGTTCACCCTATGCCCCTGCTTACAATCCTCCCTTGGTCTAACTCCTACCCTTCAAGATCAAGCATAACCCTGTAACATTCAGGAAGCCCTCACCAACCATCACAGTCCACATTGACCTCAGTCTTTCCATTAATTGTCTGTACCCTTTTGTACTTACTCTCCATGGCTTGTGTAGTTACTCTGCTGCTTTCCTAGCTGGAGGTGAGTGTCAAGGGAGTGAGACCTGAGCACTGTGGTGACAGCTACCCAGAGCACACAGCAGGAGCTCAGAACCCGCTTTTGCAGTGATGAACCAGCATGGGTAGAGAGTCAGGTGGCTTCTTATGTGGGGCTTCCTAGCAGAAGACCCTGAGATGCAGGTTCTTGTAAATGTGATTCATTAAGAAATCCTGGCTGAGTGGGTGACTCATGCCTGTAATCCCAGCATTTTGGGAGGCCAAGGTGGGAGGATTGCTTGAAGCCAGGAGTTCAGGACCAGCCTGGGCAACATAGCAAGACCCCATCCCTACAAATAATAATAATTTTAAAAGCTGGGTGCCTGTAGTTTCAGCTACTCAGGAGGCTGAGGCAGGAAGGCAGGAGGATCACTTCAGCCCAGGAGTTGAAGTCTGCAGTGAGCTCTGAGTGTGCTGCTGCAATCCAGCCTGGGTGCCACAGTGAGACCTCCTCACTTAAAAAAAAAAACTCCTCCCAAGGGGTACCTGTAAGGAAGGGTTTTTGGGACAGGGAAAAGAGGAAGTCAAACAAGGATGTGATTTCAGGTGGAGTTCTGTGGAAGGTGGCTTCAGCCTGGTCCTGCAGGGGATATCTGGCATGTAAGTTAAATCTCGGAGTTGCCCCGATCTGAGGCTAGGAAACTGGATTTCCATGCTTCTTCACTGGACAGTCATTGGTTAAGGGCTGCCCCAGGGTTGGATGCATAGATATCCAGATGCTTCCATCTCTTCAACTACAGACAAAGCCATTCCAGGATCCCAAAAGCTGTCTTCCAAAGAAGAGACTAGGTGATGAACACTGAGGACTAAAGCCACAGGAGCCCACCCTGTTCCCTGCCTCCATGCTCGCCAGAAGTGGCTGTTGCACAGAAGCAAAGTGTCTGGAATATTTCCTGATTTCCCAGCTTAAATTCTGACCCGCTTGCTCTCTGCTTTGTGATCTGTGCCTGTTATTTTTCTCTCTGATCCTGTGATGCCTTTACCCTTGACAGCCTTTCCTCTTTCTTCACATCTGATGAGACCACTGCCTCTCGAGCCCAGACCTCTGACTTACCTCCTTGTAGAGAGATACACTTCCCTCTCTCAAGATGCTACTTACACTAATGCTGGGAAACTGCCCACTCTGTGCGCCATCCCTGGACCTGGTGGACAACATGCCTGATGACCTGCCCTGTCTCAATTCTCCCAGTGCCCCGGACATCCAGGATTTTCAGAGCAGGTGAACATAACTCTTCCTACCTTTTTGTTCTATTACTGTCTGAAGATGCTGGCTCATGGTTGGCAACTTTACAAAATAAAACGGGGCCAATTTAAACAAATAATTAACATCAAGATTAGCTGAATGGACAGAGTTGGGGTGGCTTCCATCAGATTTTGGGGAGCTGGTCCAGCCTCCCTCATAAGCAGCAGGGGTCTGTTGTCAAGGTTGTCCTCAGTCAGAGCTCTTCCCAGGCACTCAGGATAAGCAATGCCAGAGCTCTCTGTCACTCTGTCATACTTTCTTATCTAGGAAGCAGAGTGTTAACCCATGTGGCCTTTCCTTAGTAGATGTATGGTTCATTCTGACCCTCCCATGAGGGGCACATGGGAGGAGCCAAAAGGCACCAAGCCCTGTGTGGTAAGATCAATGTTACCATGCCAAGTCTCCCAGGACACTGTCTCAGAGGTTATCATGTGCAGCAGGCAGGCTCTTCCTGGCTCTTTCCCTGGAGCCGGGAGGAGGCTGAGCTGTAACCTTTGCTTAACATATGTCACCTGAGGAGGATGATGGTCACATTCCTGTGGCTCTGTGCGTTCAACTATCAAACATCCCCTGTTGTTTTGTGAGCTGCTCCAGTCCTGTCCCCTTTGAAATTGAGCCAGGTCCCCAAAGAGCCATAGTAGGTAAGGACATTCTTTGTAGTGATATGAACTGATCAACTACAAAGTGCCTTCCTATGACTAAATTATTAGGATTCAACTTTTTGAAGGCTTTCCCAATGCTCTGACATCCACCACTATGAGTCAGTAGAGTGGGCGAGTTACCCTGAGGAATTGCTTCTGTTGGCTGACGAGGAGGCCCTTGCTGGGTTTTAGGAGAGGACAATCAAAAACTAGCATCCATTTAGGCACCAACTCTATACCAGGCCTTGGGGCTCTGACACGGTGGTTCACTTAACCACACAATGGCTTATACAGATGTTCCTCTGCACCTGATTATTATTATCCCTATTCATATGTGATAAAGAAAAATATAATTTCTGAAGTCATCCTGAGGCCACATGTAGCTGTGAAGCTTTCATTTCTTCAGCTCTAACATTGTTGTGAGAAGCAACTGAACATGGGAAAAGCATCTTGCAGCATGGTGGATGGTAAATATATATATTCTTATTTTACTTTAAGTTCCAGATACATGTGCAGAGTGTGCAAGTTTGTTATGTAGGTATACATGTGCCATGGTGGTTTGCTGCAACTATCAACCCATCATCTAGGTTTTAAGCCCTGCATGCATTAGGTATTTGTCCTAATGCTCTCCCTGCCCTTGCCCCCCACCCCCCGACAGGTTCCGGTATGTGTTGTGATAATGAATGTTTTTAAGAAGAGGGAAATGAGTATATCTTCCAACCCACAGGAATAAAAGTTTTTTATTCCTAGGGTGAGTCTGACTTCAAAGGTAAAGTCACTCTTTAGTAAGTTTGCCCTAAAAATGTGAAGAAGATGCTTCCCTCCTCTTGGGTGCTTCTTTGTCTGACTCTGAATATATCAAATGATCACTGAGTGACAGCGGCAAAGAGGACATGGGGATGGGGAATCTGAAACCCAAAATAATAATCACTGCAAGAGCTACTTCCTTCACATATTTCAAAACTAAGCCAGGACTGAAAGGAACATTGCCAATCACAACCTTCCTTAAAGATTTCATGATTTTCCCATCTAGTAATCAATACAATGAGGTGTAAAATACTGAATATTAAAGTTTAAATAGTCATTCTAATGATTATTATTATTATTTTTGAAGACAGGGTCTTGCTCTGTCACCCACGCTGGAGAGCAGTGGCACAAACTCGGCTCACTGCAACCTCTACCTCCTGGGTTCAAGTGATTCTCCTGCCTCAGCCTCCCAAATAGCTGGGATAACAGGTGTGCACCACCATACCCAGTTAATTTTTGCATTTTTTTAGTACAGACAGGATTTTGGCATGTTGGCCAGGCTGGTCTCGAACTCCCATCCTCAGGTGATCCACCCACCTTGGCCTCCCAAAGTGCTGGGATTACAGGCATGGGCCACCACACCCGACCAGTCATTCTAATTATTATAACCTTACTGATTGGCTATTGTATTCTAGGCACACTCTTTCCTATATAATCTATTTGTCTTCATATTTACACTGTGAGATATCAATTGCTGACTTTATTCACAGCATATGGCCATAGATTGCATGGTTACTCTGTGTCTGGCATAAAAGAGGAACAAACGGCAGCCAGCAATCATAGGTAACTTGCCCAAGGCCATTCAGCCAGTTTTGGAGGAGCTAGGCTGTGAGCCTAGATCTAGGTTGTTCAAAAACTGTTTTTTCCCCCAATATCCCTACATGATCTTCTAGGAATCTAGACACGAGCAAAATAAAAATAGAGAAGGTTGTCCTTTATCCAGCTTCTTTCTTGTATTGCCCCTTCTTGACACACACACACCAATTCCAGAATGGCAGAAAGTTAACGGCATTCATTTTGAGAAACTGCCCTGGTAGCTGCTCTAAACACCGCTATTATCACAACTGAGAAAGAATAGGACAGGAAGTTAAAGAATTCAGAATTGGGTTCTGTTTGTACTTCTATCATAGAAGCTCAGTGTTCATCGGCTTAAGCCAACACATTTTGCACATTAGCTGAGAACCTACACATCTGGTGTCTGCATTATACAAGCACATGTAGCGTGTGACTTTCACGAGCTTTCCTTGTTTTTAAAACTAGTTGAGTCCAGAAGCAGCTTCATGTGCTAATGAACACATAGTCTTTTTGCTATGGTCTGAATGTTTCTGTCCCTCTAAAATTCATGCATTGAAAGCTAATCACCAGGGTTATGGTATTAGAAGGTGGGGCCACTGGGAAGTGATTATGTCATAAGAGGGGGGTCCTTCTGAATGGGATTAGTGCCCTTATGAAAGAGGCCTGAGGGAGGTTGTCAGTCCCTTTTCTTCTTCCACCACATGAGAATACACAGCAGGTGCCATCTATAAGAAATGGGCCCTCACCAGACACTGAAACGCTGGCACCTTGATCTTGGACTTCCTGGCCTCCAGAACTGTGGGAAATAAATTTCTGTCATTACAAACAGAAATATTTGCCATGTACATAATACACTGGGGTAATCCCAGTGTTCGGTAACATTGTTATAACAGCTAAACAGACTGAGACACTTTTCAGTAGCATAAGTAATTAGCCTGGAGGGGAGGTGGGC
Organism: Homo sapiens; assembly: GCF_000001405.40. NCBI lineage: Eukaryota > Metazoa > Chordata > Mammalia > Primates > Hominidae > Homo > Homo sapiens. The sequence continues at coordinate 140,271,308 of NC_000003.12, read as the reverse complement.
TAACAGAGGCACACCAAATAATCTGCCACTTGCCCTTTCCTGCTTGAACACGAGCTGGCATTTGGGCTTCTGCCATCTCATGTGTCTGGGACCCTGGTGAGCAGAGGTGACCTCCAAGAGATTTTGAGATGAATGGTCACCGAATGCAATGGTGCTCTAAATCCATTTGACTGGGGAGCAATGATGCACCGAGCCATCAGCTGTTTGGTGAGCCAGTGCAAAGTGATTATGTGGCTCCCCGGGAAGGAAATCACCCAGAGACGCCGCTAAAGAATTATCTAGCAGGAGGATGTTTGGGAGTAATCCCTCTTAAATTACTCTGTTGCAAGACTATCCAATGGTGCTAAATTGTCTCCATGCTAGAATGAGAGGTCAAATGCAGACACCTTCCCAGGTCTGTTGGAGAAGCATGATGATAGGGAGGGAGCTGCAAGTCTTCCCTTGGGGCCACAGACTGCTCTGGACTACAGGTACCGGAGTTCTGCTACCAGCGACTAGGTAAAATTCATATGCTTTTCAAGAGAGAATAAAGCTCCAATACTTCTGTGGGTGTGAGGAAATTCGCCAGAAATGCTGAGTGTCCTTGTGGCACTTGCCACTTCCTGGACCACAGTTACCAATTGTAGATCCACAGACCTATAAGGTGAACCTGCTACCACCCTAGCATCCACAGCCCTCTTCCCCCATCCTCCTGTCTACACACAACCAGGCTCATATAGAGGATTCATGTTCTTACTGGTCCAATGTGTGAGTCATCTGGATGGGAGGCACTAGAGTTGCGGCCAGGTGACATGTGGTTTTCCATTCTTAGCTTGTTTCAGGCTTGTAAATTCTTCCCTAACAACCGGACGGCAGACACCTCCCAACCAGGGACCCTGTCTCATTTGTTACAAAAGTGGCTGACAAAGTGGTTGACAAAGCATCCTGTCTCCCACAGACACACCCAGGCAAATGAACACATGGCAGAGTGTGGTGGAACCCAGGCTCTGGGGCCAGGTGCATATGGGTGTGAGTCCACCTCCATCCTGGGTTCTCACATATCACTTGACTTCTTTGAGTGTACATCTCCTCACCTGTGTTAGGAGGTTCCAAGTATCACAGGTAAGAGGCAATGAATGAGGAGCCGTTAGTGGACACATAGTTAGTACTCCAATTAATGGTAGCCATCACATCCTCATTCACTAGGAAATTTCCTCAGCATGTTCATTCATCAAAATGGGCTTAATAGCATGTACTACATATATTGGCTTTGAGGCTTAAATGTAGCCCTGTCTTTAAAGATGGGAGCCCAGCAAACATTTGCTCAAGAAACTGGCCCGCTTTTCCTCTTTCTTGTTTTCTTTCTCTACCATCAAATCCTCACAAAACCTCATCAAATCCTCACAAAACCTCTCTGAGATAAGTGTAGTTATGATTGTCATTTTCCAAATGAGAAAGCTTCAGAGAGGTTATACAACTTAGGTGGGATCAGACAGCTAGTGAATAATGGAGCTGGGATTTGAACCTTGGAGTAATCCCTCTCTCAATACTCCTTCAAAATCCCCTGGGGTCAGAAGTACCCTGTAGGTGCAGTTTAGGAGCTACATCTCACACAGTCCCAACTTCCTATAACTTCCTATAAATAATGTGGTCCCCCATCGGTTCAAGAAGTGGGGCTATGCACACAGAGTTCACTCAATAATATCGAAAGCTTTTCTTTCCAGAAGGGGCTGTTTAATTACCTCCAGTTCTACCAATGTGCCACAGGCTTGGCCCTCTCTGTCCCACATTTGTGTTGAGCATTAGATTTCTGTTAATTAATACCAAGTCTAATCTTCTTTGATTACAAACATTGATTGTCGCTGAACTCTCAGCCATCCCTGCCAGCAGGTATGTATCTGAGTTCCAAAACACTCAGGCACCATCGTGCCAGGAGAAAGGTGAAATGAAACATTAAGCTGGGTTTATGGTCAATTTAATTAATGCAAATGTTCAGCTCGGTTCATTTGGCCCAATAATGTTTTCCAATAAAGCTATTGGGGACAAACACTTCTTGAGTGTTTATTTTCTATGTCCTCTTAAAGAAAATCCTGTTTTGCAAGAAACTGAGCAAGGTACCACCCAAAGGATACTATTAAGTTCCAACTTGTATCCATGGAAAATCTTCCTCTTAACTAAAGTTCTGAAAACAAGGAGTCTCTCAGTAAATAAGGAGTAAGCCTATGACTTGGTGTGGCTGATGGTAAAAGGTAGATGTGAGAGAAGCAAGAAGACAAGAGGCACTATGGAATGTTAACTCACTAGGAGATTTATTCAAGACGTCCCTGATCAATTAATAAACAAATCTCTACTGAATAACAATATTTAACTTCTATATAGAGCCTTCCAGGGCCCAGAACACCACTACCTACATTATCTCATTTGATTGCCGATCACAGCAATCAAGGTAGGTGCCTTATAGTTTCTATCCTGTACACAGAGGAAATGAGACTCTGAGAGGGCAAGTGGGTTGCGTAATGTTGTACAGCATCAAAGCCAGGACACAGATTATATACTGCCACTGCCCACTGCCAACTATACCATGTACAGTTGTGCAGGTTGCACCCTGCACAAGGACACTGGACACTCCAGTGCTTCACTAGCTAAGTCAGCACTGTGGCTGGATACTGAGTTAGCCAGGAAGGAGAATGGAACCTCTTCTCCTAATTTGCACAATGACACCTCTGTTTGTCAAGCCAAATTTTTGTGAGTGATGTTTTGCCTGGGAAAGCTATCATTTTCTAATGTGCCCCAGAGTGCCACATGAAAGCTCACAACACCCAGTCCTGCCTGCCTGTGTCCTTGCACATCAGATCTATTATAGCACCCATAACACTATAAAGTGTATATGTTTTTCCATAGGCAAGCTCCTGCTACAGATCTTCCTGAACTTCCTCAGAGGAAAGACTGAGCTTCAGTCACTTCTATGTCCCCAGCCCAACAGGGGGTGTTGTACTGCTGGACGAATGATTGGTAAAAGGGCTGAGTGAAAGAATGCATGCACACACATCCACTGCTCCTTTCTCTACGTACTCCTGGCCCAGCCCTCTGCTGGATGATTCCTCCCTCTTCTGAAGGCCCAGAGTCCTTCTCAGAACCTTCTTATTGGGTCTCAGAGTCATCTGTGCACTTATGAGACTACTATTACTAGGCAGTAGGCTATGTGAGGGCAGCCAGCGGTTCACCCCGATAGCTCTTTTCGCCTCCAAGCTCAGAGCTTGGCACTAAATGTATTTCCCTCCTTTTTTCCTCTGCCTCCAATTCATTCCCCATTTTATGTAGCCTGTGTTTAAAGATAAATGATAAGCTTATATAACAGGAGCTAATGGATGTCAATGTGGGTATAATATCATTTCACAGAATCAGAGTCCAAGAATAGCTGTGCCTTCTAGGAATTCAGTCTTCCGAGAATTCTCTCCAGGCTTTTCTGCTCACAGTTATATCCTTCCTAAGCTGGAGTTCTGAGCCATACCACAGTTCCCACCTTTCCAAGTTTCAGTGCAAATGTAATGTTGAGGTAGCAAAAAGATGGCACAGCTCTCCCTCAGGCCAACCAAACTAGAAATCACTGAGGTTTTCCCCTTGTATTTTCAAAGATTCCCTGTCTCCTGGCCTGGGGCACAGCAAAACTTCTGGGCTTGTGTCTGAAAGAGGCAACACAGTGGTTTTAAACAGCCCGGTCTCTGAGAATATAACTATATACCTATTTGGCTAAAGATGTGTTCACCTATTTTCAGGTCCTTTCAGTAATTGCTATTGCCTGTATCTCTCTCTTTGCTTTGGCAAGGTTTGGCTTTTCTCCCTAATCTTCAATGTTCCTTCAATATCCATAGACTTTCATCTTGCCCTGAAACCTGGGGATTTGCAGTAGACCAAGGAATTGGAGTTTGTGGACTGAGACTGTTAGACTAGGACAGAGGCATTCTACATCAGAGACACCTTACAGAGTAGTTTTAGAGAGTGGGCTTGCTCCAAAATCTCATTTCTCTGTATTTTCTCCTCAAGCTGCATTCTCCTCATTCTGCTTTTTAAGGAAAGATATGAGGTTTTAAATGGATGATAGGAACTCACAAAACCTTGGTGGGTTAAGAGGAGGGACCAACACAGTATAACAAACAGGAAGATACACACTTTCTCCCAACTACATACTCCGCCTGGGAACCTGGGAGGAACATGGTCCATTCTTCACCCACCTAAGGATTCCCAGGTAGACCTGGTTTCCAAATCTTGCAGCTTTAATCCAGGAATAAAAAACACAGGTCTCACTTGTCCCATTTCTCTCTGCCAGCACTCATGGCAGACATTGCTAACAGATCATGATACTGTCCTCTACTGAGCCAATTTCAGCCTTAGCATTCTTTCTAACAAAGCATTCCAGACAACAACTAACAACCAGAGTTGGCACATAAAATGCCATAGCTCTTTTCGTGCTTGCCATGTAGCCAAGGACAAATTGCTGATTAACACCATGGCCAGGTGGAACAACCAATGGACCCACGGCTTGGGTCTCTATTTAAACTTCCTGTGATCATGATCACTTAGACTAATCAAGATCTTTGTGTTTTGACCATTAGTCCAACAATAGTTTTTCTGAGGTTTAATGCCTGGCATAGACAAGGTGGATGAAACCAAAACATACCAGTGGAAATTCAGGCACATTTTTTCATTTATTCAGCTTCAACTCGCGGCAGAACAACCTATTTAAAGCTAATGATGAGCTTTAGGAATAGATAGGTAAACAGAATACCAGTGATGCATCTTTGAATAGCTCTCCAGTAGCTGAGAATTGGAAATGTCCTTTAAGCCTTCACATAATGTGGCTGTGAAGCAAGGCATTCCTTAAACTTGAAAGGGAAATTGGAATATCCTATCTTAATTTTATAAGAACATCAAGACAACCACTACTATCTTATAATATGAATTCTTTCAAGTTTTCTTTTGTTGTTTTGGATCTCACTGTTCCTGTGGGATTTCTAATGTTGCTTTACTTTGTTTCATTTTCTGCTCATTTATGCTTTTTATTGGTTTCATTCGCCTATATGGGTAAGAACTTTGGAGCTTCCACTCAAGGTATAGCATCTTCTCTCCATTCCCTCCAGCCATCAGGGTAATCACAGGATAATGGGGGGTGTGCCAATACTGAGTGCAGAGAGAGATCAGACACAGGATATGGGAATTCACCCTCAGCAATCCAGCACCTCTGTTTCAGATGTTGAGCTATTGAAGGCTGTCAGGTGCAGTACTGGAAGGTTTGTTAGGGCACCCACGAATCACAGTGGGTCTGTCCTTAGCTGGCTGAGCTGAGGCCATGTAGTGATGATGTCTGCACCAGCTACAACTATGCAGTGAGGGATCCAAGAACCCTAGACCCTCATTTTCCCAGTGCAGGGATGCTTTCTGAATTTATCGGATCATATCACAAGAGGAAGACTCACACTGACACAAATGCCTCTATCTGCCTAGTTTTTCTAGGCCGCCAGCCCTGAGTGTCCCTTTGATATGTAATATTCTTGCTGACTTACAAACTTCCCTCTTCAGGAGCTCTGTGTGGGAGTGGGAATAATGATGAAAATCTGGCCCTTACCTAAGAAAACTCAAAGCACTGATGGTTTTACTTTTTTCCAGATAAAACTGGCTTTTATTTCATATCAACAGCAGGAGAATCACTGTTAAAAGTCAATGCTGATGGAAAGTACATTGAAACTGCGCTTAATCACACTCAGTGGGGATAGGCCATCCAGAGTGATTATCTTTTTTGACAAAAGCTTGTTTTCTTAAAGGCTGGCCTCATGGGGCCTCTGACAGCCCACGTACAGCTGTGGTTTAGAACTCTGATTCCAGGGGGTCTGGGTAGTCTCAGAGTCTCTGAGCCTTCTCTCCTCTGCTGAGAGGTCGTTAGGTCATGCCTTCTCTCTTCTACTACTGTCGAAGCCTCCAGAGGTGTGACTGGCTTTGGGGCTCCTCCTCCGGGCTTTCTCAGCCCCCCTGTGCATTGCCAGTAGAGAACACCTGCAACTTGGAATTGTTCTTGTCTTGTTTCCACATCTGTCTCCCCAGCCATAAAGGGCAGTGTAGATGCATGGTTGAGGGCCTGAGTATTCTTGGCTTCACTGTTTGGGCCCAATTCCTGGTTCTTCCACATACCAAATGAATTCAGGCAAGTTATCTGACCTCAGTGACTTCCTCTAAAAATAACAACAGTAATAGTACCTCCTCGTAGGGTCATTTTGCAGATTAAATGGACAAATGTGTATAATGCACTACAGCAATGGCCAGCACACACTCAATACTTTATGTGCTGGGGGTTGTGAAGGAGGGAAGGATGAAAAACTATGAGCTCCTTCAGGGCAGAGACCTGTGCACATCATTTCTATAATCCCAAGATCTAGTCTGGCACAGAGAAAGCACTCAATAAATGTGTTGGAAGCACACTTGTACTCTTAGATCTACCCCACTGGCCTAATTCTCAATTAATAGTCATTGTTCAATGAAAATCATCATTTTTTTCAGCTGTCCTAAAAACCCCTGAGCAATTCTCACTCTGCTCTCTCTGTCCCATGCTCCTGGGCCACTTACCAAAGAGGCTTGAGATTATCTCTTGACAATGAAAGGCAATGTAAGTGAATCCTCCTCAAAGGAAATCATTATCAACTATAGCCAGTTCTTGCTATTTGCAGCAGTTATGGTCTATAAAGGTGCTGCAAAGACTGAATTAGCAAATATTGAACTATCACTTGGAGGGAAATACAGGGTCAAGCATCTTCATGTCTCCGGTTATGATATTTTTGTCAACCGATCATTATATACCTTGTTTTATGTCACTGTTGCATTATGTGTGTTCCTGTTTAAAGATGCCTAATTTTATATATATATATATATATATATATATATATATATATATATATATATATATATTTGATTCATTAACCTTGAACTCACAGCAACAGCTCTGTAACTCATGCCTGAACTAAGCTTACCTGACACATGCTTTTCTCCAGAAGGCAAATCACAGCCTTCTTGTACTTAGAAACACAAGACAGTGTTTCAGTACTATGCTTGGGAGGCCATTTTAAACAGCAAAATCATCAACAAAAAGTATAAAAGTGAAAAACATGTGGCACTAAATAGACCAGGAAAAGGACATTTATTTACAGTATGAGAGATGGAAACAAAAAGCCAGAGCATCACCTCGTTTGACCTCAGCTGGGAACAAACACATTGTTGGGTACCTTAAATTTTTCACCACTCTGCACATGCCTACAAATAACTGTGAAAACACCCAAGTTTGATAGTGAGAGTACAGATAATTTATAGTAAGTAGGCTAATTCACAAATATTTGTAAATAATGAACACTGTGTATGATTATACAATAGGGAATGAAAATATTAAATATGGTACTTATAACAAATGCCTGGAGGACTTCAGCTCCAGTTGTTTTCAGACTATCAAGAGTTCAACTGTAAACTTTCTTTCAAGGATGTTTCTCCCTACTGGAATTACCAATAAGTAATTAATATGAATATTTTTTTGTTTTAATAAGGACCCAATTTTATAGAAATTGAATACATAGGTTGAGCTAGTTGTTCTAAGTCACTGGACACAAAGACATTTATTTACCTGCAGCCAAACAAGAAAAAGGGAAGAGATGTAAGTTTTTTGGGGAGCATCTACTCTGTAGTACAAATAATATTTGGTACTATGCATATGTTTCATTAAATCTGGTTAACTGGTAATTAGGCTCCCTGTTTTTCACAGATGAAGCTACAAAGACTTCATTGCCCAAAGCTTAGGGCCCTCCTTCTAGAGCAATACACCCCACAACCTGCCTGAGTGAGCAACCAGTGAACCCCATGGGGGTGAGCCAGTGGCCAACCTCTTCCACATCTTCCAGCTGGGTGCCTGTAACCCATTAGGACCAATCCCACCATTCCACATGGCCCTGATTACTTCAGCCCAAGTGTCCCACCTCATCTCTTATCACCCTCACTAATCTCCACATATAGGTCCCCTACATTTCCTAACATGAACCAAGTTCCCATTCTCCCAAATATTTCCACAGTTGTTTCTGCAACTGGAGGTTTTGTCAGTACTTGACCATCATATATCCTTCACTTCTCTGAATAACCCCTTCTTTTTCTTCCTCTGACTAAGCCAGGCTATCCTCTGAGGACACTACTTCCCTTGCAGTCTTCTCATTGGGTAATGTTTTTTTGTTTGCTTGCTCTTGGGGGTTTTTTTGGGGGGGATGTGGGGAACGGTCAAGTACCTCAGGAACACTCCAAACCATTTGTTCTTCTTCAAAAATCCTGGCTCATTTCAAGTTCATCCTGCAAATCTGAATAACTCACTGTCCTCCTTGTGTTTCCTCCATTGACCTCCCAGTGATCCCTTTCTTTCTCTGAAGAGGTCCGGTCCTGGCTTACCATTTTCTTTGCCATACTTCTTACTGTCCCCATTCTTCATAATGTCAACATTCTACTGGAGAATCTGTCCTACATCCTGGGCTCTTTGTTGACTGCTTCCAGACCAAAAACCTTTACTCTCATCATTTCCCAGCCACTCATTCTCATGGCCATACCAAAGGTCCTATCTTCCCTGAAAACTGCACTACCTTCATAATGTAGATACCAGTCAGTCTTCTCTTATTGCACCATCACCTGAAATTCCACTTCACTTTCTTTACTAAAACAATTACCACTAATCTATGGGCCCCATGAAACATATAATCCATTCATCTTGCCACTTTTTCACTCCCCATCAACAATATTACTTCTTCACATTCACTTTCAACCAGTTAGAGTTCATAATTCATCATAAAAAATAATTTCATTTCGAACATCTTTAACTTTCTTACACTCCTCTCTCTTTTACCTCAGGCCAAACAGCACCCATGGATAAGCCCTCTCTTGTGCCATGCCTGCCCCTGGGCAGTTGAACATGCTGGGAAAGCCATTGAAAGCCATGCTGACTGGCATCCTATGGGTGGAACAATGTCTTCATTCCTCTGGAAGGCCAGCTTCACCACTCACATGCTGAGCTTGATTGCCAACCACCAGCTACTCTTGCTTCTAGTTTATACTTTTTTTCATATTCTACTGGCTCATTTCCAGCAGCACATAAACATGCTTATAAACACAGTAAATATAAACACAAAACCCTGCCAAGGTTCTATTGTAATCTCATTTCCCAAATCAAAAAACTAAGCTTCAGGAAAGTTAAGAAACTAAACTAAGGTCACACAGCTAATTGAGCAGGACAGGACAACTCTAAAATCTGTACTTTTTATGGCATCATACTAATTAGCCTGGTGGTAAGATTGACCTTGAAATAATTCTCAGTATTAATGATAACTGGCAGATCAAGCTCCAAAAACATTTTGGTAGCTAAGATAAGCCATAAAAAAATAGAAGGTGGGCATTAAGTAAATTAATGGTGGATGTTAGGAACCAGGTCTCCTACTGTTGGAGAGCTTACAGAGAAGCAAGAGAAGGTGGCTACAATGATCCATGTGTTAGTGCATTAGAATGGAAGACATCAGTACAAACTCATGTTTAGCTTATAGACGCAGATAGTAACACACACACACACGTACAATATGTAGATATGTATATAACAGGCTAGTATACATAGTAAACATTTCTCACCTTGTCAATTGAGAGAAAATAGAAGCAATGATTCCCTAGTAGCAGCAAGTACACGTAGCACCCAGCTCTTGGTTTCTAATACCAGTCTCCAATAAAAAGAACCAGGGCTCCTTGGAGAAGCAGTTTATTCTAAGACTTGGGTAGGGAATACAGAAGATGAGCCTGGAGTATCTTGCGGTGCCAAAAAATAAAGAAGTGTTCAATAAAACCCAAAAACCAAAAGACAGTGATGGGGATATATTAAAGGGAAACAGGAGCCAAATAAAAATGTCTCCCATGGCCATAGCTGTTAACCATCTAAGCAACAGTGTAAAATAAAGTAGTACTGAATTATAATCCAAACTATTAAATAAATATCCATGAATCAATACTGGCAAAAATAAATGATTAAATATAGAAGGAAATGAAGAACAGACAAATCTCCTGGGCAGAAACATTACAAATAATTTATGTAAATATTCTTCCCTCAAGAAGGTAATGCATAACCCCCAAGAAGGTGTGGGTTATGTATAGTCATTTCCAAACACTGTATTAAGAAAAGAGGGCAGGGAAAAATGAGTAACTTTATAGCGAGGAGACCTAACAAACACTTCCTGAGCCAGACGACCTAGTTTAACAGCAATGGTAGTAAGTTATGATGATATTACATATCCTTTACTTAACATGATGAAAAGGGGTACCTCACCCCTGTGGTTTTACTCTCATAACCCATAAACCAGTTTTTACCATGAGAAAAACTATCAGATAAATTCCAATAAGGGACACCCTACAAAACACCTGACTGAGCAAAACTTCTCAAAACTGTCAGGGTCACCAAAAGAAGGAAAGCCTGAGAAACTACTACAGCCAAGAGAAGCCTAAAGAGATATGGCAACTACATGTGATATGGTAGCCTAAGTGAGACCCTGGAACAGAAAAAGAACATTAGAAAAACATTAATAAAATCTAAATAAACTATAGACGTTAGTTGATAATAGCGTATCATTATTAGTTGTAATTAATGCATCATACTACAGTAAGCTATGAATAAAAAAACTGGATATGGGGTATATGAAAACTGTACTGCCTTCTCAATTTTTCTATAACTCTGAAATTGTTCTAAAGTCTAAATCAATGTAATTTACCATATTAACAGACTAAAAAATAAAAACCATATAACTTTTTATATTAGATGTAGAAAAATAATTTGACAAAATCCAGTACCCTCCTTTAGGAGCAGTTGGGCTGTTAGAAAACTCTTAGGAAACTAAAAATAGAAAAAAGATTCCTCAACCTCATAAAGAGCGTCTGGGAAAACCCTACTTCTAATATCATACTTAATGGTGTAAGACACAGTGATAGTTCCTAAGATCAGGAAAAAGGTAAGAATGTCTGCCCTCACCATTCCGTTTAACCGTTCTCAAGGTCCTGAAGATAGTGTAATATGGCAAGAAAAGAAATAAAATACATTTATTTTAATTTTGTATGGTGTACAGTATTTTATATATAATATATATATATATATATATATTTCTTTTTCACCTTTTATTTTAGGTTCAAGGGGTACATGGGCAGGTTTGTTACATGGGTAAATTGCATGTCACTGGGATTTGGTGTACAACTGATTTCATCACCCAGGTAGTGAGCATAGTACCAGAAAGTTTTTCAACCCTCATCCTCTTCCCACCCTCCACCCTCAAGTAGGCTCCTGGTGTCTACTGTTCTCCTGTTTGGGTAAAAGATATTTTTATTAGAACAAAGTACACAGATCTGTCTTTATTAATAGACCACCTCATCTATGAACAAATAATTCAGGCATATCCATACAATGGAATATTACTTATCAATTAAAAAAATGAACTCACCTATCCTAAAACATGGATGAATCCCCAAATTATGATGCTGAGTGAAAGATGCCAGAATATATAGTGTATAATTACATTTATATAAGATTTTGGAAAATAGAAAATAATCTATAGGGTCAGAAATCAGATCATTAGTTGCCTGTCGGGTAGATGGGGTTTGAAAAGGTGGGAGGGAAGGCTTACAAAGAGGCAAGGGAAAACTTTTCAGGATATAGGTGTGTCATCTTGATTGTGGTGATAGTTTTATGGATTTGTACAGGAATGTCAAAACTTATCAAATTGCATACTTTAAATATGTGCAGCTTTTTTTGTTTTGTTTTGTTTTTTGGAGATGGAGTCTCACTCTGTTGCCCAGGTTGGAGTGCAATGGCGCAATCTCAGCTCATTGCAACCTCTGCCTCCTGAGTTCAAGTGATTCTCCTGCCTTAGCCTCCTGAGTAGCTGGGATTACATGTGCCTGCCACCACACCTGGCTAATTTTTGTATTTTTAGTAGAGACGGGGTTTCATCATGTTGGCCAGGCTGGTCTCGAACCCCTGATCTCAGGTGATCCACCCGCCTTGGCCTCCCAGAGTGCTTAGGATTACAAGCGTGAGCCACCGCACCCAGCCCGTGTGCAGCTTTTTTTTTTCAATCAATTATTCTTGATAAAGATTTAAAGAAAAAAATTAAAATTTTGTCTTTTAAAAAAAAATACATGGAGGCTAAGATAAAAGTATAAAAAGGATTGATCCAAATGTGTGAGTCAAGAGCATGGTATAGACACCAAACTTGGCATGTTTTACTGCCAAAAATATGTCCATGTATTGCTGTGTCTGCTCCACATAAGCAGTCATGATGTTATATACCTATACATGACTTACATATCTGCATATATACATGATTTTCCACACTGGGAAAGTAGATATTGTAAACAGGTTTTGAAAATAAAGATAATTCCACAGATGTCTCTTTTTAAGTACACCCTGTCATCAGAGAGTTTTACAATCATATGGCAAGTGTCTGATAATTATATGGCCAGTGTCAGAATGATGGAAATTTCCAACATATTGTTAAAACCCGAAGAGGTCTTGTGCCCCATAAAAAACGGTTCAAAGATATTAAGATGAAGTTTCCACAAAAGACATTAAAAGAGGGGGGAAAAGATTAATAAGAAGGAAGTTATAGAATTTAACTGCAAGTAGAAAATTTATCCTTCCTTCAGCTTTGAGCAAATACATATCACAGCAGCAAATGGGAAATGACACACTTCCTATCAAAAACATGACTTCTCATTCTCATTGTGACACATTCACTGCTTTTCCAAGGATTTGACTAAGGAGAGCCAGAAGATGAAAAAGAGAAAGACAAATGAATTGGAAATGACCTTTTCCATTATCTACGGCCACATGAAGGAAATAATGCCTTCCCAAAGCCCGGCCATGGATTAGCTGTCAAATTAAAAACCTGTGTATAAATATTTGACCCAAGCACAAAGTATTAAAGTAACTTCAGCTACATATGTCTCTAAGAAAGTCAATGCGCATCTGGAATTAGCAAATTGGAAGATGGAAGTTTCCACAAAGGGCTTCCTTTGCTTAATCCTAAGGTCTGTTTAAATAACTTTACTAAAGGGAGGTTAGCACAATAAAAGCGGGCTGAAAAAGCTATGAAGATAGAATGTGTAAAAAAGAAAATTAAAAATGCCATTAAGCCTTAGGAAAAATGCTCAATCATTAAAGAATAACAAATTAAAACAGAAATGAGATAATTTTGCCACCAAGATAGAAAAAATAATACATAATAACATTTAGTATTGGCAGGATTTCATGAAAGGAAAGGTAACTGAACACAGTTAGTAGAAATGCAAAATGACAACTCTGAAAAGAATATATGTGAAGAGCCTTAACTATGTTTATATCTTTTGACCCAGTTATTTGTCTATTGGGACTTTATCTTAAGGAAAGAATCTGAACTAGAGATTGATCTTTGAGCACAAAAAATCATGACAATGCCATTTTTAATATTTATGTTTATATCAGCAAAGTTTAGAAACAACCTACATGCCCAGCAGAATTGTTAATTAAATTATGACACATCAATGTGTCAGAACAGTTTGCAACCATTAAAAACACATTTTCAAGACATTTTTAATGACCGAGAAATTCTTTAATATTATACGGAAAAATAATTGTGTACATAGAATGTGATCTCATAGCAGACACACACACACACACACACACACACACACACACACACACCCCTAGAAAGAAATAGGCAGGGAATACTAACAGTGCTTACTGCTCTTTCCCAGTGAAAATACTGGTTATTTAAATTTTCTTCTCTATAAATAACTGAACAATAGTCAATTTAAGATAGAAGAAGATGCTGTCATAACACATGTGATCCATAGCCAATTTTTCTCTATCACTTTCTCCAAATACAAGACTTTTTTCATTACATGGGCAGGCTGTGTTACTGTTGCTTATGTCTTGTCCACAGTGTCATGATTTTCCACTTTTCACCTAAATACTTTTACTTATTAGATAAATTTAATCCCCTAAATGATCTCCAGAGACTTTTCCACATGTAGCATGCACCAAGGGCTATTTATGGAGCATACATTTAATTATTGTAGGGGCCTTCATTAGCATAAAGCATATTTGCTTTACAAGTTTGAAGGTGATCCTTAATATCCCTTTTCAGTCACTCTGGTGAACACTGATTCAGTTTCATGAACAAATTTGTTTTTTAAAAAAATATTAAGTGCCCATTCAAAGTGCTGGGATTACAAGCGTGAGCCATCGCGCCCGGCCTATGTATGCCTTTCTATACACACATTGCTCTCCTGTGTTTTAAGTTTGTCTTCCCAGCCAGACTTCCCAGCATAGAGTTAGCATAGAGCAAACAAGTGCCTAGTGTGCACTGGCTTGGAAAGACTGCTACTTCTTGAATCAGAATGTAAATTTAAAAAACAAAAACCAAAAAACCTCAATGCATTATAAACGTTATGCAATGGTCCTGATGATATTTTAGTTAATGATATTTATTGGGCTGTCTTTCTGTTGAACCGAATCAAATAGAAGTCTCAATCAGAAATTTTTTATCCTGGGGACACCCCAGTTCAAAAAGGAAGTACCATAAAACCTTGAGGAACACTCCTTTCCTAGAATGTCAGGTCCAAATATGTTCTTCTGTGATGTAAAGTGGGGATGACAGAGAATGGAAATATCAATCTGAAACTAATTCTGAAGGTTGCCAAGGTAAACAACTATTTTTGAGGCCCTACTCTGTGCCAGGCATAGCAATGGCATTTTCTCATTTTATCTCATTAAATCTGCACAAATAACCCAGTGAGGTGGATGTGCTGATATTCCTTTTATAAACCTCAGTGAAGTGAAATATCAGACTTCCACCATAGGTTGGAACAGTCTGCAACCATTCAAAGACATATTTTCCACAGGGGACTAGTTTGATCATGAATGAAAAAACACAGAATTCCATAGGTTGCTTTTTGGGGCAGTGTGACTCAAAAGGTAGTTTAATGTCTAAATGTTAGGCAAACATCAAAGAGAGATGGGCATCTACATTTTGAAAGGAGGGGCCCCAATCTTTAGGAAAGTAGTGGGGTGAAGGATGGGAGAGGAGGCTGCATGGATGTTTTGAAGAAAGGCCTCTCTTGTTCTTCAGCTGCCATACCTAGGACTAACCTTGACCTAGAAATAGCTTTATTATCTCACACTATCCATGACCCTCACATCAGAAAAATGTGGGAAAAGGGAATATTTGGATTGGCAGAGGCGTGGCTTATACACACAAAAATCAATTTGTTAGATTCAGCATTTGAGGATCGTAGTATTCCAAAATGTCCTGGGTTATGTAGATAGAGCCAATAATTTCTGTCCTCAAAGCTTGTGCTAGAGTTGAAAAAAGTGTCAGCACCCTGGTTATATGTCCAGTTTCTAAGGATCAAGAGGCATAGGATCAACAAGCCCTAGACATTTCTATGCCTAAATTTAAAAAAATTCCTTTTTAGTAAAATTCTTTTTTTTCCAACTTTTATTTTAGGTTCAAGGGGTATATGTGCAGGTTTGGTATATGGGTAAATTGCATGTCATGGTCATGGGGGTTTGGTGTACAGGTAATTTTGTTACACAGATAATAGCCTAATACCCAAAATGTAGTTTTCATTCCTCACTCTCCTCCCACCCTCCAACCTCAAGTAGGTCCCAGTGTCTATTGCTGCCTTCTTTGTGTCTACGTGTACTCAATACTTAGCTCCCACTTATAAGTGACAACATGCAGTATTTGGTTTTCTGTTTCTATGTTAAGGACATGATTTGTCGTTTTTTATGTCTGTGAAGTATTCCTCTGTGTATATGTACCACATTTTCTTTATCCAGTCCACTGTTGATGGGCATCTAGGTTGATTCCATGTCTTTGCTGTAGTGAACAGTGCTGCAATGAACATACACTGCATGTGTCTTTATGGTAGAATGATTTCTTTTCTTTTGGGTGTATGCCCATATGTGAGATTGCTGGGTCAAATGTTAGTTCTCTTTTAAGTTCATTGAGAAATCTCCAAACTGCTTTCCACGATGGCTGAACTAATTTACATTCCCACCAGCAGCGTATAAGCATTCCCTTCTCTCCACAATCTCACTAGCACCTGTTATTTTTTTGCTTTTAAATCATAGCCATTCTGACTGGTGTGAGATGGTATCTCATTCTGGTTTTGATTTATATTTCCCTAATGATTACTGATATGAAGCAATTTTCATGTGCTTATCAGCCACATGTATGTCTTCTTTTGAGAAGTGTCTGTTCATATCCTTTGCCCATTTTGTAATGGGGTTGTTTTTTGTTTGTTGATTTAAGTTTCTTATAGATTCTGGATATTACACCTTTGTTGGATGCATAGTTTGCAAATATTTTCCCCCATTTTGTAGGTTGTCTGTTTACTTGTGCTGTGCAGAAGTCTTTAGTTTAAGTCCCTCTTGTCAATTTTTGTGTTTGCTGCAATTTCTTTTGGAGTCTTCATTATAAAATTTTTCCAGGACTGAGGTCCTAAATGGTATTTCCTAGGTTTTCTTCTAGGGTTTGTACAGTTTTAGATTTTACATTTAAGTCTTTAATCCATTTTGAGTTGATTTTTATATATGGTAGAAGGAAGGAGTCCAGTTTCAATCTTCTGCATCTGTATGCCTAAATTTTCTCACTGTAAACTGTAGATAATGGTCTCTGTCCTTCCTCATTAACAGAGATGACAGAGATGAGGACCACATAGGATACACACACAGGCTCTTCATAAATTTAAAATTGTTAAAAATCTCTAAGTTTCTTCAGCTATTTTTAATCCTAGCCTTTGAAATTTCATAAATGACATGGTTCTGCTTCCCATAAAAATGTACAAATGCACATATGCAAATATACACACAATTACTTTAGAGAGTTCATAGAACCCTGAAGTCACCATGAAGCCTAGATTGAGAGCCATTCTTATAAATTTGTTTGGGAAACTCTCCTAAAAGTACTTTCTCTGGTGCAGAATCCCCTCACTCATATATGTAATGATTTTTTCTTCTTGCAGGAAGCAAAAATTAGTAATTTGACTATTTCTTATAACTCTTTAAAGTTTGCAAGGATCTGCATCTCTTCTCAGATTATGTCATGTATGTGCAATGGAAGTCGAGAACATGAGAAGTCTGCAAATATTTTGTAAAGAGTCTCTCCTTCCTATGTTATTATTTCTACAAAAGAACAGAGAGAAATATGACCAAATTAGGTAAGGGACCCACAATTTTTACCCCAAGGAAAATTCCAAAGGAGGCAAAACATGACTTCCTGACCCCTGTGAAATGTCACCCAACTGACCCCAACAAAGGCCTTCTCAGGGCTTTGAGCACAGCCCTAACAGTTCACACACATCACTAAGCAGCCCTTGGGAGCTCCAGAAGTGTCACTCAATCAAGGAATCCCACAAGTCTTAGAGGACTAAATGGCAAGAACCATATCTGGATGGTACTGTAACTGTAAGAGAAAAAAAAAATAAAAAAGACCGAAACCCTTTGGTGGGTTCCTGTCTCCTGGGATCCTGAACTTTCTATCTCATTATAATTAACAGAATTAGGCCCAGGTATGTCCCAGAGAAGGGAGCCAGGCCTGTTTTGGCAAATAAAGAAACAGGTCTTCCACTTTACCTTTCTGGCTGTGTTTTCTATCAGTACACTCTTCCGTGTCAGGAAAGGCTGGAATGCTGACATGTCAGGGGCCTGTGCTCATACTTTCCCTGCCTGCACTGTGCTGTTTTTGGGTTTTTAAAGTGGATTATAAAAGAGCAATTATACAAATTTGATTACGTAATATCATAAACAAATGTAGTTGCTGCCAACACTAATTAAGGAACGTCAGACTCCTCCAGTGCCACATGCACAGTAGATGGAGTTCAGAGGAGCTGACAACAGGTTTTCTGGGGATGGAGAAAGCTCCTGTGGTCCACCTTCGGAGCCATGGAAGAACCTGGCAGTGACCGCAGCAGGACCCAACACGCTGACCTTGACTAGCCCCTACCTTCCTCCTCCTACTCCTGCCCGTGACCACAACTAGCTGACTCAGTCTTTGCAGCTGTAACTTTGTAACCTAGAATCTGTCTCCTACTCTCTATCCCTCTGCCTTGACCTTAGGTAGGGCTCCCACTGTCTTTTGCCTGGTGTACCTGGTCTACACAGGCAGCCAGATTGATCCCAGTGATCGAACTTACACATATTTCAACAGTCTTCTTAGGTACACATGCACATTTGGCTGACTGTGAGGTAGCGTGGTGGGGAGGGGTGGGGCTATCCAGAGATTGGCATTAACTTAGCTGTTGGCCTGGTCACCCTGGCTTCCACAGAGACACACTGGCCACACAGATCTAGCCATCACTGGCTTTCATCAGATGAGCTGGGTCATGGTGGAAGAGCTCACAGGCTTTCTCAGCTGCTCCACCTATCCTTTCAAGCCTCTGAGCTACTTTCCTTGAAGAACGTAATCCACTCAGTAAGATGCATCATGCGCCACACAGCTAACTTGCTTGTACCTTAGGCACCTGCCCTTACAGGGTTGTGCTCCTTTTTCCTATGATCCTCTGCATAACTGTGCTTCTCAACTTTCACATGTGTCCAAATGACCCAGAGAGCTTGTCAACATGCATAACATTTTATAATTAAGAGAATTAAGCCCATATATGTTCCAGAGAAGGGAGCTGAGCCTGATTTTGGCAAATAAAGAAACAGCTCTTTCACTTTACCTTTCTGGCTGTGTTTTTCATCTATACGCCCTTCTGTGTCAGGAAAGGCAGAGAGCTTGTTAACATGCAGGTTCTGATTCAGTAGGCTTAGATAGGGCTGAGATTCTGCATTTCCAGCAAGCACTGGATAAGGCCCATGCTGCTAGTCTGTGGACCACACTTTGAGTACCAAGCATCTCTGAGTGCTAGTTCAGGACCCTCAGCGAGGGAGGGCTGCTCAAAATCTTTATGTAGGATTGGAATGTAAGCCTTGAGTTTCACTGTGGAGTTTGCTCCCTACCCTGACCCTTCTGGTCTCATATCACTAGCCTAATCTCTTCCTTCACTGCTCCCCTTACTTTTGTTTCCAAAAATTTCTTTATAAATAAAGTTCATGCCTTGTTGTGTCACTCTCTTGCTGCTCCCCTCACTTTTGTTTCCAAACATTTCTTTATAAATAAAGTTCATGCCTCATCGTGTCACTCTCTTGCTTAAAATTCTCCAATGCCTCTCCATCATGCTTAGAAAACAAACTTCTTAATATGGCATTTATGGCTTGTTATACCCTAGGCCCTGTCTCCCCACTGCAGCTGCCACATCAAACCCTGCAATTCCTACGTGTGTCACAGCTGTTGCCTCCAGGCTTTAAGCACATTGCTGTTTTTTGAAACCTCCTCTTTCCAGCCTATTCCTTTCTTTCAGGCTCCACACAGATTCCACTTCCTCAGAGTACTCAACGCATTCTTTTGTGTTGTCTGTTTACTTCTTTGTTCCCCTCACTGACAGAGCCCCATGAAGGCAGAAACCTGTCCTTACTGTCACATACATAATGTACCATTGGCAGCATGAAGCATAGGCTTGGCTCAAAGGAAGCACTAAACAAGGAAGGAAAAAGGGAAGGAGGGGAAGCAAAAAGAGGAAAGGAAAGGAAAGGAAAGGAAAGGAAAGGAAAGGAAAGGAAAGGAAAGGAACGGAAGCTAAGAGTTGCCGTTATTGACTTTCTTTTCCTCCTGCCACTCCATCAAACAATCAGGTATCAAATGCCAGGCTAAAGATAATATCTTCAAAGTTTCTGAAACATTTTTAGCTCTTTCTGCCAAAGATTCAAGAAAAGGAAATTAGCACTTCAGACTCTTAGTCACAAAATATGCGTTTAATACCTAGGCAAATTACCAATGTATAGCAACAGATACTGAATAAATCATACAGCCCATAGCACTTTTGTAATAGAAGGAGACACTTATGATTATTATTTTGAACACATTTTTACAAATGGAAAACTCAGTGATTGCCTTGCCACAGAAGAGATGCCAAATTTCAGTACCGAGAACAATGAAGTCACTATCTGGCAACATCACTCATTCATTCCTCCCTTCTCTCCACAAAGAAATAGAGATGTCTACAAGGATAGACGCAGAGAAAGCCAGCCAGAGAAGATGTGATTCTGGCCTTCAAAACATTCACAGAGGCAACTACTCACTCCCATGTCCCACATGTGGGCGGCCAACATATGCTTGGCATAAATGTCATGGCATGGACATATCCGCCACATGGAAACCAGTCAGTGAGGAAAAGACTCTTCTCAGAATTCTGCTGCTTAAGAAATGCTTTAAAATTCCATGTTGTCACTTCTGGATTTACTAAAGGTCACACAAAAAGCAATATCTTTTCCACCAAAAAAAAGCAACCTTTGAATTAAGGTCTGCCTAAAACTACATTTCACATTAATGAAGACTGTATTATTAAAATGGATTTAATTTCACTGTTTTACTCTCGAGTTTGGGGGAAAAAAGTGATTAAAGAGAATGCTCCTCTCCCCTTGGGTAGATTTTCACACCCATTTGGCCTAATTATCCCTGGCGAAGGCTCATCCAATTGCAGCTGAATGCAGCTTGACTCTCCCAGTGTGGAGAAATGTCTGTCTGCTCCTCCAGGGGCTGAGGCACTTGCAGGGACAGCAGCTCTGACACCACTCCAGGGAAGCCCCAAAGGAAGAGCATTACATCAAATGATTATGTAAATTTGACTTCTAACAAGTAATTGAAATAGATTGTTCACATTTTTCCCTATGAAAACTTCATGAAACATTAGTCCCAACCCTGAAAAGAGGCAGAGCCAAATAGTGACTCTCAGCTGTAGCCACCGGCCATGGAAATTTTCTCCCAGTTTATTCTCAAGCCATCTGCCCCCATTTCACCATGAAGGTACAGCACATTCTTTGGAAGGCCTTGATGTATGGATTCCCAAAGACAGGACCATATCCGGTTTACTCTATTCCCAGATCCAAGTACGTTGCTCGGCACAGAGTGGGTACCAGTGAACTTGTGCTGAGTGAATCATAACTCACCCATAATCCCTCAGGACACATTTGCTGCGCAAAAAGTTTGGTTGCTGAATAATGTCTATCTTCCTAGTACATTGTGTTGTAGTCTTGTTTGGCTTTATCCCTCCAAAAAACAAGTTATTCTTCAAGTTTTTTGCCTAATAAAAAATTAGGCAAGTATCTCTTGAAAAGGAATATTTGCAATTTCTTAAATTGAAATGACTTGCCTGGCATCCGAGGTCATAATACTTGTCTTTCTGAGCTTTCCCTGCCAGCTGTAAGCCATAAGCCAGGATGTAGAGCTGCATTAATGTTGATGCTGCCTTCCAGCTGTTGCCCTGCGGAGTGAGGGGTTTTTGGTGAGCATTCTAAACTCAGGCCTTTCTAAACCCTTTCTTGACATCTCTAACCTCCTGCACTGTCAAGTTCTCTTGGTTGGGACCCATGAGTTTCAGTAGTTTCCAAGAATGGTAGGTGAAATGCCGATAGCTAAAGTTCATCACATAATAGAGGAAAGAAAATAGCCTTGCATATATTAAACAGTCTAAAGTACAAACTAACTCTTTCCCTATCAGTCCCCCAATCCTCCATTTTCTCATCTGTAAAATGGAGATAATAATGCCATAGAGTTGGTAAAAAGGATAAAATGTGCAAACCACCTATCTCGTACCTGGAATTGTGTAAGTGCCCAATATGGAAGCCATTCGCTGCTATGCCCCTAGCTTAGGTCACATCTGCTAGTTAGACCAGAATCTATAACCATGACCTGCCCCAACCTTGCCTTGTCATTTCCTCCTGAGAGCTCCAGCCCCCAAAGCAACATGGTGCCAGATTAGCCCTCTGCAGAGTGCTGGTCCAAACCACAATGTTGTCAGACTGCTCATACTCTCAGCTGGGCATGGTGATGTGATTTGCAAGGCAATCACTCCAGCCAGAACATCTGCAGCAGTCCATTCATCTTCATCTAGGCTGAGATTTTCAACTGGAGTTACTGAACAGAGAAATAACTTTAGGGACAGGACGGCCTCTCTCTGGGCCCTGTTTGTTAGAGTAAGGCTTACACTGGTAGGGCCTGACTTGTACCAAGCTGGCTGGTGTCTCAGACTCTCCATGGCTCCAGTAGTCATAGGGTTGTGCTCAGAAGCAGCAGGGAAGGAATAGGAACTGTGACTGGGAGCAAAAAAACAGAGACCCTACAGGGTCCTCCCTCCATGCTGCATCTCTCTTTAAATAGATAACTGAACTCCCATGAATTTCCAATGTGTCAGTGCTAAGAGATCCCCCAGAAATCATTTAATCCACTTCTCTCCTTTTAAAATCAGATAAATGGAAGCCCAATGAGAGAAAGTGATTTATCCAAGGTCATATAGTTACTTAGTGGGAGAATTGAGTTTGAAACCTGACTTGAAAATCTGTAGACTGTAGTTCCTTCTGTCTCTCATGTATAGATGAAAATTTTATAATGAAATAATCTTCAAACATATTATGAAAGCACTCAACTGGAGGAATTCTATAAGGACCCTTCATTCATGCAGTGATCCTGCACTAGAGTGAACTGGTAGAGTTGTTGTTACCAGGCCTCCACGCCTGTGGATCTGTTATTAACTAACGAGTCCTTCAGCCCCATCTTCGTATCTGCAGGATGTCAGCTGCCCCTCTTCCAACTGCCAACGATTGTCTTCCTAGGTGCACATTGCTGGAAGCTCCCAGAGTGAATCTCACACAAGCAAGTCCATTGAATGCATTCTGGCCCCCACATCCCTGCTAGAGCCTTCTGCCCACAGGCCAATGGAGAAGAAGCCTTAGCCTCCTCTAGTGCTGCCCAAAACTGCTGCCACTTTCTCCTTTGGACTTGAAGCTGCTGCCTCTCTGCAGACCCAGGCATTTACTACCTACAGGAATCAGGAGAAAGCTCCTTGTTCCTGGTGGTGGCACTTCCTCATGGGGTCCCTAAGCAGTATGGTTTGTGTCTACACTTCAAAATAGCCCCTTTGGCTTTTCCTATATCCTATTATTCTGTGGGCATTCAAAGCTAATGCTTTGCTCTGCGCAGGAAATGGACACAGCAAAATATTTCACATTGCCCTGCTCCTCCATCAGATACCCACAGACAGGTCTTTGAAGATCCCATCACACATACCCATTAATTCCTGCCCTTGGATGCCTGGGAGGCAGCAGGTCTGAAATGTACTGGCATTTGGAACCACCTAGTACTCATACATCCTGCTGGATTAGAGAGGTGACCTCAACCCTGGGAGCTTTTAAAAAATCCTTGTGACTGGCCCAACCACAAACCAATTAAATCAGAGTCTATGGGTGTGGCCTGGGAATCCAAATATTTGAAAAGCTCTGGAAGGCAGGGAAAGTCTTTACCTGTGAAGGTATTTATTAACTGGGGTGAGGAATGAGGGAGCCCTCCAGACTGCTAGAGATGTTCCATCTCTTGCCACATAAGGAGACAAAAGCTTTCTCTAGGAGGGACTGTGAGGGATGGAGGTGTCTTTACTGTTGATGAGCCCCCCACACTGCCCTCACACTCTGTTAGATGGCCGCCTTTCTCACTCAAATGTGACCCCCTTCAGAAGTATAAACAAACACACCCAAGGCCATCAGGGGACAGAACTGCAGCAAAGTAAATAAATCATCTCATTTTGTTTTACTTTAGAGATCCAGATGTTCCCTGCTCTCACGCTTGGTTTTTAAATGAAAGAAATCTACCTGGTATGCCAGTTTGACATTGATAATTTTAGGCATCAAATAAAAGTGGCTTCATGTAAATGTACTTCTGGGCACTATAAGGATGCCAGAGCTTCCCAAAGGTCCCCTGGCCCACAGTGGGGCAAGAGAGGACCAACTCTCCTGTTTTCCTGGAACTAAAGCATTTCCCATGATGCAGGATTTTCAGAACACTAAGAAAATCCCAAGAAAACCTGGATGAGCTTGTTATTTTACCAAGAATTAGGCCATAATTGCTGCTAGTAGTTAGTTGGGCTCTCAGTATAACCACAAAGAGACACAGAGTTAGAAACTAGAGCCCTATGGTACAGATAGAACTGATAACCAAGTCAAGACCCCAACGTCTATGTCAAGGCCCTTTCATGATCTGCAGCTCACTTTTCTGAAAACCAAAGCCCATCTCTCAATGGTGTTCATCCTTAATTAGAAGAGGAGACTTCATAAACCCATCAGGGTGGATGTGTTCTACATTCTGTTTTCTGGAATCAGTCCATAACTATGGCCCCCAGGTATTGAGCACCAGGAATCCTGATTCAGAATCCTCACAATGACTAATAAGAGCATTATTATTTCCATTTTAATAACCCTAGGATTCGGTCCCAAGTCCATCTGAATTCATAGCCCATATCCTTCCTACTGCACTGCTGCCTCTCAGGAGCAAATAAGGAAGCCCTGACATGTAAGCAGCTCCACAGGGAGCTGCTAAAAAGCCCGACACTTCTGGAATTCCTTCAGACACACCCCCTGCCTTCCTACCTGCCCACATATGCCCCTGTTGCTCTCTTCCCAGCCCTTAGACTGATTAGTTTGACATTTTCCATTTCTGTTGAAACTTTAAGAAAATAACAATATCACCAGTGTTAAATGCACTTACGATGTGCTGGGCATTTTGCTATGTATGTTACATTGTTTCATGAAATCCTCATTCTCTGAAATCAGTATCATGCCCATTGTGCAGGCCAGAAAACACAGGCCTAGGAACATGAAATAACTGATCAAGTGTGTACAGCTTCTAAGTGGTACTGCAAGGTTTCTGATTCACATATGTCCGATTCCTTCACCTGGCTCAAACAGGAAGGGAAGCAGAAAGGCCTCCAGACTGTTTCTTTGGACCCATGGTAGTAAAAGATCCCCCAGTAGCAACTGGCCACTAAGAACCACAGTTATTTACCAGGAACGCTCTCTGATTGAAGGGGCAGGAGATGCATTCAATTAACATTTCATGCAGATCAAAATTCATGACTCTCCTGGGGAAAATAATAAAACGTCACCTTAATCATAATTAAAAATGATACTCAACTTTCATCTGATAGGCATCTAAATCTATTTTAGTGTTATTAGTGTGGAAACATTCTCTATCAGTGTCATTCTTGGTTCATAAATAAGCTAAAGTAAAAGCAAAATAAATTTCAAGTTGGAAGGATCAACGTAAACGCATTTTTACAAGTTGTCTTATTTACAGTCGCAGATTCACAGTTTATTGAGTGCAAGCTTTAAAAAATCCACACATATCTGTACAGCATAATAATAAGACTTTTAGGAAATACGAATATCAGTGATACACATGTCCTAACTCAGTGCCACCAGCCATGCAGGCTAGAGCATGGGCCACACTCTAAGGCATTCTTCCTCAGTAAGTGCGAGCTCACAAAGTGCAAAGCCACTGTCCAAAGCCACTGCAAGTCCCTGAAGTCAGGAAGACTGGCACCTTTCTGAATCAGAGCAGGGCACTGTCCCAACAGAAATATACTGACTTTAGAGAAGGGAAAGATCTACTTATTGTGATCTAGGACATTCTCAACTCCAACATTTGTCAGTTGTCACATTTTTTTTGTGGGAGGGCGGAGCTAATGGTCTCTGGGGCATGGCAATGTGTTTATACCTCTAAGCTGTTGACCATACTGCACCCTGCCCCATTCTTGTCACCACAGTGAATTCAGTTATCCTTCCACAATTTGTTTTAGTCATCATCTAGGTTAAGGATTGCACACTCCTTTTTCTTTGCACCTTCCAAGCCTTGTAAATTCATTATCTGTTCCATTTGTCCACAGTTGGGAAGTGCCTTTATCTGTCTCTCTTTCAAGTCCTTGTATTTCTTGGGGATGGTGCTTGGTCTTCTTCATTTCTGTATTCACCATGCTCAGCACACAGCCTGGCACAGAAGCAGTCACCTGAACATAGTCATTGAGTTAAATTAGAATTAAATAAAATTTATTCCACCCTGGAACTTATATCTATTTGTCTTTTTCACAGACCTACTTAGATTTAGTTATTCATTCAGTAGGCATTCCTTCAATACCTACTAAGCCCTGAGGAATAACAGCCGAGTGTAAAACACATTGCCAGCCCTGGAACACGTGGTTATCAAGTTAGAAGACAGATGCCACACATACCAGAATAACTAGATCAGGGTCTCCCGAAGTACCTTCTGAGAAATCAAGACTCTCTGAAGAAGAGGCTCTGTGGTATGAGGGAGGCAAGTTTGGAGTACTGTGCACACCTCCACTTCCCACAGGGGCACCTGCATGTTAGCACAGCTAAGGTCTGAATAGTCCACGGCATGATATGCCATGGCGTTTTCAAACCTTGACATTTCAAACTTTAATAAGCTATAGAACTTTAAAAATATATATAAGGTAAAATTAACATTTTGCTGGAGTGTTACAGAGAATAAACTGCAATAAACATCAAACTGGAACTACAAACTTAATAAGATATTAACACAAATGCAGTATAACACAAATAGGGTATTAACACAAATAAAAAGGGAATCTGTTTGGGAAGGTGTTCAATAGGATGACCTCTCCTTTGGTTAAGTGAGGCCTTGGTCTTGGAGAGAGGCCATTTTCTTACTGCAGTTAAGTTTACATCAATAAACTGTTATTAAGCAGCTATTATGTATGTGCCAGGCATGAACTTAAGGGCCAGGGTTACAAAGATGAACCAGACACTGAATCAAGTATAAAGGCTGAGCCTGGTGCTCTAAGTGCATGAGCGTGGTGTGTGTACGTACACACACTAAGACAGGGACCCTTCCCACAAACATCGTAGCCACCTAGTTGGATGTAGAGTGGAGGAGAGAAAGGGGCACAGCATTTCCTGACGGTTGTAGGGTGGGTCCCATACTACATAATGCCCTGAAAGGCAGTGATGTCAGTTTGGCTTCACACTACAATAATTCCCTTCTAGCTGACTACCACATCACAAAACCCACCCTCATGCAATCAGGTAACCCCTCTCTGCACCCATTCCATTCCTTGCCACATCAGTCAAGTGGTGTAGTCCCGGAGGGCCACATCCAGGTGCAGGCAGTACAAGGAGACCTCTGGCATGTTGCTACATAACCCTGGCTTGACAACTCTGCTCCTGTTAGCCACAACTGAATTCAGATGCAAGCGCTTCTTCCCTTAGCACTCAGCACTGCCAGCCTTCCTCTCTACTTTACCTCAGGCACTTCTGTCAAACAGACACAACTCCTGACAGGAGAGGGACCATGGAATGGGCAGAAGATGTGTGGCTATAGGTCTTGGTTGCACAAAGAGGGGGCAGTTATACTCTGTGTTTTACCAGGCCTGGCTGTAGTCTGACATGCACTGACTGTGGAGCATCTCTCTTGGCCTGTTTTCTCACTTGCGCCATTCAGGGAGATAAACTCTAAGCATGTGCTTCTTAGATATTCATGTGTTTATAAATCACTTGGAGATTACACATCTGATGCAGTAGATCTGGGGACCTGATCTGCATTTCTGGCCATCTTCCAAGTGATGCTGACACTGCTAGCCCATGGACTTCACTTTGAGAAGCAAGACTGTAAGCTCTCCTTGCTCTCTCAGTCTAGAGTGTCCAAGTTTTCAGCCTAGTACAGTGGAGATCTTTAACTGTGTGCCTCAGCCATCAAGCCCAAGTGTGGCACTTTCACTATGTATGGACAGCCACAGGGACACCCATATGACATGCACTCTTTGCAGTTGTGCACACATAGGTGCACAAGCATGGGCCCTCCCTCTTCTTTCCCATGTTCCCCCAAACTTGCATTCATTTACTAAACCACAGGCAAAAGACAGCAATATAACCCAGATGTCTCAGGACACCAAGACCCCTTTATAAAGATCTACTTATGGGGAGGCCCATTACTGACTTATCATTTACCCATCAATGGTTTCTTTTCTGAAGTCTGGATAAAAATATTGAGTCTCAAATTAGCCCTTGGAGAGTGAGTAATCACGTCCTAACTTGGGAAGGGAAGACCAAAGTCTATTTCTGTCCCTTTCCATTAACAGCAGGCTTTACTGTGTGCCCCTCCCATGTCACTGACCTTGTGCTCCACTCTGCCATGACGGGAGAGGGTGAGCTGTGAAACTTGAGAAGGCCTTTATTCCCAGGGTATGGTTTGGAAAGTGGGACTTGACTTACATAATTAGTAATCATATGCTTCCAAGGTTTAGGAAAGAAGAAATGTGCTATGGGCTGCAGTAGCTTGGCAAGATTTCAAGCTTAACAATGAGTCAGGAACAAGGAACAGCAGCAGGTGTTGATGAAAGTGAACACATAGGAAGTGCAGTAGCCATGAGCGCATGTGTGGCTCCTGTATGTGAGTCCCAAATGAGGGCAGCGTGGGACAGCTCAGGCCCTTCCTCCAGGGCAAGGCCATAACGGTGCAGTGTTCCTAGGGGATGCAACCTCTTGAGAAGTGAGCACTTTTCCTCCAGAGGCCATTGGGCAGCAAGGACTCCGTCAGGCCCCATTGCCTCTGTGAATGCCAGACACAGGCATCCTGGGGAATGGGAATCATGTCCTCTCATAAAGCGCAGAATCCCATGAGCTCTCGCTTTGGGTAAGTGCCCGCAGGAGAAGGTGATGGCTGAGTGTCAAAACTCTTGAGGTCCATAAAACCCTGTAGTTCCCAACCAAGTGGAAAAAGTAGGGGTACAGGCCATGACTCTGTCTTATTTTGGAAAATGTTAACTTCCTTGGGCTCTGGGAGGCTGAACTCAGAGAACAGGGGCTCAAGATGAGGCACACCAGGGCTCCAATATGGCTCTTTAAGTAAAAAAATACCCTCAGAAGCTGGTCCATGGAAGACTTAGGGCCACCTTTTCCAATATTATATTTCAAATGTGCTTTCTTCACATTTCTGCTAATGTCTCAAAGACAGGTTTTCATGGGAAGTATTGGGGATGTATTTAACAATGGTGACATGGTTTCTGTTAGTCTTTCTCAAGTAAACTCATTAATTCCTGAAATGGCCAGGTTTCTTCTATTTTTATGTATTTATAAAATACTGTGGCTGGGTGCAGTGGCTCACACCTATAATCCCAGTACTTGGGGAGGCCAAGGTGGGCAGATTACCTGAGGTCAGGAATTCGAGACCAGCCTGGCCAGCATGGTGAAACCCCATCTCTACCAAAAATACAAAAATTAGCCAGCCAGGCATGGTGGCGGGCGCCTCTAATCCCAGCTACTCAGGAGGCTGAGGCAGGAGAATCGCTTGAACCCAGGAGACGGAGGTTGCAGTGAGCCAAGACTGTGCCATTGCACTCCAGCCTGGGCAACAAAGTGACACTCTGTGTCAAATTATATATATATATATATGTGTGTGTGTGTGTGTGTGTGTGTATATATATATGTGTATATATATGTGTATATATATATGTATATATATATGTGTGTGTATATATATATATGTGTATATATATATATATATATCTCGCATATGACCTCTGTAGCACATAAGCAACTGGATTAAATTGTGTGCCTGTCAAAGGCCAATTTTCCTTCCTCACAGGAACACTCCAAGGACTCCATTTGTTTTGTCCTCTAGTATATCCCCAGCCTCCAGCACAATCCTTGGTATACAAGTGCCTAAGCAAAATGTGTTAAATGAATGAATAAATGAATACATAGTCAAGTCACTTGTGCAGAAGAGTCTGGGAAACTAGAATCAGGGGCAAGAGGTCTAGGAACAGTTACAGGACATGAGTCAAGATTGGAGCTAAGTGCAGAATCAGCTCCTTCTAGGTCATTTCTTACATGTTTATTCTCCACGATCTTCAAAAGGGGCCTGGACCACAGATCAAGGTCGGTGGACTCACGAAACATTGAGTCCACTCTCCTCTCCCTCATCCAACATGGATACTAAGATTTAAGCCCTCACACAACACTTTCTTACTGAACATGGACTTACCCTTAGAATATTGGACAAGAGAACATTCCTAGCAGTCACTGCTAATTGATTAGACATGTCAGGAGATATGAAACCTATTTACTATCCTGACCATGGGCAGCAGGGATGGGTAGGCACAATTTGACAAAATGGGTATAAGTCATACCATGAGATGGCACTCTTAGTATTCTTTTCTTGTTTTCTTTGAAATTTTACTATTTTTCTAAAAATATTAAGAACAGAAAGCATAGAACCATAACTACAAGTCACGATTTCTAAGCTGACTTCATGCATTATCATTTTCCATGTCTGTCACCTTGTCAACAGTTACAGTCCCTCATCTCCTGAGATCCTGGTACATTACAACCTCATGATGGTCGATACATGCCACTCCCCACCTCAGCCTCTTAGTTGGTGGCCAGCATCCCATCCAGGAAGAAAAAGGTTCTCTCATGGAGAGGGGATATAAAGGCAGGGACCCTAGTAGTGCCACGTAAAAATCTGGCTGCTTCTTTTACCCCAGCTGCAGAACACCTTTTACCCAATGATCAGTCTTCATTGCTTCAGTCTCTCAAAGTTAGCTTGTTCTGGTCTCTCTTCCTCCTTAACTCTCTATTCTGCTGCTTTGGCAAGAGTAAGGTCAAGGATCACCTAGCTTCAGCAAAGTCCTCACCCCTTGGCTTGTGGGAAGTGTGTTAGCATCCTGGTAGTAAGAGTGCTATCCATCTGTGTATCACTTTACACCTGTATAAATGTTAACTCATCTGTCCTCTCAACAAACCTGTTAAGGTGGTATTATCACATGGTCATCATCCCATGAGTAAATGAGCCTCAGGGAAGGTTTATAATTTGCCAAAGTTCACATAGCTGGCAAATATTACAGCTAGGTAAGGGGCTCAAATCTTCTCTTTCCAAATGTCATTCTCCTTTCACGTTGTCCCATGACTTTTTTTTTTGTTCATGTAACTAGCTCAGTACTATATGGTAGTATTTTATATGTATGTGTATGTGTATGTGTGTGTGTGTGTATATATATATATGTGTATATATGTATATATGTGTATATATGTGTATATATGTATATATATGTGTATATATGCATATATATATATGTGTGTGTGTGTGTGTGTGTGTATATATATATATATATATATATATAGAGAGAGAGAGAGAGAGAGAGACAGAGAGAGAGAGAGAGAAACCAGGTGCAATTAAGGTATAGCTTTATGGCCAGAGCTAGGCTGGAGGTTGAGGAAATGCCAAGAGCAGAGGTGAATTCACAGATGGAATTCCTGTGCTCAGGAAAGGTAGAAAGGCATATCCTGCCCTCTGCAATGATATCCTACAAGACAAAATTTGCTTTTGTTTTAAGATGTCTATTTTAGTTATATATATATACACATATATATACATAAATATGAGTGTTTGTGTGTATGTATACACACATATATGTATAAACACAGATATATATACATACATACATAATGTATATTTTTTCATATTTTATCATTGAAATCATGTTGTATTTTATAATCAATGGCATTTCACAATCTCTGGCCTGGCTATAGTCATGACGTAGTTGTAATTGATAATGTGTACACATCAAAATTTGCAGAAAGGCTTTTAGCACTTGGAGAAAGTCCTGGACACAAAAATGGAGCACTTTTTAGAAAATACTGCATTAGCAATGCCCTTACTGACACAGAGGATGATATTGTGTGGAAAAACTTGGACAATTCTGAATTGAAAATGATTACGAAATTGAGTCTTTGAATACGGAGCTGATTTGGGAACATTTCAACCATTTAATATTGTCTATATTATATTATCATTTTTAAGTATGCAAAAGAGTGATGATATTCATTTATTCATTTTAAAAACTCTTTTAACAAGTATGAAGTAAAATTTCTAAGCATTAAGAAAGCATTGTGTCATAGTTTAGCTGGCAATGTTTTTCCTTTCCTAGTGGTACATAAAATGACAATTGATATCACAGCTTTGATAAATTGAGCTCACATATGTAGTATGTGTATGTAATCATACGTGTATGTATTTGTATGTGTGTATCTATTCTGCAACTCTAACAAAAACAAGCTGCAGGTCTGGACTGAATCAAAATTGTGGAGTTAACTCATTTTGCTTTTCATACCACCAAGCACTCTGTCCTGTCTCCTCACAGCCAGTATCTGGGGATACTGGCAGCAAAAACTAGGGTTACTGAAGCCTTCCTGCAACCCAGATGTGGCCAAAGATTGCTGGGATAGAAGATGAGATAAAAAGTACATTTGAGAAAAGTACAGCAATATTATTTCCATGTGTCACTTGTATTTTCCTCCAAATGAATGCCTTCAATTCAGCTGAGCAATCTAACTTTCCTTTTAGAACCATATCCATTGTATATTACACCATCAATGCTGAACTAAAACCCTGGAATTCAAATCTCTTCTTGCCTTAATCGTTCTATGATTTCAATGCATCACATATTTCTTTGTAGCCAAATCCAAGGCTCTGAGGCATTCTTGAAATAGTCTTTTTAAAGCTGACATTTTTTAATCACCACTAACTCAAATTAAAATGGTTTTGACATGGTGTTCTGAGAAGGCACAGTGCTTAATAACAAACACTCCTCATGTATTAAGCAGGATTAGTCATTCTAATTCTAAAAAGATCTCATAATGAGTGTGCTGCAATGGATGTTGTAAAAGTTGGGCCAAATGTTCTTCTTTTTTTATTCTAATGTCATGAAACATAAAAAGAAAGTTCTACTTCTGAAAATGAAGAGAAATCTCTGATTACCAATTATAAAACGAGATGCAGAAAAAATGGATAGGGTTCAGACTTATTATTTCTTTTTCCTAGTAGAATTAAAATAAATCAAGAATGGTTGCTTCTGGAAAGTATAGATTTTTTTTTTCTGTTCTGTGCAGGAATGTTCCTAAAATAGAAAATAGAGAACTTTACCTAGCTGAAAACCATGCATAATTCAGTGTAGAGAGTGAACCATAATCTCTTTACACTGTTTGGGTAAATGGTTTGTGCTCCAAAAACAGGAATTTTCCAGAGAGCACTGAAAAGTCAGATTATATTTCTATTCAATACAAATATCTGTCACAAGTGGAGGCTCTGGAAATCTATCCTGTGGCCCCAAAGGGTCAGAAGAAATGTCTTCTGTCCTCAGATGTAAGATAGGATGCAAATATAGCATTAGAGTTAATGCCTTAAAAAGCATCCATGATTATCTCTGAACACAAAGATAAGCAGAATGGACCAGTCCCTTTGAATACTGAATAGGTTGATGTGCAAACACATGTTGATGTCCTTGCTCTGTAATTGGGAACTACCAAATTATTAAGATTTTGACTTGATTTACAGAAATGCTTTTGAGACAGCAGAGCCTAAAGTTGAGATTATGACTTCAAATTACTGAGTAATTGTTAACTGTGCAAGCTTGGGTAAATTATTCAATCTCTCTGTGCCTCAGTTTCACCATTTGTAAAATAAATATAAAAACAGTATCTAATAGGACTTCCACTTCATACTATGATGAAATAATAGAAGCTTTCTGCCTTAAAAAAACAGAACACTGCAAAAATGTATTAAACTGGCTGTCAGGTATTGTACAACAGGTAGCAAAAAATAATGATCTCTGAAGAAACAGAAATAAATAAGGTAAATGTTATGTCTCAGCTTACTGCCTGGCAAGATTTTCCAGGCTGCAGTACCAGGAGAGAGTACCCAGACAGAGCTTAGCAGTTTCCCTGCATTAAGAAGTCAGAGTCAGAAGTTCAGGAAGGTTAAGGCAGTTATCATGTACGGGGAAGAGTGTAAGAGAGGAAGGAGACGCATAGCGAGACAACCATGGAGATCTCCAGAAGGTTTTCCTCAAGTCCTTGAGCTCTGATCAGAAGATGCACATGAGAAAACTACCAAGGCTGAGGAAAAACTACTAAAAAGGAGCTGGCAGAATAATCCCTGGAGCTTTTACAGTGCTACAGATAGTTTGTCTTCCCACCAGCCAGTGAGGGAAAGCCTTGTAATGTACGACACATGGAGTATTGCGTCAGTAGTGGGAACAAATTATC
This sequence comes from Homo sapiens, assembly GCF_000001405.40. Lineage (NCBI taxonomy): Eukaryota > Metazoa > Chordata > Mammalia > Primates > Hominidae > Homo > Homo sapiens. Next base: position 140,237,251 of record NC_000003.12, on the reverse strand, counting down.
TCTAGAAAACAGAACAGAACAGCTGATCTGTTCCCACTTAAAAATGCTTAAAAACAAGTCTTGAAAAGCTCAAACTGATTCCAAATAATTTAAGTGCATTCCAGAACAAAGTACCAAATTATTTCAAAGAATGCATAAAAATCTACTAACTAAACAACATAAAGTTCACTATGTCCAGAATCCAATAAAAAATTATTTGGCATGCAAAGAGTCCAGAAAACATGACTCATGATAAGGAGAAGAGATAGTTCGTAGAAATAGACCCAGAAGTGACACAGATAATGTAATTAATAGATAAAAACATTAAAATATTATAAATATATTCCATATGTTCCAGAAGGAAGAGAAAAAAGGAAGCATGAGAAGGTAAGACAGTGAAATTTATATACACACACACACACACACACACACACACACACACACACACTATATAACATAACATGTAATAGGAAATGAACAAAAACAACATTGGGATTAAAAATATATTGGATGAGATTAAAAACAGATTAGACACCATAGGAGAAAGAGTGGTGAACTTGAAGACATAGCAATAGAAACTATACAAAGTGAAATAGAGAAAAATACAACTGAAAAATTAAGTGAATAGAGCATCGGTGAGCTATGGGATAGGAAGAGAAGCAGCCTAACATACATATAACTGAATCCTTAGAAAACGGGAGTGGAGGCAGGAAAAGCACTTGAAGAAATAATTATTTGAAATTTAGCAAATTTGATGAAAACCATGAGCCAAGAAGAAGCTCAATGAGGCTGAAGTGGAAGAAATGACAAAAACACAAAATACATCAAAATCAACTTGCTGAAAACCAATATTAGAGAGTGACAGTTTTAAATTAGCCATAAAAAGGCAAATTACACATAAACTAAGATTGATAGCAGACTTCTCAGACTTTCCATCAGAAACAATATAACAATACAAGTCAGAAGACAGTGGAACAACATCTTTAAAGTACAGTTTAAAAAATAGAAATTAACTCTTAGGGCTATGTTAAGGTTTAAAAGAGGCAATTATTATTTTAAAATTCTTATAATGGCACAAAAAATTGATATTTAGGTATTTGGTAAATTTTTAAAAATAAAGTCATAGAGTTTCCCAAGGGATACAAGATATTTAGGTGTGTGGAGAGGCCCACAGAAATCACCAATTCCAAATCTGTGATTTTACAGGGTTATTACTTGAGGCTCAGAATGGGGCTAACACTTGCTCAGGGACACAGAATGAGTTGCAGGCAGGAACTCATGGGTCCTCTTGACACCATCTGCTACAGTCACCATCCATGACAAACCATCCTATTTTCTCCAGCTTTATTCCCACTGCTGTTCTTCACTACTATCTCCTTTCCAAACCTCTTGCTTTTGTTAAGCAATGTATTTATCTTCATTTTCTCCCTTCCCACAAATAAACTGTCCTCACCTTCTCTAATCAGCCCCCCACTACCACCTACTCCTCCAATCATAAGGCATTCATCTACTCAGTAGGAGAATGTTTATGAACCCTGGGGATGTTCTAGGGCTTCCCACTTAACCCCTACCTCTCCTAGCTTCACTGGCTGAATAGCTCTGGAATCTGCTGGTACAGACAAGGTAGACAGCAAAGGTTTCTCACCAGAGAATAGTGGTAAGGTAAGCCAGAAGAAGACCAGACTCTATCAGTCATAGCAAACCAGAAGACTAATTAGAGCCACTCAGACCCACGGGAGGATCCCCAGAGCTGCACACAACTGGACACAGCTTAGGTCCTGGTTTATCAGTTAACACCATTATCACCAAGCATGTGCTTAAATTTCTGCCAACACAGACCACTTCTGCTTCAATACCCAGCAGCACTCAAGGTATCCTCTACTGCCATCCTTTTTCTTGGAGGGCTACATGGCTGACCTGGAAAGTCTTCGTGGAAAGGAAAGGGTAATAAGGGTGGCGTGAACTGTTAGGGCCCCCATCTGGCCTTCAGGGTTCAATCATGGGGAGAGAATCTACTATCTTAGGCAATGTACATTAATCAGTCCATTGTGCCCAGCTATGTGCAAAAAGCCATGTACTAAAAGCATGGAGGACACAACGAATATATTTTGAAACTTCGATGTGCTAGAAATACTTGTCATATTATAGTTAATCCTCATAACCACCTTGAAAAATTAATATTATTCCTATTTTGTAGTTGAGGACATAGAGGCTCAGAGAGGCTGAATGACACAGCTAAATAAACACCCAAGGAGATAAGTCTCATATCCAGTGAAGCCACTTCTTCTGGAGTTGTGTGAGCTCCGGGAAAGAGGGGAACTCTGTGGCGGTAGCCATAGTGTCTGTGTGGCTTCTGCAGAAGATGGAGCTGCTGCAGAACATTAAGAGACAGGCAGAGAGGAGGAGCAAGAAAATATAAGCTTGGGAGAGCTACATGGATAAAGCAATGGTGCAAGAACAACCAGGGCAGTACACGGAGCAATAAGGAGACCTGTCAATGGGGACAGAAGGCTGAGTGACATCAGAGCAAGTGAAACACGTAGAGCCACAGTTCTGATCTTCTCACGTAGGCATTGGGATATACCAAAGCCTTCATGAAGAGGGATAGCATGAACGAAAGCAAGCATTAGGAATCTGGCTGTGATAGGGAATTTCTTGTCATGGTACCAGCACACAGGCAAATAAGACCACAACAGCTGAAATATATTAAGCATTTTAAAATAAACCAAACACTGTGATAAGAGCTTGACATGACTCATCTACTCTCCACTATGACCTTGGTAGCTAGATGTTACTTTCATTGACCACATTTTACAGAGGCGAAAACCGAGACCCTGAGAGTTAAGTTTTTTATTTTGTTCCAGTTCACACCATTGGTAAGCAGTGGACCAAATTTAGGCACAGGCAGTGGGATTCCAGAGCCTACCCTCAATGGCCTGGGAACTCAGAGTGTCGTCTAGACAGCAGCAGCTGCGGCAGCAGCAGCATCACTTGCAAGCAGTGGTATTTGTATTTGAAGATCTTTTCCTTAATGAACATGAAAGTACTTACAAAAACATAAAGCTTTATCAAAGAAAAGGTATTAGAAATGCCTTTCAGCCATGGAAATTGGATTTGTGACCGTGACCCTTTCTCGGGTTATGCCTTGCATATTTGAATCTCAGCAGCACAGGGCTGAGTTGGCCCAGATGCTCATGAACAAAGCTCTAGAGCAGGTATCAGCAACCTATTTTTTGTTAAGGGATGAAGAATAAATATTTTAAGCTTTGCAAGCCATATGGTTTCTGTCATGACTACTTAACTCTGCCACTGTGGCGTGAGAAAAGTCATAAACAATACATAAATCTATGAGTGTGGTTGTGTTCCAATAAAACTTTATGAAAACAGGTGGTGAGTTGCATTTGGCCCTCAGGCTACAGCTTGCAGCACCCCATTCTAGAGCACCAGCTGTTCCCCTCTGGAAGAGGGATTGTGGAAGGAGAAAATATGTTTCAAGCTAAACAGATATATTAAAAAACCAGCTGGATGCAGGATATTTCAGTGGAGGGCAAGGAAGCTTTGGATACTGGGTATCTGAGATTAACACCACAAGCTTTAACAGAGTCAAGAAGAGTATGAGACCATTTATGGCAGGGAAAACTTGGCCCATTAATATCAAATTCCTGTTAGATGGGCCCTTTGGAGTAGAAGAAAATGTCATCTAACATATACAATTAATTTTTATGTATTCAGCTTTACTGAATGACTACTATATGGCAGGTAAGATAAATATGGGATAAATAATGAAGTATTCCTTTTCTCAGAGAGTCCATAGCTCGAGGAGGAAGGAAGATACAACCAAACCAGGGTAGTGCTTCCTGGAATGGAGATAGCCATGGGGTGCTGCATGAGCTTGGAGGAGAACACCTATACAGCCCAGAATCCGGGGATAAGGAGCAGCTTACAGAAAGAAGGTCAGCCTCTGTTGAGACCTGAGGACTTGGCGAATGCGGAGTCGACCAAGTGTCAGTGGAGCAGAGTGAGCAATGCATAAAAGCTAGAGGCGGGAGGAAACACAGGCAGTTATAGCAATGCAAGTGCAGAACCAGAGACTTGAGTCTGAGAAGGAAAAGTGGGGTGCTGGGGAGAGGGAGAATCTAGGGTCAGAGTATCAAAGACAAAAGGCATTTACACTCTCTGAAGTAGTGGGGCCCAATTCTTAGGGTAATAGGGTGCACTGAAGCTTTCTAAACCATCAAGAAATTACATCTGCATTTCTCTTTTTAAAACCTAGAAAGCTTGGTACTAAGGATTTCTCCATGGAAAATGGATGAAGTGAGGGGAGGCAGGGCACGACGGAGGGGAGGTCAGTCAGCAGGCTCTGGCAGTCACCCAGGAAAGAGCTGGTGTTCTGAACTAAGCTAGTGACACAGGTCAGAGAGAGGGGGTAGTATAACAAAGAATTATGGAAGTAGGACTGATCAATATTGAGATGTCAATGGTGAAGATAATTAAAGAAGACACTCAAGTTTCTGGCTGAGTAACTGGGTGGATATTGGTACCATTCATTGCAATATTAAATACAATAAGGGGGTAATGTTTGGAGGACAAGTAATAAGTTCAGTCTTAGACATGCTGACTTTGAGTGTCTGGAACAGAAGAGGCCAGTAAACATGCTGAGTGGGTAGGCACATGGGACTAGAACCTTAGCAGGGAGATCTGGGCAGGAGGTTGGGATTTGGAACATCAGCCCGTAGGAACTGTGATCAAAGTCGTGGGATCTCAGGGATAAGATCATACAAAGAGAATGCATAGGGAAAGAAGAGCAGAGAGTCCAAGGGGACCCCTGGGGAGAGATGGGCAGAGTAGGGAAACCATGAGAAGAAAGGAAAAGGGCACCCATGAGGAGGGAATGAGGATCAGGAGAGAGTGGCTAACATTCAATGTCAAGCATGGCTCATAGATAATCTCATGTGATGCATTCAATAACTCTATGGCTAGATCCAATTATGCTAATTTTACAGACAAGGGAACTGGAGCTCATTGGGATATAGCAATCTGACATCTGACCAGGTTTGCAGCATCAATAAGTTTTGAAGGTGGGACTGAACCATGTATTTGCTTTTTTCTTTGAAGCCTGTGTACTTCCATCTCACAAGCTATATCACAGGTTTCCAGAACAGAATTGATACCTAACATTTATTTAGTATGTACTGTGCTGTAGACACTGTTATAGATATTTTAAATACTTTTCCTCGTTGAATCCTCACACTGACCCAAAGATATATAGTACCCATTATCCGGTTACATTATTTCCTCATTTTTCAAACAAGGAAATTGAGATAAAACAAACTTGCCCAAAGTCACAAAGCTAGAAAGTGACAGACATGGGATTTAAACAGAGAAGGTGTGGCTGCCAAGTCTGTGCTCCTAACTACTACACTACACAGCTTGAATTGACCTGAAATCTTTCATTCAGCAAAGGCTAGTTAAGTGATTATCATATACCAGGCATTATGTAAGGTGCTACAATTCAAAAACAATCTAAAACATCACATTTCCTACTCAAATGGATCTTAGAGTCCAGTGCCTTCTATAATTGATTCCCAATCTTATCTAGGAAAGACAAACAACGAAGAGATAATGGAGCAACGTGACATCATAGAGGAGACTTGAACTAGGAACCAGTTGAGAGGAATACAGGCCTCTATCGAGTGCCTCAGTGTGGAGTACTTTTCCACACCTGAGATGAGCTATAATGGGCAACCCAATTTAAGGGAACAGTCACTGTATATTTTAGACTTGCCTTGACCTGAATTTGTCTCCCCTTGTGTGTTTTCCTGTAGATGGTATTTTTGTGATGGTTAATTCACTGCTCATGAAACAGTCTGCATTTTTTTTAAACCGGTTTTTCAATCTCTTTTTGTGATGGGATAGACCTAGACATTTATAACTTAGAGAGTTGGGATTTATGGAGTCATGGAACTCCCGCAGTAGATGATGAGGGAGAATATTGACAGCTCTGGAGCCAGGGAGACGGGAGGGTGTGTCTGCTTCAGTTAGAAAGGGCTCTTGGGTGACATGATGAGATAGTGGGAGCCCCCTAAAAGAAGCTGAGACCTCCCTTACTTAATAGTGGTTCCTTCTACCTCTGGATAATACTTTTCTCACCATGCACTTTGACTGTTATGGTGGTGAGAAAGGTTAGAAGTGGGGGAAGATCTATAAAAGATGTTTCATTGTGAAGAAATAGTTGACTTATAATCAGATAATTATTTTCTTGCTTAAAAACCAAGTTTGAGACCTTTTATTGCCTTCAGAAACTGCCAGGCTGACCTCACGCTGCCAGTGAAGCCTCCTGAGAGCCTACAAGGTTCTTTGCCCTTACAGTGTTATCCAAGACTCCAGGGAAACCTAAATATAATGAAGGAGTGCTTTGGGAGTGATTCCCTGCACGGATACCAGCTTAGCATCATCTGTAGGGTTCATATGATGTCCAAAGGTGGTGTCTTAAATTGCTGTGCCAGTTGGTTCAGGCTGGTATAACAAAATACCATGAACTGGGTGGCTTATAAACAGCATCAATTTATTTCTTACAGTTTCAGAGTCTGGGAAGCCTAAGATTAAAGCACCGGCAGATTTTGTGTCTGCAGAGAGCTAGCTTTCTGTTTCATGGATGGTCTCTTTTCAATATGTCTGACAAGGTGGAAAGGATGGGAGTCTCTCTGGGGTCTGTTTTATAAAGGCACTAATCCCATTTATGAGGGCTCTGCCCTTATGGCCTAATTACCTCCCAAAAGCCCCACCTCCTAATACTGGGGTATTTGGGTTTTACAGTTTCAACATATAAATTTTGGAAAAACAAATATTCAGAACATACAGGCCATATTTACTATTTGAAGCTTGCTTCAAGCACTAGACTAGCTTTAGTCATTGAGTAAATTATAGGTAGGTCTAAAATACCCACTGGTTTGACATATGCCTTTGCTCTTATGATGCTATCCATTTGACCACACAACACTGCCATAGAAAACCTTCCCAACAAGTACACTTGCCTCACAACACTGCAATCAGTATGTAATGTCCCATACATCAGCAACCATGCCAAAACGGCCTCTTTCCCCTGCTTGCTGCGGCCTGATATTCCATCAGGACCCCTTCTATCCATCCATTCCAATCATCCGCTGGCTGTGCATCTACTTTACAAGTCTTACCCTGGGGGTGAGGGGATGAATCAGAAAGATACCTCAAGCAGCTCACAGGCTACTAGAGAAGACAGATGTGAATGCAATAATTCCAATATACTGTAAGAGATTCTATATGGTTGTACTTCAAAACCAAAAAAATAAACTGGGCTACCACATCACAGCCTGCTCAGAGGGACGATCAGGATACACTGTGAGTATGAGAAAAGCTAGCCGACTGAAAGCTCAACATCTCCTTAGGGCAGGAAGGAACCTTCATGGTTAGTACTTAACATTTCAGAGAGCAGGAGCTTCATTTGCCTTTATAAGAGAAGATCTTGACAGGAAAAAGACTTGAAAACTGGGTCTGATGCAGCCCCAGAGGAATGTGTGGAGAAGGTGAGAGCGGGAGCAGGGTTTTAAGCCTATCAGAGTGAGCAGAGCAGCTTTCCCCTTCCTCCTTCACTCACTCAGGTACCTATTTCCTTGCCTGCCTGAATGGGTTTTAGCTCTCCTGAATAATCAGGAGGAGCATCAGTTCAGTTCGTGCTTTGTCAAGTGGAAGACAACATAGAGATCTGAGGCCCAGAGCCCTGGGATGGAGAAAAAGGAAAAGGAGGGTGGGAAGCAGGAGAACTGGGTCATGTAGTGTCCCCAGAAATGTGGGAATGTGGCGTCTCAGACCCCACAGCAGCTCCAGCATCTAAGTGACCAGTTTGGAACACAGACAGTGAGTGGAACAGTGGACTGTTCCTGGATTTTATTACTTTGCTAATGAAGCATTGGTATAAACAGTGTTGAGAAATACTTGGAACTCAGTTTGGCTGAATGCCTTATGTATACATTTTCAAGTACACATCATGAGCTCCTCGTTTCTTCTTTTTAGCTTTTGCTCCAGGAAATCCTGGATATGGATAGGTGGCTAGTTCTCCTTCCTGGGGCTATCTAGGCTCCTGCAATCCTGGAACTCATGCTTATGCTCATGGATCTGCTCCACAGAAGTCACCCAGCCTAGTTCTATGGTGGGGCTCAGGTTCCTCTCTCTGGCTCTTGGGAAGACCAGGAGAATCTCTAATTCCTCACCTCAAGGGACTCATACAGAATGGACACATAATCTTTCTCTTCTCCATGCCAAGGACCAAGTGGTCAACTTTAATCTCCAGCTGATATGGTTTGGCTGTATTCCTACCCAAATCTCATCTTGACTTCCCATGTGTTGTGGGAGGGACCCAGTGGGAGGTGATTGAATTATGGGGGCGGGTCTTTCCTGCTCTGTTCTCATGATAGTTAATGAGTCTCATGAGATCTGATGGTTTTAAAAACAGGAGTTCCCCTGCACAAACTCTCTCTGCCTGCAGCCATCCATGTAAGACATGACTTGCTCCTCCTTGCCTTCCGCCATGATTGTGAGGCCCCCAGCCACGTGGAACTGTAAGTTGAATTAAACCTCTTTCTTTTGTAAATTGCCCAGTCTCTGGTATATCTTTATCAGCAGCATGAAAATGAACTAATACAGTAAGTTGGTACTACAAGAGTGGGGTGCTGCTGAAAAGATACCCAAAAATGTGCAAGCAACTTTGGAACTGGGTAACATGCAGAGGTTGAAACAGTTTTCAGGGCTCAGAAGAAGACAGGAAAATGTGGGAAAGTTTGGAACTTCCTAGAGACTTGTTGATGGCTTTGCCCAAAATGTTAATAGTGATATGGAATATAAAGTCCAGGCTGAGGTGGTCTCAGATGGAGATGAGGAGCTTTTAGGGAACTAGAGCAAAGGTGACTCTTGTTATGTTTTAGCAAAGAGACTGGTGTCATTTTGCCCCTGCCCTAGAGACTTGTGGAACTTGAACTGGAGAGAGATGATTTAGGGTATCTGGCAGAAGAAATTTCTAAGCAGCAAAGCATTCAAGATGTGACTTGGGTGCTGTTAAAGGCATTCAGTTTTATAAAGGAAGGAAAGCCTAAAAGTTCAGAAAATTTGCAGCCTGACAATGAGATAGAGAAGAACATCCCATTTTTTGAGGAGAAATTCAAGCCAGCTGCAGAAATTTGCATAAGTAACGAGGAGACAAATGTTAATCCCCAAGACAAGGGGGGAAATGTCTCCAGGGCATGTCAGAGACATTTGTGGCAGCCCCTCCCATCACCAGCCTGGAGGTTTAGGAGGAAAACATGGTTTTGTGGGCCAGGCCCAGGGTACCTATGCTGTGCACAGTCTAGGGACTTGGTGTCCTGTGTCCCAGCCACTCCAGCTGTGACTAAAAGGGGCCAAGGTACAGCTCAGCCTGTTACTTCAGAGGGTGGAAGCCCCAAGCCTTGGCAGCTTCCAGGTGGTGTTGAGCCTGCAAGTGCACAGAAGTCAAGAATGAGGGTTTGGTAACCTCAACCTAGACTTTAGAAGATGCATGGAAACACCTGGATGCCCAGACAGAAGTTTGCACAGGGTTGGGGTCCTTGTTGAGAACCTTTGCTAGGGCAATGCAGAAGAGAAATGTGGGTTCTAAGCCCCCATACAGAGTCCCTCCTGGGGCACTCCCTAGTGGAGCTGTGAGAAGACGGCCACTATCCTCCCAACCCCACAATGGTAGATCCACTGAGAGCTTGCACTGTGCACCTGGAAAAGCCACCAACACTCAATGCCAGCCCATGAGGACAGCCGGGAGGGAAGCTGTACCCTGTGAAGCCACAGTAATGTAGCTTTTCAAGACCATAGAAACCAACTTCTTGCATCAGCTTGACCTGGATGTGAGACATGGAGTCCAAGGAGTTCATTTCAGAGTTTTAAGATTTGACTGCCCTGCTGGATTGCAGACTTGCATGGAGCCTGTAGCCCCTTTGTTTTGGCCAATTTCTCCCATTTGGATTGGCTGTATTTACCCAATGCCAGTACTCCCATTGTATCTAGGAAGTAACTAACTTGCTTTTGATTTTACAGGTTCATAGGTGGAAGGGTCTTGCCTTGCCTTGAATGAGACTTTGGACTGTGGACTTTTGAGTTAACGCTGAAATGAGTTAAGAATTTGGGGGACTGTTGGGAAGGCATGATTGGTTTTGAAATGTGAGGACATGAGATTTGGGAGGGACCAGGAGTAGAATAATATGGTTTGGTTGTGTCCCCACCCAAATCTCATCTTGAATTCCCAAGTATCATGAGAGGGACCTGGTGGGAGGTGATTGAATTATGGGGGCGGGTCTTTCCTGCACTGTTCTCATGATAGTGAAAGAGTCTCACAAAATCTGATGGTTTTAAAAATGGGAGTTTTTTTTTGCACAAACTCTCCCTTTGCTGCCATCCATATAAGACACGACTTGCTCCTCGTTGACTTCTGCCTTGATTGGGGGGCTTCCCCAGCCACATGGAACTGTAAGTCCTGTCTTTCTTTTGTAAGTTGCTCAGCCTTGGGTATGTCTTTATCAGCAGCATGAAAATGGACTAATACACCAGCACTGCATAGTTTAGGTCCTGTTCCATTATCTAGTCTCTCTTAGGCAATTATTCACATTTCTAACATCTTTTTTCCAACATTTTATTATAAAAAATTTCAAATATGGAGAAAAATTAAAAGAATTCTATAATGAATACCCATATACCACTTTATCCCATATCTATCCATCTATCTAGCTGTCGATCCACCTTATTTTCCAACATTTTCAAATTAAGCTTTTTATTTTGAATGTAATTATAGATTTAAACACAGTTGTATAAAATAATACAGAGAAATCCTATGTGTCTTTTACTCAGCTTTTCCCAGTGATAACATCTTGCAAAGCTATAGCACAATATCACAACCAGGACATTGACATTGATACAGTCAAGATGCAGAACAGTTCATCACCACCAGGACCTCTCATGTTACCCTTCTATAGCCACATCTACTTCCCTCCCATCCCCACCCTGTCTTTAATCTCTGGCACCACTAAATGTTCTCCATTTCTGTGGTTATTTTAAGAATGTTATATAAATGGAATCATGCAGCATGTATGTAGGCTTTTGGGATTGGCTTTTTTCTCTCAGTGTAATTCTCTAGGGATTCACCCAGGTGGTTGTATATATCAACAGTTAATTCCCAAGGTGTTTTCCAAGGCATTTTCACACCCTAGGAAAGCTATTCATAAGCTTGTGTTGGTATCACCCAATAAAATCCCCAGCAATATTATAGAAGAAAACATATTCTTTTAGAGTCCTTTTTTTTTTAAAAAAAATCAACTTATGGAGATTTTGACACTTGGTCATTATTGGCCAAAAACAGTTTGAAAAGTTTCCAGTGTGATTTTCATTTGTGTGAGTTTGAGAAGGGCATGAAAATGTCAGTGTCAAGGCCGGGTGCAGTGGCTCATGCCTGTAATCCCAGCACTTTGGGAGGCCGAGGTGGTAGATGATGAGGTCAGGAGATTGAGTACATCCTTGCCAACATGGTGAAACCCCATCTCTACTAAGAATATAAAAATTAGCTGGGCATGGCAGCACACACCTGTAGTCCCAGCTACTCTGGAGGCTGAGGCAGAAGAATCACTTGAACCCGGGAGGCGGAGGTTGCAGTGAGCCGATATCGCGCCACTGTACTCCAGCCTGGGCGACAAGAGCAAAACTCCATCTCAAAACAAACAAACAAACAAACAAACAAAAATGTCAGTGCCCGTATTCATCTTGCATAAAATATTTGAACTTTATGCTGCACTAAAACAATAAATTGTCTCTGTAATAAGACATGGGCAATTAAACAAGCAAGAGAAACAATTCGTGTAGCTCAAGTCAGATGGAAACAGTGCAACTGAAGTAATGTAATCACACTCCAGGAGCCAGATAATGGGATGTGTGCCCAGGAAAGGTGGCTGGTGTCTCTCTCACCATCACCTGGAAAGGCAGACCAACCAGAAGGACAGGAGTCCTTCTTTACAGGGATAGCAGGGCCCTTCCCATAAAGCAGCAGGTGGGGGAAGGGTGGAGAGTCTGCCCAGATAGCTCTGTGATTGGTGTGAGCCTATGCTCCGAGCTGGGAGGCTGCTGACCCAGATGGCTGGAACTGATGCTCCATTGTGAGTTGTTACTGAATTCACACATAGTGCAACCTGGATGGGCCCAGCATAGACATGTTGGAGGGCTGGCTGGCGCACTTGCTGGTGGAGCAGGGAAAGCCCTTTTCTATGGCTGCCCTTCCTTGGGTTGCTTGGCTTAGGCACAGACCACCTGGTATTTCTTCTTATATTGTGGACTTGCTTTTTCACTAGTCTCTCTAATCTCTAGCTTAGTATTTTCCTTCATGTGTTTCTCAGAACATAGGTCAATGGGAGTCTAATAGGAATTAGCAAACAAGAGTTTTTTGGTTACATAAGTTTGGGGAATGGTGGATTAATCAATGCTAAATAAGTGTCTTTATGGAGGGCTGCTCAGATCCTCTGACACAGGACTGGGCACAGAAGGTCTATATTATTATGTAAGACTCCATGGTTATGACTGATTATATGATTATAATAAAATTTTTATAACCTATTTGACCAAGGAACCTGACTTTTTGTGATGCTTCAACCAGACTAAAGTTCTGTGGGTCACACTTTGAGGACTTTGATCTGCTTGCTTCATGTCTATAAAGCCTGCACGCACATGAACACATAATATAAACTCCATGCTGGCAGGGCTCCTCATTATGTTCCCTGATGTGTCTTCACTGTCTAGGACAGTCCCTGCTCATATTAACTACTCAATAAACACTAGCTAAATGACTAAAAAATAATAACCAGAATATTTATTGAGTTCCAGAAATTACTGTAAACTTTTTCTGTCATTATCTTGTTTGACTTTCAAAATGATCCCAAGAACTGAGTTCTATCGTTACTGTCTTCTGTAGATGAGAAAGTGGAGGATTACAATGGTTAAATGATTCGCCATTGGTCACACAAATAGGAGGGGGCCAGGCTGGGGCTTGAATCTAGATGGATATGACTGCAAAGCCAATGCTGGTAACTGTTCCACTTTATTGCTTCTAGGAAGTAATGGATAAATAAATATATGAATTCAAAACATACCCGGGGACCACTCACTATACTGTAAGGGTATTAGCCTAAGTGGCCTCACCAAAATATCCCATTTCCCAGGGCTAATTCACCTCTGGATGCAGCCTTCCAGAGTTCTCTGGAGAGAAAACACATGTCTAGAACCTTCTTCACTACAGAGGACGGCACACACTCCTGTGGGAACTGCAGCATCACCAAGAACACGAGTCACCTGAAATATTTGACTTGATCCTCATTAAGTTACATGTGAGTCATCTTGAAAAAGTCAACACTGAGCACTGTAGCATTTGGAAGAAAGCAGCCACAGGAATCCATGTTGCAGGGTGGGGACCAGGAGTATGAAGGTCTTCAAAGCAATGAAATAATTGCTATGGTTTCCAAAAAGGAAGTTAGAAGTATTTATTTTAGCACAGTAGACAGAGGCACAGGAAACAGAGTATCAGAAGCTCTCAGCATTTCTAGCTTGTCTGTGAGAGACATCTACCCGGCATTGCAGAAGAAAGGAAACAACAAAACTGCCTAGGAAAATGAATGATGATAGGGTAAAAAGCCGGGTGCAAAAAAGCATTCTAGGATCCTTCTTCGGAAACTGGAAGTGCATCTCTCGGAGCATGCAGAATGAGTGCCCCAGTACCCAAGGACCCCCTTTAGCTCCCTCCAAGGGCTGGCAACAAGCTCCAGGCCTCACAAGGGGCTGGTCCAGGTGCTGGGAGGTGGCTGCTTTGCTTTGCAAGCCCTCTCAACAAAGACTTAGCTAGGCATTGCCCTGCCTTGAGGAAAAGCAGCCTGTGCAGCGTGAATAAACTGTTGATGTTATTAGGGTTGCACCACAATCATAACAAACTTTTCCTTTCTCCAGTTGATGATTTCTCCTGTGATTTGTGCTTGAGCCAAAGATGGAGACTTGTTGCTATCTCCAGGTAAGATGTTGCTTCTGGCCCAAGTGAACAGGGCCATCTGGGTGAGTGAGAAAGACATTTCTTAATCAACATTATCTCAATTCAGTATGGGACATGGTTAAGAAGACAAGCTTTCAAGCCAGATTGTCTGGGTCTGATTCTTAACTCTACAACACCAAGTGTTGTATCTCTGGGTTTCAGTTTCCCCATATCTACAACTGGGATAAAAATGAGGACATTTATTTAAGATTGGGCAAAGATGAAAAGATAGAAAGATATAAGGCATTTAGGAGTAAGGCCTGGCATAGCAGTGTTTTTTTTTTTTTTCTTAAAATTTTAATTTTCAATTTCTATGGGTGTGTAGTAGGTGTCTATATTTACAGGTCACATGACATATTTTGATACAGGCATATAATGTGTAATAATCACATCAGGGTAGTGGGATATCCTTTGTGTTACAAACAATCCAATTATAATTTTAGTTACTTTAAGATGTATAATTAAATTATTTTGGACATAGTCACCCTGCTGTGTTAGCAAATACTAGGTTCTATTCATTCTTTTAAAAAGTTTTTCATTTTTAATTTTTGTGGGTACATAGTAGGTATATATATTTACAGGTTTCATGAGATGTTTTGATATAAGCATGCAATGCATAATAATCACATCATGGAAAATGGGATGTCAATTCCTCAAGCATTTATCCTTTGTGTAACAATCCAATTATATTTTTTTCAGTTATTTTAAAATATACAATTAAATTATTGACTATACTCACCCTGTTGTGCTATCAAATACTAGGCCTTATTGATTCTTTCTAAGTTTTTCTTTTTGTACGAATTAACTATCCCCACCTCCCTTCCACCCCCATCCCTCACTACCCTTCCCAGCCGCTTGTAACCATTCTTCTACTCTCTATGTCCATGAGTTCTTTTAATTTTTAGCTCTTACTAATAAGTGAGAACATGCAATGTTTGTCTTTCTCTGCCTAGCTTGTTTCATTTAACATAATGACCTCCAGTTCCATCCATGTTATTGCAAATGGCAGGATCTCATTCGTTTTA
Organism: Homo sapiens; assembly: GCF_000001405.40. Lineage (NCBI taxonomy): Eukaryota > Metazoa > Chordata > Mammalia > Primates > Hominidae > Homo > Homo sapiens. The sequence goes on along the minus strand of NC_000003.12, from coordinate 140,222,137 downwards.
TGGCTGACCAGCACCCCGTTTTGTATATGTGCCACATTTTCTTCATCCATTCATCTCTCGGTGGACATCTAGGTTGCTTCCAAATCTTGGCTATTGTGAATAGCACCACAATAAATATGGCAAAACAGACATCTCTCTGATATACTGATTTCCTTTCTTTGGGGAATATATCCAGTAGTTGGACTGCTGTATCATATGGTAGCTCTATTTTTAATTTTTGGAGGAACCTCCAAACTGTTTGCCATAGTACTTGTACTAATTTACTTTCCCACCAATAGTGTATAAGGATTCCCTTTTCTCCACATCCTTGCTTGGCTTTTGGATATAAGTCATTTTAACTGGAGTGAGATGCTACCTCATTGTAGTTTTGATTTGCATTTCTCTGATGATCAATGATGTTGAGCACCTTTTCACATACCTGTTTACCATTTATGTGTCTTCTTTTGAGAAATGTCTATTCATATTTTTTGCCCATTTTTAAGTCAGATTACTACATTTGTTTCGATAGAGTCATTTGAGCTCCTTATATATTCTGGTTATTAATCCCCTTGTCAGATAGATAGTTTGCAAATAATTTTCTCCCATTCTGTGGGCTCTCTTCACTTTGTTGTTTGTTTCCTGGTATAGAAGTGTTAACTGCCACTATTGCTATTCCTGGTCTACATTTCATTATCCAAAGTCATTGTAGCCAGATATGTTCCACAAGTCACTTTTTTTTTTAGAATTTAAAAATGTAATATGGTGTGTGTAATTTATATTATGTAGCACCCTCTGCAAAGTTGAGGGCAACACCCCATAATCAAAAATATTATTTCCACATCTAAACATAGACACGTTCACATTAAGTAAGATAAATAATTTTTTTACCAAATGAGTTTTGGCATTAAACTTAGAAAAACACTTTCTGTTTTCAGAGTTTTATGAAATTTGGATAAAAGATTGTTGACCTGTCTCACTGATACCCCTGCAATGGGTTGCTGTGTCTATACTGGGGAAAATGCCCTCTCTACCAGGGTCCCCTGAGCTTTGCTCCTGGCTGACTGTACAGTGACTAAAAAATAATAACCAGAATATTATTCTGCTATTTCAGCAGCAGAATGTTTCTGCCTAGACCTTGTCTATGAGTCTCCAGCCTGTCGGCTGAGCCTGACAATGGTGGGTGGTCCATGGAAGTCAGGGCTCCAGTTGCAGTATATATTAATACAGATAACAATGTTTAACTCACCACCTAACTGAGAAGCCCAGGACACAGTGTAGGCAAAAGCACTGGGAACACAGTCCCGGGCACATAGAGGCATCTATGAGTTTCACTCTCCTTTCCTTCTCTGCATGAAAACTGCCCTGTCCCCATCACAAATCAGCACAAAATGATATTCAGTCTTGTTCTGTTCTTTCTCTTCACTAAGTTCATGGATGTTTGCTTTTGGACTTTTAATTAGATAGAAAGCATCATGGAAGCAGGTGCCAATCCACTCACATTATCTTTAGAATTTGAAGATATTTCTACTGATTGAATGGAAATGTCTCTTGGCAAATGTGCCTCTGAAAGCATCCAGAATCTCCTTCATGAGTTATTCAGGTAATAATAACAGACATGGTGGATGTGCTTGCTATGCTGCCCAGGCAAGGATGCCTGGTTCTGAAGCTAAAGGCATCTAGACCAACTTAAGACTGAAAGTGGAAACTATAAACTAACCATGGGGCTCAAGAAGGAAGACGACAGGCCAAATTCCAAATAATGGTCCTGCTAATGCCCACAATTCTATTATCCTTGGAACTTGCACTCTCTGCCCCCACCAGCATTACAGGCTAGTGACCAAATACATCACAATACTGACATATATAGGATTGAGATCATTATGCCATGGCATTGGAAGGTGGATGATCTCCACCAGGAGGCACTGTGAGCAGAAAAGACTAAAGACCTTGAGAAGTCCTCCAATCTATGACAGCCCAATTTGCACTAGTGCTGAGACTGAAAGCATTTGATTGTTTTCATTGAGACGTTATTTTGCTGACTGCAGGAAAAGCAGTAGAGGCAGTATAGCATAGCAGTTCAGAGTACAGCATCCAGAGCCTGTCTAGATTTGAACCCAGGCTCTGCCATTTATGGTTGTTGACAATATAACCTAAGCCAGTTCTTCTTCCATTTCTCCATCTGTAAAATGGGGATATTCCTCCTGGGGTTGAAGTGATATGGAATGAGGAAATATGCCCAAAGCTCTTCAAACAGTACAGAAAAGAGAGAGTACTCAGTAAGGCCTCTCTTACTGAGTAAGAGGTAGGTATGATAGCGATGATGCTGTGCCCCACTATTTTACATAGCACATCCACAGAGAGGTGCCAACACCAAACAAAATGCTTGAAAGAAGCAAAGCGTCTAAGGAATTGCCTTCTTGGGGACTTACCTTGCTAAGTGGTTATGCAGGAGGCCCTGCTGTCTCCAATTCCACAGCTGAATCTGCAGCGCTGCCTGGAAGGGCTGGGCGCAATCACTGAGGGAGGGTGGCAGTGGAGAGGAGGCCTCCCACTGTATTTACCAGTCTCTAGGACAGCAAGATACACTCGCTCCGAATGACGAGCAGCAACCACAAAACATTAAAAATACATCAAGAAGAAAAGAACTCCGGAAACAAGATCGCTCCCAGATAAAATGCCATCTTGTTTTCTTAAGGAGCTTTGAATTCTCCGATTTAAGGAACTGTGGTTTGAAAGGTTACCTGCGGGAAATCTGGAGCTTTTAAAGCCCTGGGCTTTAATTAAAACTCACTCACGCGCAACTAATGTGTGAGCCCAGAGGTTCCCTGCCTGCTCTCAGGGAAGGCAGGTCAGAGAAGGTCTTTGATAAGATGAGAAACTTTAAAGTCCTTGGCTGCACATGTGAGGCCCTCTGCACCCTCTTCCCTACTCTTTATGGAAGGCTATGCACCTCACTCTTTAGAAATAAATGCAGCAGGCACACATGTCTCCAACATTCCTGCAGTTCATGTATCATGTATTCCTGCAGTTCGAGCCTTTTGTTTGGATACATGATACATGAACTGCAGGAATGCTCCCAAATGGACCAGGGCGTGGATGGAGTTGATGCCCTAGTTGCATTAAATTCCCAATTATTAAAAACAAAACAAAACAGCTTCACGTGACACCTATAACAACCTCGTGTATGAATCAGACACCACCATTTGGAGATTCCTCTCCATTCAGGTTACGTTCCCCTCTGCTGTCTGTCTACCACTTTTTAATCCTGCCTCACATGACCACATTTGTGAAAGCTGCTTCTATATTCTTGTCCCCCTGGGGGATTCCACATACTCTGTTATTAGAAACAAATCCAAGTCATCATTTCCCTCAACAAATTGTGTCCCAAACACTAACTTCGCTCCAGGTTTCATGGGGCTTTAGTTATTTTATAAAGCTGCCATCTATCTTGAAAGCTTCTTGAGGAGAAAGTTCCTGAGAGCTTAATTGGTCCAAAGCTATGCTTGCTTGACGTACTCAGTATTTTTAAAAATTTGAACTAGTTGCTGATATGTAAAAATCAGGAAGGTTTTTTTTAATGTATCTACTTAGGTTCCTCTTGAAAATCAGACTATCTAACAACAGGGGGTCACAACATTCCAATAAAGCCATGATTGACTGGGTGCTGCTTCTAATGACAACCTGCTATCTCACTTTCTTTCACTTCCTGCTTTGTCCTGGGATGGATCTTTTCAGCTCAAGAAGTAAGGATAATAATAAGTGAGCAAAAGCTTTTTAGTGCCTGGATTATGGCAGAAACACCACCCAAGATCCCAAACAGCTTTGCAACTAAGGGATAGGTAAGGTTGCATCTTTACTTGCATAGCAGAGAGATTAATACAAGCAAAACAAAAGCAAATGCAGTGGCTCGGGAGAGTTTTATTTCTAAATACCAGAATCTCTCAGCGAATCAAGCTAATCATTTTCTTACAAGAATTGGGAAATTTCTGCTGACAGGAGCTTAATAATATAAAATATTATGTTTGAAAAAATGATAGCCATTACATTTTCTCATCAACATTCAGTTTTGTTTTACTTCCTGAGTTCCATCCTTTTGATAAATTCTTAGAAAAGGACCACAGGGTCCTATGCCTGGTCATCCTGCTGCTCATAAATGGATCAGTTCATGTATATTGAGTCATCAAATTAAGGTTTTGAGTGGGGATACAGTTCATTTCAGGGCCACATGAATTGCTAATGTGCTTCTGAGCTGAAGGAAATTAGGTTTGGTTTCTTCCTTCTTTTCTGCTGTAGAGAACCTTTAAAATTTAAACTCATAACTTCCATGCTTCCTCTGCACCTGGCATTTTTTGAATAGTTTCATTTTCTTGCCCAACAATAGTGTTCTGGTTTTCTAAGGCAAATATGTCCCCCTTTGCTCTAGAAGCAGCTGACTGGGAGAAAACCAAAGGGAAGGGAAGGTTATTAGAAGAAATGTGTCATATATGCCACAAATCCTAGGACGTCAACCCTTTCTCAAGACAGCAACCATTTCTATTTCCTCCAGATCTTAAAAAGGTACAGAGACTATCGTAATCATCATATTAAACAAGGATTATTTTGCTTAATACATTTTCCTATTTTTGTCATGAACACAGTAATTAACAAAACTTTTTTATGTGGTGATGTTGAATGATAACCAGTTTTTCCTGGATCTCGGAAAACCATGGAGCAGGTTCATTGTGGGTTGAATGAAGATAAATTCTACAAGAAAAGCTAGTTCTTGGGGGCAGGTTACAGGTTACAGCTCCTTGGGCAGCCATTCAGGACCATAGGTGCTTAGTTACCTTGTCAAATTCTTCTTGGTAGGAGAAAACATCCCCAACTTTGGCACAAAATTGCTTCTAGAAGAGTGAAATAAACCTGTGCTTTTAAAAATAAACTGTTCTCTAAGGATGTGAAACTACACTGGTAGATGTAACCGACCCTCAGCTACAGCCAGAGCAAACTCCTAGGGAAACTGTAAAGTCAGAAGATTTGGGCGTGTGTATCCTCTCCTTCCACAAGAATGTGGGAGTTAAAAAAACTGCACCCTGGAGTCACATCACTGGGATTCAGATTGTACCCTGATCATTTCAGCAGCGTGATCTTGGTTAAGTTACTTCACTTCTCTGGACCACTGTTCTCTCATCTGTAAAATGGGTATAGTAACCATGTCTACTGCATGGGTTTTTATAAGGACTATGAGTTAGTATATGTAAGGCATTTATGACAGAGCCTGGCATATGGTCAATTAAATATGTCAGATTATCTGTGGGACCTCCTTTCACTGTAGTTTCCCAGGTTTTTCTGCCTGGTCTTGTCTGAGTATATTCTTCCTATTTCACATCCATTACCACCAAAACCTAATATCTGTACAAAACTTGGAAGTTTACAAAATGCTTTTGCACTTTACATCTCATATAATCTTCACATCAGCTCCTAGTATTATTTCCCTTCCGTCTGATTTTGGACAACCAGGCACCATTTTCTCTTCTCTATGCTTTCCCTTAAATCACAGGGTCTCAACACCCAAGAACCAAATTTCCTAGCATTCTAATCAGCAACTGAGAGGTTTGGTTTTTTAATTTTTGTAAGAGTCACAGCAAAGAGGCACACGTGGAAAAGCTTAAAGGGGAGGAGAAGCAGAGCACTCATTGCTCCAGAAGCAGTAGTGGGAAGCAATTCCTCTGCCCTCCAGCAGAGGGTAGACAGTGGAATGAGGCCAGCGACATTTGGGCATCCTCCTGAGAAGCCCCCACGTTAGTGCTGTACTTCCTCACCTCCTGAACTAGTGGTGGCTTTTCCTTTCCTTCATCCCTTCTGCTTCTCTAAAGATCTTGTATCCTCTAATTCGTGGTCGCCAATGTTTTGGGCACTAGGGACCGGTTTCATGGAAGATAATTTTTCCATGGATGGGGGTGGGAGGCGGGTTGTTTCGGGATGAAACAGTTCCACCTCAGATCATCAGGCATTAGATTCTCATAAGGAGCTTACAGCCTAGATCCCTCACATGCACGGTTCACAATAGGGTTCATGCGCCTATGAGAATCTAATGCTGATCTGGCAGGAAGTGGCGCTCAGGCGATAATGCTCACCCACCCCCTGCTCACCTCCTGCTGTCCCGTGCAGTTCCTAACAGGCCATGGACCAGTAATGGCCCGAGGCCCCAGGGGTTGGGGACCCCTGCTCTAATTCCCTCTGTGAGATCCCTTTTTGTTTGAAATACCTAGTGTTTCCACTTTCTTAACAAAACCCAAACTAATACACCTACTTTATATTAGATAATACATATTGAGTACTCACCATATGTCAAGCACTGTTTTAAGCATTTTATATGAATTAACACATTTAATCCTTATAACAATGCGGTTTGAAAGGTGGCACTATTACTGTGATTTTTAAAGATAAGGAAGCTGAAACACAGGGAGGGTAAGTTACTTGTGCATGATTATTGCTATGCTCTACTGACTCTCTCCACTATTGCTATACTCTACTGACTCTCTCCACCTACTGAATGTTTACTGTATGCCTGGCATTGTGCTAAATTCTTAAATAAGCAAGGAGTCTCAGGTTTCTCCAAGATTACATAGCTAGTCAAAAGCCAAGCAGGAATTCTCATTCATTTCCAACCCCCTATCCAATGGTTCTTTCTCCAAAACTTCTGCACAGAAACAACTATCATGGGAAAAAAGGACAGATAAATTGCTACAGTTAAAGTGTGTTTGTGAACGAGTTATCTGCCTTTTGTTCTATGTGCTCTTTATGTTTTACCAAAGAAACTGTTTTATTCCAAAGAATGAGCCTGCCATATCCCATTAGGCCCAGGGATAGGTGGGTATTGCCATATAAAACACAAGTAAGGGGAAATGGGAGGAGAGAAGGATTGAAGAGGAAGAGAGGGAGAAAGTGTATGAGGGAAAAGGGGCCAAGAGAAGAGTAAGAAAAAAAGTCAAGGCAAGAAGATGAAGAGGAGAGAAAGACGGCAAAGCCACAGGCTTTTCCTATTGTAAAACCTACCAGTCATACATCAGAGTAAAGGCAGAAAAGAGAATCTTCCCACCTCCTATTTCTACCAGGGGATCAAGTTCTCTCCTTGCAAGAAGTGCAGTTACTAAAATATTCATCCCCTTGCCCTAGATTTACATTATAATGCAGAATCCATAAGTGTTAGTTATTTTGGTTGCTTGATAAAAATTTGATGCATTATGATTAACGTGCATATAATAGTCTAAATTTATTATGTTGTATAAAGACTTCAAAAATATATGGCACCTACGCTTTTCCAAAGTGTAAGAAAACAGATAAGGTTTCAGACAGTCAAAGAAAGATTGCTTTCATTAAATTATGCCGTTACTGAATTTCTTCCCCTATGCTGTATTTTCCCTGTTCTCAAAGCTGTCTGCCACATGAGCAATGACTTGGTGTGGGAATTTCCCCTAGATCTCTAGAAGCAATCCTTGGAGATGCTATTTAAATAATTAGGGGATTCTTTACTGAAAGTCTGCAAGTAGTGAAGATGTGTTAGAAAGATGTTGGGAAAGGGAGTTAGTGTGACCAGGTTACTTGGAGATGATGCACACTCTGGCTCTAGTCCCTGGGACATTTTGAAGCTGAAGAATACTGATCACCTACTCATGCTAGGTACTTTAAAAACCCCTTCAAAGTGGACCTATTCTTTTTTTTTAAGACAGAGTCTCACTGCAAGGCCCAGGCTGGAGTGCAATGGCATGATTTTGGTTCACTACAACCTCCACTTCTCAGGTTTAAGCGATTTTCCTGCCCCAGCCTCCCGAGTAGCTGGGACTACAGGCACGCAGCACCACACCCAGCACCACACCCAGCTATTTTTTTTGTATTTTCAGTAGAGATGGGGTTTCACCATATTGGCCAAGCTGGTTTTGAACTCTTGACCTCAAGTGATCCGTCTGCCTCAGCCACCCAAAGTGCTGGGATTACAGGCGTGAGCCACCATGCCTAGCCTATTTTTTTTTTATAGATAAGGAAGTTGAGGCTCGGATAACCCTATCTAAGACAAATCTAGTAGAGTTGACTTGGGGATACCTTGTACTCATTGCTGTTTATTTTACTTTAGAACTATAAACTAAGCTGCTGGGCCAATTAAACTTTTCTGATCACTGAATATTGAATGGATTAGCTCAAGGATAGAAATTAAACCTAAGTGTTCAACCTCCTACAAGGCCTGTAAGCTCCCTCTGCTCTCATATCCCTCCAGCAAATCCTCTTCTACTTCAGTCAGCTTGGGTGTTTTTCTGTTGCTTACAACTCTGTATCTCACTGATACAGAGCAGGGCTGGATTCGAGCCCCAATCTTACTGAAGCCAATACACAAGGCCATGTTGACCTTCTGCAAAGAAAAGTGAGACTCCACCATCTTGCTAACCTCCTCGCTAACCAAGGGGCCCTGCATTCTCCCCATCACACGGTCAGACCTAGAATAGATGAATGAGGCTAAAACCAGGCATCCTCCTAAATGTAGCACAGAGGAGGGGACCCTGTCCACCAATTGCTACTCCTCAGCACAGCATTCAGCTCTGCTTCTTGGGCAGCTCTGGGCCTGTATCTCTTCCCAGGCCTGTGGGCCATGTGCTCCTCACTTTACTCTGCTAAGAATCAGCAGAGAAGGCCTGGGTTCTCAGCTTCCTTAGGACTAGCTCCTGCCACAGCTCATGCCAAGCAATAGGCAGGTGGAAGGATTATGCCCTATGCAACCTGTGCTCACTGGTATTGTCCAGGGACTCTCAGGATCTTTTTATTGCTTCCCTACCCCTGCCTAGTCCTGGATATTTCCATATCATATCACATATTTTCTTTGGGTAATATGTGGGTACATGAATACAAACATGCAAACACACCACAAACGACACACACACACAACACACACACATGTTACAAAAAATAATACTAAATCTAGGGAAGGATCCTGGGACTGAAGGTGGTAGTCAGAGAGGAGTTTAACTTCATCTGCTGTTTCTTTTCTTCCTTTTTTGCTTAAACAAGGAGAACATGTTCATATATTACTTCTGGTATTAAAAATGAAAGGAAAAGTGCTAATGGCTATGAAGTTATTTGAAGTTTAATTGCTTGATGATGGGTTCATTTATTTGCCAATATCCATCAGGCTCCTCCTGGGAATCAGACACTCTGTAAAGAGACAGGGTGTGGTGGGAAGACAGACTGCACCTTCCCTCAAGGAGCCTATGCTAGAGAGCCAGCAATCACAACAGGGAATGAAGGGCACTGTGAGGGGGCACACAGCTCAGGCATGGAGCACAGGGATGGGTGTCCAGAGCCTGAGGGCTGAGGCCTGGTGGGTCTTATGGTGGGGGATTAGAATTTCAGGCATAAGCGACAATATGTGGCAAGATCTAGAGTGAACAGAAACATGGCCTATTTGAGAAAATCAAATGAGTTTGTTAGAGCTAGTGGGAGGTAGGAGGACCTGTGAAAGGTGAAACAAGAGATATAGGAGGATACAGACAATAAAGGGCCTTATGGGCCAGGTTACAAACTTTAGACTTTAGCCTAAAAGCAGAGGGGAGCCATTGAAGGATTATAAGCAAATGAGACTAAGCAATCTCAGGCTAGCTAAAGGCTGAGAGGCTTTGGGTGGTTCTCAGAACAGGGCCTATAGGCATTCTACTTACAAATACACAGTCTTGATTTCAAAGAGGTATAACAGAATCAACTGGTAATTATCTATATGCAGATTAATTACCTTGTGGATTACCAGTGGCAAATGAAAAATGTTACCCCAAACCGATTTTCCATTCTTGCACAGGACACTGATGGCTGCCTTTCTGTCATCAGTCACCAGCTCCCCTAGGGCTGTAAACTCATTTTAACACTGGACAGATCCAACACAAATCCAGAAGGTAAATCTTTGTTAAAAATTATAAACATAATGCACCAGATAGTCGAGTGTAAATGACTGCTCATTCAGGAAATGCTCACAGCAAGCACCTGTTGTGTTCCCGAGGAACTGAACTATCATGCCTTGGATTCAGTGGAGTCAGCATTTGGTGCAAATGTGTTTGAATTTTGGCCCCTCATGAGATCCATGATGTTTGGAAGATTACTTAATCCCTGTTCATCCATTCCTTCATCTGATGTAAAATATGGATGGTGCAGGGAAAATCTATGCAGGTTTAGAGTTAAAAGTCAGTAGGCATGCTGAGAATTGAAGATTAAACACAGTCAAAATTACACTTTAAGAAAACCCTTAACTCCTCTTTAAATTGTGAGCACTAGGCCCTTGGAAGCCCAAAAGCATCCGTTTCTTTCTTTCCTTCTTTTTCTTTTCCCATCTTTTACTGATTCACTGGAGGTTAAAGTCTAGTTTGAGGGGCTCAGGGAGAAATGGTCAAATAGGGTAAGGGGTGGGTTATTTAGGTTTCTTCCTATTCAAATATGGTGTCATTCAAGTAAGTTAAATGTGTATTATTATTCAATTTCATTTTAGTACTAAAAGCATTACAACTACCTAAAGTCTTTTATTGCAGAGGATTAAATGAATATGTTTATGTACACACAAATATATTCATATATATACACACACACACTACACACACACACACACACACACACAGATTTTGATCCTTGGAGTCCCCAGGTTTAAAAAATCTGAGAGCAAGATAAGTGTGGAGTAGACAGAATGTTAGTGATTTTTGATAAATAATATATATATATATACTGTGTGTGTGTGTGTGTGTGTGTGTGTGAATTACCAAGCATATATCAGGTGGTTTAGGCCTCTCCTTATGTCTACTGGTCATGGAGAATTGAGAACTGATTACTCATCCCTGCCAACCATTCACCCTGGAATGAATCTTAAATAATAGAGCTTGGAAGTTCCTTTAAAATTATACAATCTGAAGATCTTATTTTATAAGGAGGAAACTGAGGCCAGGAAGGGGAATGATCTGTCAGGGCCACTCTGCTACTGAGCACAGAGATGGGAGCACAGGTCTCCACTCTCCTGACAGCCAGTCCAGAGCTTCCATTTCACCATATTGACCCTCCAAAGAGCTAGGCTCTGTCTGTCTAAGGGATGAGACACCTTCTCCCACCACACATACCGACCCCAAGCCTACAAAATCTTTCTTTAAAATCATATTCACAATTATATAGTAAGCAGAATTCTCTGTGCACTGTTGATGGAATACTTGCTGGTGAAGAGGGGGAACTATGAATCGAAGACCCAAAGCTTCCTAGGATGCTGAGGAAATGCTGAGTTATCCTCAGATTCATAGCTATTTAGGTGCTTGTTACTACCGTCTTCCTGATCCAAATCCCACCTCAAGAGTTATAATTACGTTCATTCTGTAGGTTTCTATAATGACCCTCCTCCTCCTTCAAACCCACTGCATGAACAGGGTCCACCAAGATCTACCCAAGATGAAATACCCAGGAAAGTAGCATTCTCTCTCAGGGATGGTGCGAAGACTGGTCCAGACACAGTGTGGATTCACTGCGATAAAATATCCAACCAAGAGAGAAGCAGCTTGATGTTTCCTTAAGCATCTGTGACCTTAGCTCAGGAAGGTATATACATTCCCTCAGTATAACACGAGAAAACCAAAAATTGCTCTCAAATTTGAGAAGTCTGTACCTCAGCTGGGAATGTCTTTCTCCTGCAGGGTGTGTATCATGTGGGTTGAATAGCTCATTGGTGACAAACACCTGCCTAAAAGTGTGTACTGCTTCCAGATGTTTCTTAGCATCCAGATGTACAGCCTGCCTCGGCTACTGCTGCTTCTATCAAGTTGAACACTGTGTCTCTGCTTCATAAGTTACATCCTTGCAAACATAATATGATCATTCATGGGATGTGAGAATTGGTTTTAGTAAGCATAAGCTAAGGGTTTTAGAGTCAGGCAAACTGAAGGTAAGATTCTGGCCCTTCCCTAACACAAACAGCGAGTTCTTTGTGCCTCGATTCCTTATTTGTGAAGTAAAGACAACAGCAGCAACCTCCCAGAGTCATCACACAGATGACATGATGCACAGAAGTCTCTTAATAAATGTGGGTGACAACATAGGTCATGGAATGATAGAATGAAGAGTAGTTTTTCTCAGAGGAGACAGGGAAGCTTCTGTCTGGTCCAACACTGTAACCTCAGCATTTAGTACATGGCAGGAGCCCAATAAATATGAGCAAGGGAGTGAATGTATGAGCACCTGAATGGCCTCTAATTTGCAGCCCTGTAAGTCCTTAGAAAAGTCCTTGAAATCTAAGCTTGCAGTGAGAACTAGGTTGAGGCTCCAACTCACTTCAGAATTGAACCACTGAAAAGCCCTCTTCTGTCACCACCTGAACTGAATTCACTCCCTTTCATCATGCCAGCCCCTTTATGTTACTTGTCCTCTCCAGTTTCTAGCCCAAGGGAGTGAGTGGTGTACAGGGGGGTGTAACTTTTCGACACTGAGTATCAGTGTCCTCTGCATCCTTAGCCCAGGGAACTGTAGGTTCAGGCAGCAGTACGGACAGTGCTGGGCTTCAACAGAGCCTTAAAAAGCTCCTGACTAGCAGCAGCTAACACAGCTTCCCTCAGCACCCCATGCAAGTATGTATAAAGCTATAGGATGAACCTTCACTCCCCAAAGCACCAAAGTCTGTCCCCAGCAGTTAACCTACTTCCAGAATTGAGAGGAGAGTGCTATCTCGCAGCTATCTCGCACCAATGAAATGGAAATTTTTTAAAAAATAAAAATCCCTCTATGGCCACCAAAGCTACACAGCTGAAAGAAAGAGAACCCACTGTCCTGAAAGCATAAGGGATCAGAGTCCATTCATTCCTTGTCTTCCCTGGATCCAGAGATGCAAAGTCAATGCCTACCCAAATACTGAGCTCTCTTTTCTATTGAAGGGAGCCTAGTTCCAGTGGCCAGAGTGCTGCTCGCTGCATCCTCTCCAGTTCTCTCCCCAACTCCTGCTGACAATCATAATGCATACATCATAGATTTTGATTCTTGGAGTCCCCAGGTTTAAAAAATCTGAGAGCAAGATGAGTGGAGTAGACAGAATGGGAGTGATTTTTTTTCCATAAATAAATTGTTCTTATAGAAAGGTGCTGCAATGGTAGTAAAGATGTGAGGACACTTGGGGTTACTACACACTGGGAATTGCCACTTTCTATATACACTGTATCTTTTCAGACTGTGAAATAGCCAGACAGTGAAGGTGGCGGTGGGGTGGAGGCATGAATAACATTTACTGAGCTCTTCCTATGTGTCAGGCATGGTTACAGCAGCATGTAAGTACTGACTCCCTTTATTCTCCCAACTACCCCCTGAGTACAGAGAACAAGTCACACGGCCTTTATGTGGCAGAACTGCATTAAAAACAACAAATAACAAGAAAAACCCAGAGAATGAACTAAAAAAGATGAGTAAAATAAAAAGGATTGGGACAGAATCCCAAAATGCAACCTTAGAATTAAAATTTGCATTGGTGGTGCACAGGTGCTGAATGAACACTGGAAAACTGAGTCAGGGATGCAAAAAATAAAATGAGAAGATGTATAAGAAGGCAGGAAAATACCAAAGTAATGAATAATAATGTCAGAACACATCATGCACTGAGAACAGACATCCTAAGCATCATCTGGATTTGTAAAGAATGAAATCAGTAAACAAAGATACAGTAAATTCCCCTTGCCTAAAATAAACAAAAAATTAATCATAACTGTAAGATTAAAAGATCTTATTGTATTTCATAAAAGAGATAAAGTTAGTGAAGTCTATTCTCCTAAATACAGTCAGCTAAATTTATTGAGGATTAATAAATATTTCTGAGGCAGTAAACTGTTTCTATTAAAAAGAAATTAGGTTTGAGCCTCCAATCGTACATCAAAACAAATTTCAATAAAGAGTTACCTTGAAAATGAGCCATGTATAACCTTGGAAATAACTATATTAGCATTGTTTGGAGTTTTGGTTGGAGAACCTTTGTTTTTGCTTAGAAGAAAAAGTAATGAAAAAAATGATAAAACATGAATGGATTAGACAAATACAGTTTAAAATTTATATCCTAAACCCAATCAAAATTTAAAAGCACAAAATAGAAATATTTTTGCAAAAAATCTGGCAGACAATGGGTTACTATTAAAAAGAAGTTAGAGAGAGACATTTTTGCATTTTAATAGGGAAGCAATAATTACTATAATTATAAATATATATGAATATTAAACTTACAAAACAAGAAACTCACACACCCCATAACCAACAAAATGCAAAATAAAATGTGGCAGCAACTTTGCTTGTCAAACTGGCAAAACAGCAAAGAGAAGCAGGTGCCTTCTTAACTGCTGGTAAGCCAGTTTTTTTTCAGAACCAGTTCTGCACTGGGTAGCAATAATACTAACGATGTATACACTTGACCCAGCAATTCGAATCCTAGGTATTTACCCTATGCAACAATCAAACAAGTGCATCAAGATGTACACAGGAGGATTTTCAATAGGCACAGGATATTCTATTTACCCTGTTCTCAGCTGGTCATGATTATTTTAAAAACCACCATGAACATAAATCCTCACAGGTGTTTTGAACTTTTGAATTTGTGAAGCATGTTCACAAATGTCATCTTATTTAATTTTTAAAACAAGTTCCTGAGGAAAGCATTATTACTTCTATCCCCATTTAAAGACACTGAAAGACAAAAGGGTAAGTTGAGTGTAGCCTGAATTAAAGGTCACAAAGTTTTCTCTGATGTCTGAAATTATGCCATTAAGACAGAAAATATAATGGTAAGATGGGAATGGTGAATCTTTAGACCAACTCCTTTCTCTTAAAAATTAATGAATTGGCATTTAGAGAGGTGAAGTTTCTTACTAAGGCATACATAATGATTCTGGGACACTACCTCACTGTAGCATACAAACATTCTCAGAACGACTTCATGGGCCTACTCTCAAAGCACTTCTCTTTGTTGTTAGCTTATTAGGTAAAATGCAAACACCCCAGAAGCTGGAAATGGGACATGTGATAGGTTGGCTCTGATGGAGAAGTAGGAAGTTAGGGAAGATGTGAAGAAAGGAGTCAGAATCTTCCTGACATCCCCATAGGCTCTGGGTATACAGTAAGCACCTGGATGGGTCAAAAGGAGGACTACAGGAAAAAGAGGGAACCAATACCAAATGCTGAATGTACCACTCAGGCCAGGGCAAGTTCTGATCCCTCATGGGAATAGGAATTCCCAGCTCAGGCAGGTGGCCAGAGCTGCGCTGTAGGTTCTGCATCTGCCCACCAGATGTCTATTGGCTACTGGGCATTTTCTGTAAGGACCCTGGACAGCACTTCAAGCACACTCAAAAGAGAAAAAGGCCCATCAGACTCTCTCTACCCAGAGATTCTAACAGGGCAAGTACAAATGTCTCCTGGGAGAGTTTGTGGGAAGCTTTGCTGGGAGATTTTAAACCTAGTCTCAGCCTCTCTCCTCGGCTGCTTCAAATCCATTTGGCAGCACATTTATCAGATACTTCATTATTTAAAAGAGGAAGCCCTAAAGAGTTGCTTTGGGGAGCTAATTTAGGTCTGGAAGATAAGAGCCCAGTGTTTGGTTTTCACGTGTCAGGTGTCCTCATATTTGATAAGAGCCGATGGGTATTAAGAAGCCAGAGCCAGCCTGAAGCACTTCAAGCTCATTTCCTGCTGGCTGGGGCTGTGATTCCTTGATAGGTTCCTTTAGGGCCACTTTGCCAAATCTCTGCCCTGCCACTCTTCCTTAGCCTCTGGCTTGGCCTCTGCCCTCAAGCTAGGGGAGGTTGAGCTGAGGAGCTCTGCAGGGCTAGCCCAATCTATAGGAGATGTGTCTCTCCATGCCTCTGCCTCCTGCTGAGACCAGGTCTGCACTCTGGAGAAGGAGAAGCTCTCCCTCTGGGCTGCATCCTGCCTCTCTTAACTCCCTTGACTCCAGTGCCAGATAATACACCCTCCCAACTTCATGAACAGACTAATTGGGAGTTGTTTACAGCTCTAGATCTCAGCAGCAGTACTTCTACAGGCAGCAATTTGTTACTTATTAAAGCAAATGTTCTGAAGTTTGTGAATGATTTTCCTTTCTTTTTTTAATGAGTGGATTCAAGTTTATATCTTTAATAAAATCCCTCACTCCTGTGCTTTCTAGTGTAGAGAGCTCCTGTGCTTTTTGGGAATAGAGAAGATGGAGCTCCCAGCCCTCAGGGGCACAGTGCATGCACCTGTGAGTGCACACAGGCGCTCCATCCACCCTGTGTAGCAGCCAGGGACTGACCGGTGGGGACTGCTGGTCTGGAGCTTCATGAGTCATGGCTGTCTGCCTTGATCAGGGAGTAAAAGCTCCTTAGGGCAGCAACCCTGCCTTATCGCCCTTTGGTGACATGGTGCTTGCACACAGTAGGGGCTCAATCATCATAGAGTGGTGGAAAGTGGTGTTTTGACTGATGAGCTCATTAACTATACAAGACCTGTAATTGTGAACATGCATAGCAGGTGGCTGTGTGTGTGTGTGGGTGGGGGGCGGGTCAGGTCCAAACAACAACTGTACCCAATCCTCAATCCTCCTTACCTCCTCTGTGGCTTTCCTAATTTTTTCTGCTCTCCAGCCTCAGTTTAATCTCCCTCCCATATTCCCACCTTTTGTGAACCATGTAGCACCTGGAAATTGTCTTCCTCTAAACTCCTACTTCAAGGTGTGACTAACTTAATCCTTAAATATTTATCCCATGTTCAGGTGCTTCAGGCACATCTGTTTTGTCTTCTTATCTACACTGTGCATGCCCTATAGGCAGATATCACACCTTCTGCCTCTGTGGCATCTATGTCTCCCTTGTGTCACTAAGGACTCCATGAGAGCTCAATACGCATTTGAATTCAGTTGAACCACACGTAGGTATAATGATAAAGAAATAAAACCCATAGGATTTGGTAGTTAAATCCCAGCAAACACCTTTGGATGCTGTGTGATCTTTGGCAAGTTACTTAACCTATCTGACTTTTGATTTCCTCAACGTGAAGATTCAAATAATAGGTCTTCCCTCTTCCTGGATGGAACAAGGGCCGTAACTTACAGAAAATGCCTACCCTCTTTTCATAAGCCTCCCTCTTCCACTCTGACCCACCTCCCCTCACCCCTCCTGATTCCCCAACTCCCTTTCATATTTGAGCCCCTCAAGAATCATTAGCAAGTCAATAGTGTCATGAGGCCCATCAATGTACTGTCCTTAGGGATTGACTATCTCTCCCCAGTGGCCTCATATAGCCAGAATGGGGGACAGCGGGACAGACAGACCTGACAATTACAACCTCCACTGCAGTTCAGCTGCCTGTGGTGGCAGTAACCAGGGGAATAAGACCCTAGGCAATGGCAAGGACCTCAAGAAGGCTCACGTTGCCCTTCAGATGAGAGAAGGTTACCCTCAGCACATCCAGTTTCCCCAGGCAGGGACATTTGGGCATATTGGAGTGACAGGCTGATCATCACACTGTTACCTTTAGTTCCAGAGCTTACCGCCACTCCCAAGTTTTGTCCTTGACAGTAAAGCCTTTCTTTTACAATCAACTAATCCAAGGATTTGCCTTTTCCCAAATTAACACAAAAACAAACACATACACATGCAAATAATTCCAACAGCTAATTTACTGAGAAGTGATTATGTGGCAGATACTAGGTACTTTACATGTATTCATTTGTTAATACTCCCCTCAAGGATGTGGGGTAGGTACTGTGATAAACCTCACTTTACAGATGATGAGCCAAGGCACAGAGAAAGGGTGAGTAACTCGTGCAAGTTTGGAGAGAAAGGGACAGATGATAAGCCGTGAGGTCTGGCATCAGTCTTAGCTTCTGGGTAGTGCCCTGCCCTGCCTCTCTAGGCCAAAACATGTTTTTGGGTGGCCCCAAATAAAAACAACTACCACTTATGAACACCTTCCACATGCCATATGCTATTTCAGATATTATTTCCATCTTCCAGAAAGAGAAATTAAAGATTTGAAAAGTTAAATGATTTATTCAAGATCACCCAGGTAGAAAATGGTGAAGCAGGAATTCAAAGCTGAGTCTAACATGCCACACTGTATCCCAAAAGATACTTTTTCTTTGAAAATGGGGGACAGAAAGAAAGAGATCTAGGGAGATTAACTGCAAGAGGATGTCTTCTCAAGGAGTGGTCCTAGCTGCCTCCTCCTAACCAAGACCCTGGAGAGACACATTTCTCCAGCAACTTTGTTTCCTCCTCTGGCATCTGCCAATTAGACAGAATCTTGCGGGTTATTTTCTTACCATGCTCCAGGTTCTACCTTAAGCAAAATCTTTGCAGCCTCTCCCTCCTCTTCCTCTGTCATTGTTCCTACCACTGCTCATTACCATCCCTGGAATCTCTCCAAAACAAGCACTGCCAGGAGAAGCCATTGTCTTGTCAGCTAAGTCCATTAAAGCTGTCAGGCTCCCTAACAAATCTATCAGGCACCAGGAGGCCTTTCAAAATGATATCATTTGCCATTCAGGCAGAAACAAATAGCTATCCCAGGTGACTGGCAGAGGCACGGGCCATGCGCCAAATTGCACCGTGGTCTCAGGAAAAGAGCTAACATTTTCTACCAACAAATGGCACAGGATGTGCATATTTCTCCCATCTTAAAAACCAAAAAAAAAAAAAAAAAAAAAAAAAAAAAACCCACACTTTCTCTTAACCCCTCTTCCCTCATCAGCCAACATCCTATTTCTTTGTTATCCTTTGCAGTAATGTTCCTAAAAATGGAGTGGGTCCTGCCTCACTATCACCTTTTTAATGTCCTCCCATTTTCTACTGAGCAAGTTCAATCAGATTTTTGTTCACCTTTCCCCTAAACTATACTTTTCAAGGTCACCCATGACCTCCAGGTTGCTACATGCAATGATCCTTTCTCAGTCCTAATCTTACTTGACTTAGCAGCAGCACTTGATCACTCCCTATCTTTGTCAGAGTACACTTAAGGCTGTAAAAACCAACTTCAAATCTCAGTGGCTTAAAATAATAAAGGTTTCTTGCCCACGACACATTCCAATTTGGGAGGGGAGGGTACTACTCCATGTAGACATTCAGGAGCCAGATCCTCCCACCTTGGGGTTCCACTATTACTGAAGGCTACGGGGTCCTCTACTGCTCAAAGATTGCAGGAGATCTTACTGGCTAGACCAGGAGGGGGCATAGATCACTTCCACCCACATTGCACCGTCCAGAACTCAGTCACATGGATGGACCCAAATTCAAGGGAGACTGTGAAATGTAGACTAGTTATGTGCTCAGGAAAAAAAGGACCTGTTGGGTGGGCATCTCACTAGTCTCTTCCACGCTCCTTCTATACTGTCTTTACTTTGCTTCTGGACACTTGACTCTCTTGGTTTCCTCCTAACACACTGGCCATTTATTCTATCTCCTTTTCTCATCCTATCTCTTCTCTTGAACATCTGAATGTCCCGTGGCCTAAAAGACTAGCTGTTTACCAATTGTCCTAAATTTATTTCTGCAGTCAGACTTTTCTCCCAACCTCCAGGCTTTGGCATCCAACTGCCTACTTCACATCTCCACTTGGAAGCTATAAGGCACAGCAGACAGAACGTTCTAACGTGAATGCCTGGTCATCCTTCTCCAACCTACTCCACCCGCATCCTTCCTCCAACTCAGCAATGACACCTCCATCCTTCCAGTTGTTTAGGTGCCAAATCTTGTAGGCATCTTAGACTTCTTTGTTTCTCTCACACCTCAGATAGAACACATCAGGAAATCCTGTTAGCTCGGCCTTCCAAACATACCCACCCACAATCCCACTACTTCTCACCTGCTGATATAAGCCACTGGCACTCTCAGCTGTTACTGCAGTGGCCTACTAAGTGGTCTCCCTGACACTGCTCTTGAGCCCTGTAACCTCTTCTCAATATAGGAGCAGAGAGGCCCTATCACAATGTAAGTCAGATCACATTACTCTTCTGCTCAAACCCCTGCTGTAGCTCCCATTTCACAAAGGAAAAGCCTATGTTCTGACCATGGCCCACAGCCCTGCTTGATCCGCCCACCTCTAATACTGCCTGACCTCCAGGCTTTCCCTAAATAGCCAGACCTTTGCAATGGCAGTTGCCTCTGCTGAAAACATCAGAGCCAGATAGCACAGGGTGCATCCCCTCATTTCCTTCGAAACTTTGCTCAATATCATCTTCACAGTCAAGCAAACCCTGACACTAAATCTTCCCTTTCCTCCTCTTCTGTGTTTTCAGGTTTTTTTTCCTCATTTTGTATCTAACTTATTATATATCATTATATATACACACACACACATACACACACACATATACATGTGTGTGTGCGTGCATATAATTTGCTATGTCTGTTATTTATTGTCCGTGTTCCACTTCTACCTCAGCTGTGATGTAAGCTTCACCAAGGCAGAGAACACTTTTTGGCTTACTGATATATTCTAAGTTTCTAGAACAGAGCTTAGCACACAGTAGGTGCTTAATAAATATTTTTAAAATAAATAATTAGTATTTTGCACCACTGGAAGTTATAGAAGTTGTAGAACATTGAGAGTTAGTCTCTCAGTGGCTAAGGTATGACACTTTGATTCCCCATGCCTCTATTCCAATCATGCCATTCTAACCCTTCCTGGCTCTCCATTAAGTACAGATCCCAGCTGTCAGTGAACATCCTCTGCATTTTTGTCCCAGTGCTCTTCTCTCATTGTTGCTCCTACTTCCCCTACACATGAGACCTGTGTGCCAGGCAAAGTGACTGCACAGCTGCTACCTTGACAAGGCCCCATTTTTCTCCCCTCTGTGTCTCTGCTCCAGGCTTTCCTGCTCTATTTAATGCAGCCCCTGAGACCTAGTCATCTCCCAATGGCTATTTCGAGAATCATCTCCCACAAGAAAGCCTATCCTGATGTCCCCAGTTGAACGGACACCAAACCAGTCTCTAAACAACACAGTGCTCTCTTGTATCTCTCTCATGTCAGCTTCCTTCCTCCTCTGAATAAAACTTTTGAAGGCAGGGCCTCTGTCACGTTCATCTCAGCCAACAAGTATAGGGCTTTATGCTCATTTATGTAGATTTGTATTTAACAGACAGTTCTGTTCTGTGCTAGGATTGAGGTCAACCTCCCTGACTTCAAGATGCCCCTTTGGGAGAGGAGACTCCTAGGGGAACAAGCAGTTTCAAGGTTATGCTATCAAGGTCCTTTGGTGATGTGTCAACTTGGATAGGGAGGGGGTGTACTGGGGAAGGCTTAACACAGGAGGTGACACCTGAGCCAAGACCCAAAGAAAGAGCAGGTGTTTAAAAGAGGAGGCAGGTGGGGGAGGGGAGGTGTCCAAGAGTAAAGACCAGCAAGGGACTCAATAATATGTGTTAAATTCAATTCGATCATTGAGAAATGTTCTGTCTTTCATGCTCTTTCAAATGTTTGATTATATACACACAATGTCTTAATGAGATTGAGGAAAAACTCTAGTGCCTTAGGACAAGAAAAAAAGAAGTTTTAACTTAATAGCAGGATTGTGCGTGTCAATATAGCCTTATTAACCCTTCCTGATGCTTTCACATCCCTGGCATATTTTTTTCACAACTATCCTGTAGATATAAAGAGCATGCTATTAGCATTGCCATTTCACAGACTAAGAAATAAACTGTTATTTCTTGTATGGCTTGTTGACTGCTGACTGACAGGCATACTGACTCTGTTTTCAAACACAGGCTCTTTTTGGCGGTCATTACGTGGAGTCTAAAGATGGGGTTCCTGAAATGACTTAGGGGATCCATAAATCCCCTGAAACTTATGTAAAATTCTCCAAGAATTTTTTACGGCACTAAGTTCTGTATCCTTCATTATATTTCAAAAAAATTATCTTAAAATATGTACAAACCACTGCATCATACCATAACCAAGGCCTCTGAGGAGAAAAGAAATCTTGGCTTTCATGATAGCCTTGATCAAGATCAAACTTGGGACTGGTTCATACAGCCCCTGCCTAGAACAAAGTTCCCAGGGAAAGAAATATAAGGGGAGACGTAGAATACAGACTCTTAAATCTGAACTGCCTTCATGCCTGGACTAAAGGCCTTGTAGGAGGTACCCAGCGAGCCACCAGCTGCTTTTAATCCTGGCATAAATAATGCCCTCTAGTCAGAATCTGAACTGTGTTTGTGCATAGTGTTTGGGTTCAGTGCCACTAAATTTAAAAGACCTTTGCAATTTCAAACATACACTGTTTGGCTTGGATTAAATGTCATTAAAGTCTAATTAAGTGTTTACTAGCAGCCAACTCTGAGTCCACCTGATGGCCAGGGGCACTTACTCAGTTTGTTCCTCCCAGTGGTTCCCACACTTTGGAGAACATCAGATTCAACTGGGGTGCTTATTAGCTGTATAGCTACCCAGAACTCACCCCAGGCCCACTGGCCTCATTTCTGGGAAGGCCAGCTGTATCAGTCAAGTGTGGAAAATCTGGGGTAGAAAGAGATTGAAAGAAAAAAATGTGCAGTATATCCCAACCATCCTTGATGACAATAACCAGGTGGGCAGGGGCCTGGGCGGCTCCTAGTTTGATAAGCACCCCTGATGATTCTTACCACCAGAGAGGATTTTTCTGGGAAACACCCACCTCTTGAGTGGCTTCCAAATTTGGCCCTGTATCAGAAATGCCTACTAGGTTTCAAACCAATTCTGACCAGGTCTACTCCAGACATACTAAATTAATTTTTTTTAAGGGGTGAAGCCCAAGAATGTGTTTAGAAAGCTCCTCAGGTGATTCTGATGGTCAGGAAAGGAAATCAATGATGAGATAAAGGGTTATTCTGATGAAGAAAGCCTACATATTCACCATAGTTTCTTCTCATTTCCCCCTCAAAAGAGCCCTAGCTGCTCCCAGCCACCCTCATCAGCCAGTGTTCTTTGCCCAAAGTGGGAGAAAAAGTCTGATGCAATATTCTGCGTACTTACAAGATAAGGAAACTCACACATGGAAAGATAGGCCCGAGACTAGACTGATTTTCCATCTTCTGGCCCTGACACTTTCTTGAGGACTTGAGAGAAAGGCTCAGAGTTAGAATCTCCATGGAATATGAGAAAATAATTTCCCCACACAGGGGCTGTCATCCGGGCCTTGGAGAATCCTACCTGGGAATTAGAATCAGACCTCCCTAGATGCTGAGAGCCAGGCAGGTAAACTAGAGGCCCTGTCTCTCAGTTGATTTCATTCAAAGTGGGATATAATTTCATCCATACCTACGTTAACCTCCTGGGATTATTCAGAACAGGGAATTGCAGGCCACAACCCACAGGCTAAATTCAGCCACTGTTTTAGAGCCTGCAGACTAAGAATGGTTTTTACATTTTTAAATGGTTACATTTTAAATGGTTAGATTAAGTACCTACATAATGGCCTAAACGTCACCTGTTGACCTGCAAAGCCTAAAATACTTACTATTAGATCCACTACGAAAAAGTTTGCTGACCCCTTCTTTACAGGATTAAATAAAGTGCTTGGCATATGTGTACTACCTGCTGTTATCTTTCCAAAACCTTTTAGGAGCTGAGAACATCCCCCAGCTGACAGCCAGCAACAAAGCCGGGACCTTACCCTAGGACAATAAAGAACTGAATTCTGCCAACAGCTGGTGAGCCTGGCAGAGGACCCTGAGCTCCAGAGGAGAGTGCAGCCCAGCCAAAGCCTTTCTTTCAGCTGGGTGAGACTGTGAACAGAGGGCCCAGTCACGCTGTGCCCAGTCTCCTATGCACAAAAATTGTGAGATAACAAATGGGTATTATTTTAAGCCACTAAATGTGTGATGCTTTGTTACACTGCAAGACAAAACTCATACAGGTGCCCCAAAGGCACCAACACAACATGAAGTATGCAGCTGGACTGTGGACACAGTCATTGTCTGGTTCAGAATGGGCAACTTAATTACAGTAAGAAGATAAAATTTAAGAGCAACCATCCACTATGGCCCAGATACAGTATGATATAAAGACATTTTTCCTATTGCAGAATATGTGAAGTGTCTATATGTATTTATTGATGCCTTCTAAAACCTTTCCATTGCTTTTGCTTGAAACACTGGTACAATTCATGAGGACTTTCAAGACCACTTCAAGAGCCACAAATAAAATTCTAATTGCCCAGGATCCACAGGATAACAAAGCCAGAAATACCTTAGAGATCATCCAGTAAAACAGTCTGGCCCTTTGTTTTACACATGAAAAAACTCAGCATCACAGAAAGGAAATAATTTTTCCAGGGATACATTCTGAGCTAGATGCAGAATAGAAACTAAAACTGAGGTCTTCTGCCTTTTGAACTAGGATTTCTCAACTTCAACATTATTGACATTTTGAGCCAGATAATTCTTTGGTGTGGGGCTATCCTGTATATTGTAGGACGTTTGGCTGCATCCTTGGCCTCTACTCACTAGATGTCACAGCAACCTATAATCTCCCATTAAGACAACCAAAAAATGTCTCTGGACATTGTTAACAAGCTTCTGAAGAGTAAGAGGGGTAAGATCACCCTCAGTTGAGAACCAGCGATCAGAACGAGTAATGCCCATCTATGTGAACTGCACTCTAACATTTACCTGACAGCGTGATTTCAGCAAGTCACTTAACTTCTCTGAGCCTGAGTTTCCTTATCTTTAAAAAGGAAAAATAATGCCACCTGTACAAACTCATGTGATTGGTGAAAATGAATAAAACAAATTTTATATATATTTAGTGATTTTATTTAGATTCACATATATGTATAGTCCCCCAGTACAGCACCAGGCACATAATAGACTGGAAATGGCTATGATTTTTATTACTTTTAGAAGATGTGATGGCCTGACATCAGGGTCCAGGCTGTTGATATCCAGCAAGCTCTTTCTCCTCTCTGCAATCTTCTGTAAATGCCACTGAACAATCATTTCATAGTGAGGACAGCTACCTTGGCAGCAGTGAGCTGAGACTGTGGCCTTCTCACATTTAGAGGAAAGAAAGAGTGCTTGCAAGCCAGGCAGGGTTGTATTTGCCCATACTGGAAAACAAACTACATGCTATTTGTTTGTTTTTGTCATGTCTTTAAGCTTCCTTATCTCCAGCTGCAGGATTCTGCAAAGTAAAATTCAATTTGTATTTATCATCCTTTTCCTAGCTGAGTAAGTCAACTCCTTCATTGCCAAAACTCATAAAAAATGTGGAATTGCCAACGACCTCTGAAAATTTCAAGATTTGGGGACAGAAAAGGCCTAGGTGCAAGAGCAGGAGAGAAATAATGTTTTTCATAACAAAATAACCATGTTGCTATTGTGATCACAGTGCTATATGAATATGAACAGAATCTTCAATTCTGGGGTTTTCAAACTTTGGCTTCCCCATGAAACCTGTGTGTGAAGAAGTCTAAGACTGTACAGTAGATGAGAGTGGACAGCTTTGTCTGTTCTGGCTGCCTCTTTCTGTTTCTACCCCCACTGTGGATGTTTATGCTGGTTGTAATTACACGGGACTGAAAGGCACATATGCATCTTCGGAGCCAGCAATGATTATCTCATATCCACCCTGATGACCAGCAAGGGTCAAAGGAATGTGTGCTGGAGACTTCATGGGTATATCCCTGACTTCTTTCTCCCCTGGAAACAGCAAGTAATACCCATTCCACTCTGGTTCCTCCCAGCAACCTGGTTTGATCAGGCAAGTACATGCTGAGACAACTGCTTCTGCCTTCACTCCCATTTCCAGAACCTGCCCAGGAATGATAACTCATGAACAAATCCTACATCTGCACCTTAGCCCTCCTGTTTCCTTCCTGGACTTTCGTTAGTGTGACTTGGATTTTTCCCCCGCCTTCCTCTGTCATGAGATTTGGGAAAGCTCCGCCATCTCTGACAATGACCAGCTGCCAGGACAAGGATGCCTTCAAAGTCAGAACCTGATGTAGCTAAAAGGTGCCTGTTTTTTCTCTTTCAGCTGTTATTGGAGCTAGTGTGGCTGTTCCCAGGCATTCTTCTTCGGTAACACGAAAGATGCCTTTGGATTCTTGAGAAAATCCGCCTAGGACTAACCATCAGGAAGATGCCCCAACTAGGGAGCTGCCCATCATCGCATCTATTTCTGAAACCTCTTCTCCATCAGCATCCACTATAGAAGGGTATGTTTCATTTGTTTATTCATATAAGCTCCATAGTGAGAAGTCCTTATCTGTCTCATTCATTCCCTTTATAGTTTATATGCAATAGGTAATAGTTTCTTATATATGAATGAATGTGGGATAGGAAAAGCACCCATCTTTGAGACGTAAAAACCTTTGAGTGTACCAAACTCACAGTCCTTTATCCTGTATTGCCTAGGTAACTTCAAGTAAAATTCACAAGCTCGTTGCCTGGAGTGAAATACAGTCAGCAGTATTGTTTAATCTGTAAACTCTTTTTCTACATGATGCTTTATAGATAAAACTAAATTACTTTTTAATATACATTTGGAAATTCAACACAAAACTCTGGATTCTGGCTTCTTCTGGAAAATGACAAGATCTGGCAGCCTTGGGCTTGCCTTTCCAGATTTTTTTTTAAAAACTATTTTTTTCTCATAACCATTCTTTTATTATAATAAATTAGCTTTATTTTTCTTAACTATTCTTCCCACTAAGTAAAACTAAAACCCTGGACATAATATATAAAACAAACACAAGAAGATTCTGAATGCTGGGGAGAAAAAGGCAGACCACCTAGGGGCCTTGAGACCCAAGAAATGACACAGTGGTGAGTTCTTTAGGTTTTCTTCTTACCTCATACATCCAAAACTTGGAGCAGAAGGAGAAAGCAACTCAGAAATGACAACTGGTACAAAGAGAAACCAAAAAATACCCAAGAAAAGGCTGCTTTCTCTAGCCAAAGAGCTAGGAAAATGGCAACATAGCAGACAGAAAACCTTCAGACAACAGCTGCTCTACTCAGATAAACACGGCATAAAGAATTGTGGCCTCACTCCTACCCAGGTCAGCAAAGAGTAAGTAGAAAGCCTAGACATCCACACTCATGGGGCTGTAATGAGGTGCTCCCACACCCAGCTGGAGGAATATCAGAGAAGTGAAGAAGGAAGCTAGAACTTTCATCCCCAATGGCCAGCAATGAGGACCCTCCCGTAGTACAATGAGGAACCTCCTATAGACTACATGAGGGGCCTGTATGTCCACCATCACTGGCAGTAATGAGGAGTTCTATCCTCTCCCCACTGGGGTTGTATCAGAAAAGGCTAATTGAGGAGTTAGGACTTTCACCATTGCTCATTTTTAATAAAGCCACTTCCACTGCAGTATTACTGGATACCATATGAGAAGCTGGAACTTCCACTCTTACCCAGCAATAATGAGGTGATACCCCCACTTAGGTGTCAATGAAGCCCAAGGAGAGAACCTGGAATTCTACCTCCAGTTAGCAGTAAGGAGGTGATGCCCCCATTGCTGAAGCAATGTCAGAAAAAGCTAACCAAAACAGAAAGTTTAAATAAGACCCAGAGTCTCAGAGCATAACACAAAATTGCCCAGATTTCAATAGAAAAATTACTCATTACCTCAAAACCAGAAATAACTCAACTGATTTTTTTTAAATCAGTAGATGCCACTACTGAGAAAACAGAGATATTACAATCATCAAACTGCTACAGACTGAATGTTTATGTCCCCCCATTTCCTCATTTATATGTTGAAACCTAATCCCCAATGTGATATATTTCAAGGTGGGGTCTTTGAGAGGTGCTTAGGTCATGAGGTAAGAGCCCTTATGAATGGAATTAGTGCCCTTATAAAAAGAACTCCAGAGAGCTTCCTCATCCCTTCCACCATGTAAGGACACAGTGAAAAGATGACCTTCAGTAAACCAGGAGATGAGCCCTCACCAGGCACTGACAGCACCTTGATCTTGGACTTCTCAAACTCCAGAACTACAAAAAATAAATTTCTGTTGTTTATTAGCCACCTAGGGTATGGTATTCTGTTCTAGCACCCTAAATGGACTAAGATATTGACAAAGATTTTAAAGTAGCCATGATAAAAACACATGTATGGTCAATTCTAAACACAGATGAATCAAAAGAAAAAGTAGAAAGCTCAAGAAAAGAAGTAGAAAGTCTCAGCAAATAAATAGAAAATATAAAGAACCAAATGGACACTTTGCAACTACAAAATAAAATAACCTAAGTAGAAACCTCAGTGCATGGGCTCATCAGCAGAATGGAGGAAAGAATCAATGCACAGGAAAAGAGAAAAATAGGAATAACTCAATTAGTTATTAGAGAGAAAACAGACTTACAAAATACAGAGCCTCAGGAACCTATGGAACTATAACAAAATATTCAACATTCATGGCATTGGAATCCTAAATAGGAAAAAGAAAGCAGTGCTAAAAAAAATCCTCAAAGCAAAAATGGCTAAAACTTTCCATATTTGGCAAAAGATACAAACCTATAGATTCAAGTAGTTGAACAAACACCAGAGAGGATATACTCAAAGAAGTTCATGAAAAGACATCACAATTAAACTGAAAATAAAAGACAAAGTTAAAATCAACCAGAATGGTACCTTACCTATAGTAAAACAAACAAACAAACAAACAAAAACAGAATGGCAATGGATTTCTAAGCAGAAATAAAAAAGGCTAGAAGGAAGGGCACAACATTTTTCAGGTGGTGAAAGAAAAGAATTTTCAACCCAGAATCCTATATCCAGCAAAAGTATCCTTCAAAAATGAAAAGAAAATCAAGACATTCTTGAATGAAGAAAGACAAAAGGAATTTGTCACCAGCAGGCCTATTCTGAAAGAAAGGTGGTTAAAGGAAGTGTTCAAAACCAAAAAAAAAAAAAAAAAAAAAACTATAAAAAAGGAAACCTTGGAGCATCAGAAAAGAAGAAAGAACAAGATAAGCAAAAATAATGGTAAATACAAAAGCCCTTCCTTCTCCTCTTGAGTTCTTTAAATCACATTTTACATTTTAAGCAAAAATTATAATACTGATACGGCTCTAAGCATATATAGAAGAGACATTTAAGACAATTACAAACAGAGAAGGAAGAAGCAATGGAAAGGAGATATTCCCATACATCTTTTGAACTGATAAAATGACAATACCAATAGACTATAATAAGTTATGTAGAATACCTAGATCAACCACTAAAAAAAGCCATACAAAAAGATACACTCAAAAAGCCATAGTTATATCAATATAGAGTTCTAAAATGTGTCCAACTGACAAGAAAGCAGGAAAACAGAACCTCCCCCTACCCCGCCAAAAAATAGAACAACACAAAAATAAAATGGCAGATCTAAACCCTACCATATAAATATAAATGATCTAAATACAACAATGAAAAGGCAGATCTCAGCAGAGTAGATTGAAAAACATGACCCAACATGCTGCTAACAAAAAATTTACTTCAACAGAGGCAGTTTGAAAGTAAAACAAAAAAAAATGGAAAAAAAAGAATATATCATGCAAACAATAATCAGAGGAAAGCGGTGTGACTACATTAATAACAGATAAAGCAAACTTCAGAGTAAAAAAAAAATTACTGGAGACAGAGAGTGACATTGTATAATGATTAAAGGGCCACTTCACAAATATGATACAGCAATTCTCAATGTGTATGTACTAAACAACAGAGCTGCAAAATATGGGAAGAAAAACTGGTAGAACTAAAAGAAGAAATAAGTCTATTATTGTAATTTAAAATTTCAACATCCGTTCCTCAATAATTCATAGAACTAGTCCGAAAATCAGCTAGGATACAGAAAAGTTCAACATCAAATAACAGGATGTAATCTACGTTTATAGACCCGAACAAAAGCAGAACATGCATTTGTAGTAAGTGCCCACAGAATATCTACTGAGATAGACTATATACTGGAATATAAAGTAAACCTCAAAAAAACTGAAATCATACAAAATATGCTTTCTGAACCACAATGGAATTAAACTAGAAATCAATAATAGAGAGATAACAGGACAATCTCCAAACATTTAGCAACTTTGCAACACATTTCTAAACACATGGGCCAAAAGAGAAGTCTCAGTGGAAATAAGCTAGTACATATAACTGAATACAAACACAACACATCAAAATTTGTGGGATACAGCTAAAGCAGTGATGAGAAGAAAATTTATAACATTAAAAAAGGAAACATCTCAAATCAATAATCAAAGCTCCCACCTTAAACATCTAGGTAAAGAAGGGCAAAATAAGCCCATACAAGTAGGATGAAGGAAATAATACAGAAAAGCAATAAAGAAAATCAATAAAATAAGAAGCTGTTTCTTTGAAAAGATTTATAAACTTGATAAACCTGCACTAAATATGAAATAGTGAAAATATAAGTTATCAACATGAGGAGCAAACTGGCAGATATTACAGATCCTGCAGATATCAAAAGGATACTACAGACAACTACATAAATTTGTCAACACATAGATTTGTCAACTTAGACAAAATGGACCAATTCTTTGAAAAACAGAAACTACAACCCATCCAATATAAAATAGAGAATTGAAGAGCTCTGTAACTATGAACGAAATTGAATTCATAATTTAAAAACTCCCCTAAAAGCACTGTCATGGAGAATTTCACTGGGGAATTTTAACAAACATTTAATGAAAAATTAATACCAATTCTACATAATCTCTTCCAGAAAACAGGAGGGGACACTTCCCAATTCACTTTATGAAGTAGTATTACTCTGACATAAAACTAGACAATAGCAATACAAAGAAAACTACAGACTAATATTCCTCATAAATATGGATTAAAAAATTCTCACTAAAACATTAGCACATAGAAATCAGCAAGCTATAAAAGAATGATATACCACAATTGAGTAGGATTTAGTCTAAGGATGTGAGGTTGATTCAACATTTGAAAATCAATCAGTGTTATTATATTAACAAACTAAAAAAAATTACATATTCATATTGATGAATGCAGGAAATAAGTATTTGACAAAATCAACACCCATTTATACTTTTTAAAAAAACCTCACAGAAACCCAAAAATAAAGAACTGCCTCAACTTGAAAAAGGCATTTACAAAACCTCTACAGGTAACATTATATTTACTGGTGAAAGACTGAATATGCTTTCCCCTGAGACTGGGAACAAGGCAAGGATATCTTCTCTCATCACCTCTGTTCAATATCATGCTGGAAGTTCTAGTCAGTATAAAGACAATAAAAAGGAAATAAAACCCAAAGGATCAGAAAGGAAGACATAAAACTCCCAAACTGCACATGACTTGATTGTCCATATGGAAAGTCCCAAGAAATCTACAAGAAAAAAATCTAGAACTATTAAATTCAGCAAGGTTGCATAACATAAAACATAGCACCATACACATAAAAAAAATTGTATGTCTATATGTCAGCAGTAATAGCAAATACAACACAATTAAAAATACAATACTATTTACAGTCACTCAAAAAATGAAATACTTAGATATAAATATAAGAAAACATGTGCAGGAATATATATTTAAATCTATACAACACTAATGAAAGAAAAGAAATGTAAACACATGTAGAGATATAACATGCCCCTGCACTGGAAGACACAACGAGGTAAGATGTCAACTGTCCTAAAGTTGCTATACATGTTTAACTCAGCCCCTATCAGAATCCTTGCAGGATTTTTTTTTTTTTTTTTTTTTTTTGTAGCTATAGATGAGGTTATCCTAAAATCTTTTGGTAAGGTAAAGGAAATAGAATAGTTAAAACAGTTTTGAAAAAAAAATTGAGAGTAATCCATTTACACAATTTCAAGGCTTATATAGCCACAGTAATCAAGACTATATAATTTTGGTGGGGCCATTGACACAAAGATTAATGGATGAGAGAAGAGAATCCAGAAATAGACCCATACAACATGCCTGCTATGTTCTGAATGTGTGTGTCCTCCCAGCAATTACATATGTTGAAACGTAATCCCCCAGGTGATAGTATTAGGAGGTGGGGCCTTTGGGAGGTCATTAAGTCATGAGGGCAGAGCCCTCATAAGTAAAATTAGGTCCCTTATAAAACAGGCCCTAGAGAGCTGTCTTCCCCTTTCTACCCTGTGAGGACTTAGCTAAAAGTGACATCCATGAAGGAGAAAGAAGGCCCTCAGCAGAAATCAACAATGCTGGTATTCTGATGTTGAGTTTCCCAGGCTCCAGAGCGGTGAGAAATAAATTTGTTGCTTATAAGCTTACTCAGGCTATGGTATTTTTTTATGGCAGCTTCAATGAACTCAGACGATGCCCTGCTGATTTTTGACCAAGGTGCAATTCAATGGAGGAAAGATAAACTTTTAAACAAATGGATGAGGGAGGAATTAGATATCCATAGGCAAAAAATACAAATAAAGGAGTCTCAACCTAACTGTACAGGTTTTACTTTATACAAAAGTGTTTTACTTTATACAAAAATTAAAATATTTACAAACCACATATCTGACAAAGAATTAGTACTTAGAATATGTAAATAATTCTCAAAACTCAACCGTAAGAATATAAATAACAAAAATCCTAATGCAATTATAAAATGAACAAAAGACATTTCATGGAAGAGGATATACATGTGGAAAATAAGCATATGTAAAAACATTTGACATCATCAGCCATTAGAGAAATGCAAATTAAAACCACAATGAGATAATACATACACACCTAAATGACTATAATAAAAAACAGCGACAAGATCAAATGCTGGTGTGGATGCAGAGAAACTGTATCACTTATACACTGCCGGTGGGAAAGTAAAAATGGTACAGCTAGAACACACTTCAGCAGTTTCTTATAAAACTTAACAGGCAACTACTATATGACCCAGCAACTATACTCCTGACATGTATCCCAGAAAAATAAAGACTTATGTTCACACAAAAACTTGTACATAAATGTTTACAGCAGCTTTATTCAAAATAGCCCTAAATGGGTAATAAGGAATGGTTAAAAAGAGTGTGGTATATCCATACCATGGACTACCACTCAACAATAAAAAGGACAGACTATTCATATAGGCAACAACTTAGATGAATTTCCAGAAAATGATGCTAAGAGAAAAAAAGCCAATTCTAAAAGGTTGCTTACTGTATGATTCCATTCATATCATATATTTAAAAGGACTAAATTACTGAATGAGAACAGGTAAGTTGTTGCCAAGGGTTAAGGAGAGTAGGTGGGAGGGAGTAGGTATGGCCATAAAAGGGCAATGTGGGATCCTTGTGATAGAAATGCTCTGTATCTTGTCTGTAGTAATATCGATATTTTGGTTGTGATATTTTACCATAGCTTTGCGTGATGTTATCACTGGGGGAAACTGAGTAAGGTATACACATAATCTCTCTGTATGATGTCTTACAACTGCATATGAATCTGTAATTACCTCAAAATAAAGAATTTAATTTTTTAAAAAACAACTTTCTTAAAAAATAATCACCCAATGCTGGGTAGCATCAGTCTCTTTCCTTGCTCTGTCTCCTCTTTGAATCACCACAGTCCCCTCTAGTCCAGACTTACCCTAGCCAGGCCTCTTCCTTCACTGGGCTACCTTAAGCATGTGCATGGTGATCTGGGAAGCACACCAGCTGGGATGGCATTGCTCCAAGTAACCAGAGGGCCACGAGGAGTTGGGATTAACCCCTGCAAGGTGCAATGTAAGCATCAGGATGAGGCATGCCCCTCTCTCCCTACCACCATGCTTCTTAGTGGTAGGTTGTAAGCCACTCAGTCCTTTTCAATTCAAATCAACAAATATTTACTGAGAACTTCTAAGCGAACTGGTGTGCTAGGACATAAGGATAAACAAGCCTGCTTTGGTAGGGGGAGCAGACATTGAAATAGATTGCATTGCAAGTGCTGCCGAATTCGGGACTGAGCCCAGGAGCAAACACGCCAAAGCATAGAAGGTGAAAGGTCAGCTTAAGCATGTAATGTAACAATCTATCATTCATTCATTCAACAAACTTTGAGCACCTACTCAGTGCTCAGTGCTAGAAACACAAAATGGATTCAGAAACTGCCTTAAGACTAGTGAGAAGGCAGGCTCACAAATAGACAAGTACACTCCACTGTGGCAAGTGCTGGGCCAGAGGAGAGCACTTCAGGACCTGTGGCCATGAGGATGGAAGCCAAAGGAATGCTACTCAAGGATTCCTTTGATCAGTGCTGATATCAAGTCCTGGGTGGGGTGGAAGTGAGACTTTGATATGGAGCAGGTGGAATTATATGGCCCATCTCAGCACTCCCCTGCTGTCTGACTACACCACGTTGGGTTGCATTTGGCTCAGTGCCCTCTTGTAAATCAAGTTGATACATTTATAATGATGTCTGATGAACTGAATGTGGGCATGAGAGGAGGAGTGAGTGGACAGACACAGTGGAAACCAGATGAAAGCCAGGAATATCAGCTCTTGAGAGAAAAGAAAAGCACTACACATGAGAAACAATTGAGAAGGCAGAGGTCAGAATCAGCAGCAGATACTTGAGTGGAAGTTTACCTACTACAGGACAGCTCAGGCCTGTATTTGAATATATCACTCAGACCTAAAACCTGGGAGCATCAAGCCTTCTCTGAAAAGGAAAGACTATGAGATTATAGAAAGAACAGTATCACTAAGAGTTCAAACAACATCTCTGATGGAGCTCCTGAGCAAGAGTAGGCCAGAAGAGAAAGGCCTTTTCCTCCTTGCTGGGGAGAGGGGCGATTAAGGGAGGTCAGCATGATCCAGGGGTATGTCAGGATCAGGGTGGGCTGGTGAGGACAGCATTATAGTAACAAGCATCCAGAGGCAGGCAGTGGTCACCAAGAGGCAGAGGCTGAGAGCATACACCCCAGTGGTATGGCCAGCCTGCTACATATGAGGCTGGTGTGGAGGCTCATCTCAGGGAGACAGAGCAGCAAAGGCAGCCTCAGTGCAGATATGACAGGCAACAGGGAATAGCAGCCAAGAGGAATGGCCCAAGGAGTGGCAGAGGGCAGGCTGCAGTGTTATACCTGGTGTCTCACCTCTTTAGGGACTTCAAGGGAAAGGCACAAAAAAAGGAAAGGGCCAAGGGCCATGCAGTGGATTTGGGGACAAAGAGAATAAAGATTTTCCCCTTGCAACCCACAGCCTGGTAGAGTTAGAAAAAAAGCCATTTGCTCATGTGCCTCTGTGCCCTCACTTCCCAAATTTGTTTTGTTTTGTTTTTTTAACTCCTTGCTCTTTGAAATTTGCTATTGGTATCATTAATGTGCAGAAAGAATCCCTAACACACTGGGATTCACCTTTCCATTAAAAAAAATACACAAATTGTATTTCAATGAAGTCACAGCCACCCAAGCCAACCATTGCAAATGATGT
Source organism: Homo sapiens (assembly GCF_000001405.40). NCBI lineage: Eukaryota > Metazoa > Chordata > Mammalia > Primates > Hominidae > Homo > Homo sapiens. Next base: position 140,186,767 of record NC_000003.12, on the reverse strand, counting down.
CACTTACTGTGGCCCAGCACTATAACTTAGATAAATAATAATTTTTAAAGTTTGTAGATCATATTGAACTTGGCTTAATAGGCCCTCTCTTCAAACCTCTGAAAGGATAGCTCATAAAGAAGTAATTAGTTTATATAGACTGTCAAGATTCATGGGGGACAGCTGGCCTTTGATGCCTCATCTGTGATTACAGGCAGCTACAAGATAATAAAATCAAGCTCTGAACTCATGCCAAGGTATTCAGTGATCTCACTCTGGACACTCTGCCAAGCAGAATAAACTATAAATATCTGGTTGCACTCTTGTTCTTTGGTTTGTGATCTCAAACAAGTTCACTGAGACATTTAGGACTTTCAGAGGCCCCAAATTCCCATTAAAGTAAAACCATTAACCTTAAAAATTCATGTTCATAATTAATATTTGTGGTGGGCTCCAATTCCAGGACTATTCAATATGGCTACTGCAGTAAGCCACAGAAATGGCTTCTGGAGGAGAAATTTGACCTGGTATTAACTTGTCTAAGCTTGTTATTAAGCAGTCCAATTACTGGCAGTAGGAGCTGGTTCTCAATATCATTGATTTTGCTATGATGATTGCCAGTTATGTCTTTTTAAAAGACGATTTCCTCAATGTTTTAAATTCCCAGTTCGTTCTTCTCTATGCTGCCATCTTATCTGAGCTTTCTTGGGTCTTTCACTCTTCTTCAGCTTTAATGATGCCCCACGTCCCCTTAACACAGTAAACTATATAACAGGTAGTTTTCACTAGGCCTCTTTGGTTTCCAAGGACAGAGCTATTCTTACTCACCCATCTCAAGAGATAGAGTGGATAAAAGTGCAACAACAAAGATGATTTTGTGGAAATTCAGGATCAATATGACAACCAGGACCACTCAGCAACTGAGGCTATCATTCCCTTCAGGGACCACACACTCCCTCCCATCTGGGCACATCTGCTTCTGTGGGACCACTGTCCTCCCCTCCCTCTGCTGACAGGGTACTCCTAACTGCAGTTTGAGCATGTTATGGAAGCTTCACCTGCAACAGTTGCCCCCTTCCCCACGTGCCCCCCACCATCTCCATCTGCCCTGCACCCCCATCCTTTTAACCTCTCAGCATTCAAACAGGAAGCCAATTGCACTATTTGATCTTTTCAATCCAGCTAGCAAGTTAGGTTGCAGCTTGGGTCAGGTGCCCACCCCTGGCCCAATCACAGTTGGTCAGGTGGGCTGGGTCATGGGGCTTGAAATTTGACCACCGGGTCAGTGAGCAGAGAAAATACCATAATGTGTTTGCATCATTACTTGTCGACGAAGCATGCCATTGATTTAAATTCTCTGATATCCCAGAATGTCTTTAAGCTTGGAGCTTGTTGAGTCTTCTAAAGTGTTCTTCCAATAGAAAAAAAGAAAGGTGGTTGGGGGTCTTGTTCTTTATTTTTTGTTTTTCCTGATTCATTGTATAAAGAGCCCTGACTTTGGAGTTCCAGGTTTGAACCACTGTCTTGCACTGAGGCCGGACAGAGTCAGCCACTGATGTGAAGATGAATGAAAAGAGTTTTCTTAGGGACTAAGCCCAGGATCCTGAACTCAGGAGGATTCTGCAGACTCTTGCCAAGTCCCCCGGACTTGGGATATAGCAAATAAAACCAAATGATGATGAAAGAAGTTAACAGGGAGCAGCAGAGAACAATAAACAGGGAAGCCCCCTTTAAGGAGCAGAATCACTCTTAAAATGGGGGGATACCTGGCAACATTTTTCCAGCAGGATATCAGAATTGCTATGGGCCACACCAGTGGTAGCTATGTGCCTCCCATTCTTCTCCTCTTGGAGTGGGAGTCTTACTGAGTTTTCCTTCCCATGGTGTATATGTGCGGGAAGAAAATTTGTCATTTATCGGCCTCTGGATCAAGAGGAGCTGCATCCAGTTCTGATAAGGATCACAAAATATTGATCTTTAAGCCAGATGCCATGATTAGATACATTTTGGGGGTCTCTAGAATAGGGATGAGCATGTTTTACATGAAATAGGGGTATGAATAATTTTGACCTACAGTTAAGCTGTGATGAAATGATTGCATTGATGACCCTACCCCCCACGCCCTTTAGTAGTCCACTCCTGCACTGACTCTGGGCTTGGCTATGAGACTTGCTTTAGCCAGTGGGACAGTGATATGGTTTGGCTCTGTGTCTCTACTAGAATCTCATCTCGAATTGTAATCCCCAAGGGTCAAGGGAGGGACCTAATGGAAGCTGACTGGCTCATGGGGGTGGTTTTCCCAATCCTGTTCTCATGATAGTGAGTTCTCATGAGATCTGATGGTTTCATAAGGGGCTCTTCCTCCTTCACTCTCTCTCTCACCTGCTACCACATGTCTGCTTCCCCTTCTGCCATGAGTTTAAGTTTCCTGAGGCCTCCCCATCCAGGCAGAACTGTAAGTCAACTAAACCTCTTTCTTTATAAGTTACCCAGTCTCAGGGAAGTTCTTTACATAGCAGTGTGAAAATGGACTAATACAGACAGTAACAAACTTCTCATAAGTAGCTGCTTGCCAATGTGCTTTTACATTTCTGCACTTTAAGGAATAAGCTCAGGGTAGCCTGCTGGAAGAACACACGGAGAACAGTGTCATCCCAGCCAAAGTCACCATACAGAACAGCCAGCCTACAGCCTACTCATTAACAGCCGGTGGAGACATAAACAAGCCCAGCTGAGATCAGTTGAGCCTGGCTCAGACGAGCAGAGCTGCCCAATAAGCAGGAAGCTGCCCAATAAGAAAGAAGTAATGGTTGTTGTTTGATGCTCATAAGTTTTGGGGTGGTTGTTGCACAGCAATACTTGCAGACATCTGGGCTGAAATTACAACTTCACCATTACTACTGTGTTCTTGGCAAATTATATAATCTGACTTAACATCGGTCTCTCCTATAAAATAATAATAATGCCTATTTCAGAGGATTGTTGTTAAAATTATGATATAGTGTGTGCAAAATAATGCCTGGTATGTATAAACATTAGCTAATTTTCAGTGCTGTTGTGTACAAGTTGTTTTCAGTACAATGATGTATGGCCCAGGGGGCAAGTAGGGGCAGAAATCCACCTTTTTCTCTACTTGCCAAGCCATGGGCTCTGGAGTGAGACAGTGTCCATCTATAAGAAGGGGCACCTGTTTCTAATTTGCACAGTTAGTATATAGGCTGGCACCAGATCTGCTATTACTATTGATTTCATTATTCACTTTTCATCTTGTTTTAGTAGAGTATTGTCATTAACTCAGAGTCCCAGAAAACTTGAAATTCCTACATTCAACTGCTTCTCTCAAGCAATCTCTTAGTGCCAGTGCTCAAGTGTTCTAACCTGAAACTCCACATGTCTCCTGTTAGAGTGACCAACTCACTCTGGTTTACGAGGACCTTCCTGGTTTGGGCACTAGAAGTCACACATCCCAGGAAATCCTTCCTTTCCAAGCAAACCAGGATAGTCTGTCTCCCTGGGTGTCCCCTTTCAACCTTAATGAGGGAAAATGGCCCAAAAGTATCCACTGATTGTCCCCTAAACATTAGTTTGGCCTAAAGCAGGATCTATCAATAGTCTTCTTATTAAGAAAATCCAAAAGCTCTGGGTAAGGGTCACTGGTGCATGGGTGTGACAGGCCTTGCTGACCCCATCCCTCACCTTCTACCATCAATCAGACCATGAAACCCATGGTCCCTGCTGTAGGTATTTACCTGGGACCTTTTACCCTCTTCTTGGCTCACTGAAGCCTGCACCTGTCATCCTTCCTCTGTACTCTGGCTCTTAGTCCCTCCTCTAGCCATCCCCTTGAGGCAACCTCTTCAGCTTTCCTCCATGGGCTTTGTGCCCTCAGAGCCTGTCTCTGACCACTCAGCACAGGAGGAGCTGTGTATGCCCATCTTCACAGGTCCCCAGCTACTGCCAGTAAACTCCTTCCAATCAGGATGCCATGGACAGAACTGGGGCATCAAGGTTGAGCACAGAATATGATGGAGAAGTACACAATAGACTCTTGTAGGTGAGAGGCAGTAGCCCAGATGGTGGATTCCAGATAGGTCTGGAGCTGATTTTCTGCAGGGAGGGTGAAGAATTGACCTTTGGCTGAAGCCTCATGACTGGGTGGGAAGCAGAGTGGGATACCAGGGGACACCCTGCCTTCTGGTCCTCAGGAATGGCCCCCAAACAAACCAGCTTGGAATGCAAAGGCACATCTACTGTGAGATTAATGTGGATGGCATCTCTGCTGCGAGGTCCGAGCTCAGAGAGCTGTGGGGCAGGACAGACTGAAGAAGGCTGGGTCCTGTGCCCATGATCCTGAAGGCGCTGGATAGGGAAATGAGGTCCTGATGTGGTTATTCCCCAATATCCCATGTGGTTCTCACTCACAGACCTCTTTCATCATTTTTGCTGCTTCCATAAACTGCCTAAATATTAGTTTACTTTTTTTTTAATTTGGTGTTTTTAAAAACTCTAGTGCATTTATTTTAAAAGAGAATGACTAAAATGAAAAGCCAGCAATCCTTGCCTTGAATAGAGAATAACCTAAATAAAATACAACCGAATATTATTAAAATTCTAGCTTGATGTTGTTGCTTACTGAAGGCTTGGTGATATAACTTGCTTCCTCTTTGTCAAAAAGAGAGATTAACAAGTATTTGAGTGGTATTGAAGATGTCTTGAACTTCCCAAGCTGCACCTTTCTCCTGGACATGATCAGAAAGAGAATTTAAAGGGGAATGACTCACTCAGCATGGGATTCAGCACTCTTTAATGCTATATCTGTGTATCATGTAAATCTTGTACTTCCAATGACATAAGTCCTACACACTGGAAAACTGGCAGAGGAGAAAGAAGGCAGGACTTGGAGTCTGAGAGTATGGAACTGAATGGCAGGACTGATCCATCCTGGCTAGGTAAGCTTGAACAGTATTTGAAATTTCCCAAAGCCTCAATGTCTTCATTTGCAAAACAGAATCATAATAGCTGACCTACCTGTTCCCCAAGGTTGGTAAGGTTTGGACATAAGTGTGTGTGTGTGTGTGTAATAAAAGGACACATGGTTTGCAACAGTCTGAAACTGTATCTTTCAACTAATAGATTATTCCATAGGGATACATTATAGGTAGAATGTAAGAAAATTTATTCTTAACTGATATTTATTTGTAGAATCCTGAACAATTTTCAAGCTATTTTCCCTTACATTATTTAACTGACTGTCCCACACCATTACACTACCCAACAATCTAGGCAACATACCTTGACAGTACAAATGGGTGATCAAGCCTTAGAACAAACTCAAAACTTTTCTCTTTTTTAAAAAAAATCACAGATTATAATTGCACTATTGTAATCAACCCAAATGAATCAAACACTTGTGGCTTACTGATAATAATACAAATTTCAATTACTCTGATTACCCTCATTATTATCATTGCTATGATTATCACAACTATGATTTATTGGGTGTCTACTGGCTACCAGAGAGAGCTCTAGGCACTTTGCATTAGTATCTTACTTAATCTACATATTAACACCAGGAGTGGGTACTATGATTACCCCCATTTTAAATATAAGGAAACTGTCCCTCAGAGTAGTTCAGTGACTTATCTGAGATCATACAGCTAGTAAGTGGCAGAGCCTATGTGAGTTTGGGCCAAAGCCCTGTGACCATTCACAATGTCTGCCTTCCCTTCTCACTATAAGACACATGGCTATCCCAAGCATGTGGGAGAGGCTTTGCCAAGGGTCTATCCCAATCCCTGTGGGAGGGTCTTTGCCATCAGGCACCTATAGGGCCTGAGGCATGAACAAGACCCTGAGGCAGGTCCCAAGATAAGGAGGCAGATACACTAGCAGGCCCTGAACAAAAGGACAAACAGAGTTAACCATGTATGAAAGAGCATTCCCAGCTGCAACCAGCACTGTAACCAGCTAATCAAAACCAGGCCAAATCACGTCCCAGGCAATTTTCTGGGCAGCCCTCAGAGAGTCACCCAGCTTGAGAAGTCAGCCAATTATGCCTGATCATTCTCTGCAGCCCTGTCCTTATAAAAGACAAGTCCAGACTGGCCCAATGTAGACAAATGAGCAGTTCTATCATCTCTGAAAGGCAATCTAATTCCCTTGAAATTTAAAAGTCTCCACAGTTTCCTAACAGACCTCGGTGGGGCACAGGTAGAAATTAATAAGTTCATGGTGTGCCCAGCTTGCTTTCATTATCATTTTTTGCCATGCAGCGGACAGCATTTTCATTATTACTCAAGGATTTTCTTTTCTGTATCTGATTCTCTAAGAAGGTCAAATCTACAGAGCTCAGACACTGGGTTAAGAATTGAGACAAGTCTAGTGGACTTGACTGAAGTCTGAGGGAGGTTTCACTGACTGAGCATCAGCACTTTACTAATCAGGTAGGGCAGAGATGAAAAGGAAACATCACAGGGAAAGAGAACTTAGAGTAAGTGCTGAGAAGCCCTGGCTCTAGATTCAACCCCAGGCTAGCCTGTTCTGGGATTCTGGGCAAGTTGCTTAGCGTCTCTGAGTTAGTTATCTCCCCTGCCAACTGGCAGGGAGGAGGGTATGGAATAGGAAACGCAAATTTATTAAACTTCTCCTATATCTTGAATCATTGCAAGATGTGTCATAGACACTCTTTAAATTTCATCAAAACAACAAACAGCCCTGGAAAGCTTATATTCTTTTACAGATGATGACAGCAAGGCTACTACTAAATCACACCATCAGAATGAACCTTATGACGGCCAGGGACTGAGCGACTTGGGTGGTGTGAATGAAACTGCAAACTCATACAACTTTTCTGGAAAGCAATTTAACATGTTTTACAACCTTTAAAATGTTTGGCCAACTAAAATTCTGGAAATCCATCCAAACAACAGAATCTGAAATGTGGACACATGTTATAATAAAAGAGAATTGGAAATAGACAAACTGCCAGTCAGAGAATGGTAAACTCTAGAACACTCATTAAATAGGAAATCATGTAGTCATTTAAAAAGTTTCAGAAAAATATGTAATAAAATGGCAAATTTTCATTAATGTGAAAAAATAAGGTATAGTATTCAAAATGAGGTATAATAGCAAGGTTTTTTTTTTTTTTTTTTTTTTTTTTTTTTTTGAGATAGGGTCTTGCTCTGGAGTGCAGTGGAACAATCTCAGCTCACTGCAGCCTCAACTTCCTAGGATCAATTGATCCTCCTACCTGAGCCTCCTGAGTAGCTGGAACTATAGGTATGTGCCAACACACCCAGCTAATTATTAATTATTATTATTATTGTTATTTTGTAGAGACAAGATCTTACCATGTTTCCCAGGCCGGTATCAAACTCCTGGGCTCAAGCAATCCTCCCCTCCTCAGCCTCCCAAAGTGCTGGGACTACAAGCATGAGCACCCAGCATGATCACAATTTTTGAAAAAAAAAAAGGTAGAAAAATGACAAGAAGGAAATATACTAAAATGTTAAAAGAGCCTTTCTGGGGTTGTGAAAACATATACCTCATGCTTTTACTGTGTGTTTCACTGTATTTTCCACAGTTTCTACAATAAATACTTGTATATCTCACTTGTTTTTGTCATAATCAGGAGATATACCATAAAAGCTATGTTAAATCTTTGAATTTTGCACTTATATACAAAATGCAATCATAATATTTATTTAAATAAAAATCACGTGAGATCATGTATGATTCTAAATGATATGTGTAAGATGGCAGAATCTATGTGTAAAACATTTTTCTTAAAAAAAATTAAAGGGGGAGACAGATAAGAGAAATAAGAGCACAAATGGTATGGATGAAATTGTTTTCCACAAAGCTTAGAGCCTACCTCCTGGGCTAAATGAGAAATAAAGACCACTGGGAAAGGGGTGGGAAAACTGACACACAATACAAAAGCAGCTGATAAGCGAGGACTAAAAGCTTCAGTTGACTTCGAGGAGTGATGGAGTTGGCAGATATGAATTTTTCAATTTTATGAGAACGATAGGGATCTGAAATAAATCTTCGGTATTTTCTTTTTAAGATAAATGTTTTAAAATAAACGCCTGCAGCATGGATGGATGGCTAGTGCCTGTGTCCTGTCTTAGAGCTGATCATAAATAACACTGAGAAAAATAGCTCTGGCCATTCTAAAACCACCTTTATTTTTTACTCCTAAGAGCTCAGAGGATTATATCTTGATGCATTAAGCTAGACTCTTTTAAGGCAGCTGCAAATCATAGAAGTATAGAAGTTGTCTTTAAATGGAAATAACTACTCAAGACTTGGCTTAGAAGGAAACTATGGTTTCAAGAAGTGTCTGAACAGTTGTGGGTGCATCTAATGGTCAGAATACTAATTCAAGTTTAAAGGCATTTGGTGGGTTTCTGACTTAAGGAAATCCTTTTGTGAGTCTTCAGATGAAACATTTAATTCTTCTTCGGCCCTATAACCAACAAACTTAAATAACCTTTTGTAAGTCCAAACTTTCAAATACCAGATTTGCTTGAGGTATTTTTTTTTTCTATTGTGGTCTGTACATTAGAGAGCTTATAACTTTACTGTAGAACAGCTTATTCAACGACTTCGGTTTCCCTTTCACTATTAGATGAGAACAGGACATTAAAGGCAGACATACAATCAGACACATTGCTCATCTTTTAAAGTGCCAGCCTCAGGACACTGCAATGACTTCATGTCATCTGATTACTTCCTGTTTGTCTTTTATTTTTCTCTGTCATATTTGAAAGAGGGGTCATATGTTCAGATGGAAAGGTGAATGAGAGGATCTTCTTGGTGGAAGGGCCTCTGCATATAGGCTGGGAGGAAAGGGGATGAGGGAAGTGAGGGGTTCATGCTCAGTGGAAAAAGGAAAGCCACTATTCAGCTGTGTATTTCAGATTTATCAAGATAAACCATAATCCTGCATTTTTATGCTAAATCTCTCAATTTCTAAATGTTGTTTCTATTTATTTTTTGCTCTGTCACACAGGATAGAGTGCAGTTGGTGCAATCAGAGTTCACAGCAGCCATCTAAAATTCCTTGAGTCAAGCGATCCTCCTGCCTCGGCTTCCTGAGAAACTAGGACCAGGCATGCACCACCATGCCCAGCTAATTATTATTATTATTATTTTGTAGAGATGGGTTCTGATTATGTTGCCCAGGCTTGTCTTGAACTTCTGGCCTCAAATGATTCTCCTGCCTCAGCCTCCCAAAGTGCTGGGGTTGCAGGCATGAGCCACTATATCTGGCATCTATTTTTTTAAGTGCATAATAAACCAAACATTTCCATGACCCAAACATTTTTACTAATATTTGTTTAAAAATCTCATTTCCGGAGGTTGCTGATAATTACTGACTAATACCATTATTAGCTATGTCCAAGAAAGAGATGTGTTAGAGTCTTCCTAGACTGGCAAAGAAGGTTTAGGGAAGATACTTCATCTTTTGTGGTAAAGACTGCAAGGAGTTTATACTTCCAACAGGCATTTGGTAAAACTGGGACTTCTAAGGGTGATTGGGAAATGTATGGAAATGCCTCAATTCTAAACATCACGGAAGTCACAGGTACCCTTAGTGGTTTTCATTCTACATAAAATAAAGCTTTCTTCTGAGAATAGAGTATCTCCCTCACTCTTTGCAAGAATGCTTATGGGTTTATCTTCACATAATACTGAATTTCCCCATTTAATATAACTACCTTCTCGCTCCATGCTTTATAATATTCCATAATGAAAGATGTCTTCACAAAGCTTATCTCTTAGAAGTGCAAAAGAACCCCCTTTTCTCTGCCCAAGCAGCTCATAATGTAGCAGGCAAACTGTCAGAAAAAAATAGACTTCATCCTGGTGAAAACCTCAGCCTGGCACCCATCTATCATAAAACAATCTTCTAGAAATCTTGAAAACCTTCATTAAATTTCCTGTCTTTCTCCGGACAGTTATAAAATGTTAACAATATTACTCATGATGCAGGCATCTTCAGAAATCCTTTGTCTAATCCCTCCTCCCACTGCCATGACCAGTCCCTTCTCTTTGCCAAAATCCATGGAAGCATGAAGCATAGCCGAGTTCCTCACTCACCCCTCCTGGGGCCTACCCCTCGAAGAGGGTCCGAGGAGGAAACAGAGGTAGCCTTGATGATAGTGAGAGGCTCTCTAGCCACAAGAGGGAAATATGGCACTGCCTTGGGATTCCTCCTGCAGAGACACACCCACTTGGAAGCTCAAGGACAAGACCCTGTGCCACTCTTAGCAGATATTTCCTGGTCTTTTTTTCTCTCTCTTTTCTCTTGCCAATGTACCAAGCTATGAGTCTCCACTTATCAATTACATGTGGGTAGTCGGCCAATAGGTCTTCTCTCTATGGGTAAAATTCCCCTAAGAACCTTACTAGCCCAACTTCTCCAACTCCACAGGCCACTTCAGCAATTTACCACTCCTTAGAAGAAGAAGAAACAAGGGTCTTGCACTGGAGGCAACATGAAGGAAAAAACAAACAAACAAAAACATAAGGACAGCCAGAATCCATCCCAGAAATAAGAGGCATACAGCTTTAACATCACAGGCTGATCTAGAGATGCACAGGGTGGTGACAATAGCTATAAAGCCATATTCTGGGCTTTGTGGAGGTTTCACAGCACATCTTCAAAGTGAGCCAGGCCCAGCCGTACGAAGCCATAATCTCACCTGCAAAAGGAACCGGTGCATCTTTATCCAGGGCTACCAGTGGTGGGTCCAAAATGACTGTGTCATTGTTCTCAGTTATGACTCCATGATATGAAGTCTCGATCCATGGCTTGTGCTTATTGACTAGAAAATAAGGGGGAAAAAACAAAAAGGATCATTATTTAAATAACAAACCCATAATAATGTATTATTAAGATTGTATATTTGCCCAATCATAGACTCTCATCCAACAATCCCATGAGAGACATGGAACATGTTAATCCCATTTTAAACCCAGAAAAGCTTCAGAGAAGTGCGGGAAGAGGTTCAACACCTCACCCAAGCCACTCAGAAGGTGAGAGACAGCATTGACTATCAAACACTGTTTGTTTTGCCTCTAAGACCACGGATTCTTCACCTCGTCAAAATCCCATTATTTGTATGTCTGGATACCCAGTACAGATAGATGTTACTGAGAACTGATTGAAAGCTTTAATTCTGTAATGCTACCATCTATTAATAGATGTTTCAGAGTTAAAGTGCTTTGTCACTCAATAAACTAGCAGTTACTACTATGTATGCTCAGCTTTCTGACCTCAACCAAATCTGATCCATCATTAGAAGTTACTGCATTTTAAATACATGTATACATGTATACACACACATATGTATAAATATCATTATATATGCAAAGATAAAACAGATATTTGAATATTTTCTGATCATTTAAAAACTGTGTATCTCAGTGGTCTAAATTATTGGTAACTTAAATTGTTCTTCAATAATTTGACTAGCTGAATTAAATATTAACCAATGAACAATTAATACAATGAAAACACATATCAAATATATTTTATGGGTTGAATTGTGTCCTCTACATAAAAAAAATACATTGATATCCTAACACTTAGAATCTCAGTATGTGAATTATTGGGAGATAGAATCTTTACAGAGGTAATCAAGTTTTAAAATGTCATTAGGGTGGTTCCGCATCCGATATGATTAGTGTACTCGTATAAAGGGAAAATTGTGGCACAGAAATATGTATACTGAGAGAATCTCATGTGAAAATAGAGTTGTGCAGCCCCAGGCCAAGGAACTACAGGAAGCTAGGAGAGAATCCTGGAACGGAGCCTTTCCTAGAGCCTTCAGAGGGAACCTGGACCTGCCAACACCTTGATTTCATATTTCTGGCATCCATAAACGTGAGACAATAAGTTTTTGTTCCCAGATTCCCAGTGATATGGTTTGGCTCTGTGTTCCCATCCAAATCTCATCTTGAATTGTACTCCCATAATTCCCACATGTTGTGGGAGGGACCCAGTAGCAGATAATTGAATGATGGGGGTGGTTTCCCCCACACTGTTCTCGTGGTTGTGAATACGTCTCACAAGATCTGATGGTTTTCTCAGGGGTTTCCGCTTTTACGGCTTCCTCATTCTCTCTTTGCCTGCTGCCATCCATGTAAGACAGGATGGTAAGAGGTCCAATTAAACCTCTTTCTTTTGTAAATTGCCCAGTCTGGGGTATGTCTTTATCAGCAGCATGAAAACATACTAATACAGTGAATTGGTACCAGTAGAGTGGGGCATTGCTGAAAAGATACCCAAAAATGTGGAAGTGACTTTGGAATTGGGAAACAGGCAGAGGTTGGAACAGTTTGGAGGGCTCAGAAGAAGACAGGAAAATGTGGGAAAGTTTGAAACTTCCTAGAGACTTGTTGAATGGCTTTGCCCAAAATGCTGATAGTGATATGGGCAATAAGCTCCAGGCTGAGGTGGTCTTAGATGGAGATGAGGAACTTGTTGGGAACCGGAGCAAAGGTGACTCTTGTTATATTTTAGCAGAGACTGGCAGCATTTTGCCCCTGCCCTAGACACTTGTGGGACTTTGAACTTGAGAGAGATGATTTAGGGTATCTGGTGGAAGAAATTTCTAAGCAGCAAAGCATTCAAGAGATGACTTGGGTGCTGTTAAAAGCATTCAGTTTTAAAAGGGAAACAGAGCAGATAAGTTTGAAAAATTTGCAGCCTGACAATGCGATAGAAAAGAAAATCCCATTTTCTGAGGAGAAATTCCAGTCAATTGTAGAAATTTTCATAAGTAACGAGAAGCCCAATGTTAATCCCCAAGACAATGGGAAAATGTCTCCAGGGCATGTTCAGAGGTCTTCATGGCAGCCCCTCCCATCATAGGACCTGAGGCCTAGAAGGAAAAACATGGTTTCATGGGCTGGACCTCTGAGCTGTGTGCAGCCTAGGGACTTGGTGCCCTGCATCCCAGCTGCTCCAGCCATGGCTGAAAGGGGCCAACATAGAGCTCAGGCCATGGCTTCAGATGGTGCAAGCGCCAAGTCTTGGTGGCTTCCACATGGCATTGAGCCTGCAGGTGCACAGAAGTCAAGAATTGAGGTTTGGAAACCTCCACCTGAATTTCAGAACATGTATGGAAATGCCTGGATGCCCAGGCAAAAGTTTGCTGCAGGGGAGTGGCTCTCATGGAGAACCTCTGCTAGGGCAGTGCAGAAGGGAAATGTGGGGTCGGAGCCCCCACACAGAGTCCCTACTGGGGAATCGCCTAGTGGAGCTGTGAGAAGAGAGCCACTGTCTTCCAGACCCCAGAATGCTAGATCCACTGACACTTGCACCTGTGCCTGGAAAAGCTGCAGGTACTCAACATCAGCCCATGAAAGCAGCTGGGAGGGAGGCTGTACCCTGCAAAGCAACAGAGGTGGAGCTTCCCGAGACCATGGGAACCTACCTCTTGCATCAGGGTGACCTGGATATGAGACATGGAGTCAAAAGAGATCATATTGGAGCTTTAAGATTTGACAGCCACACTGGATTTTGGACTTGCATGGGCCCTGTAGCCCTTTTGTTTTGGCCAATTTCTCCCATTTGGAACGGTTGTATTTACCCAATGTCTGCATCCCCATTGTATCTAGGAAATAACTAGCTTGCTTTTGATTTTACAAGTTCATAGGCAGAGGGGACTTGCCTTGTCTCAGATGACACTTTAGACTGTGGACTTTTGATTAATGCTAAAATGAGTTAAGACTTTGGGGGACTGTTGGGAAGGCATGATTGTTTTTGAAATGTGAGGACATGAGATTTGGCAGGGGCTAGGGAAAGAATGATATGGTTTGGCTCTATGTCCCCACCCAAATCTCATCTTGAATTGTACTCCCATAATTCCCACATGTTGTGGGAGAGACCCAGTGGGAGATAATTGAATCATGGGGGCAGTTTCTCCCATACTATTCTTGTGGTAGTGAATAAGTCTCACGAGATCTGATGGTTTTATCAGGGGTTTTTGCTTTTGCATCTTCCTCATTCTCTTTGCCTGTTGCCATGCATGTAAGATGGGACTTGATCTTCCTTGCCTTCTGCCATTATTGTGAGGCTTCCCCAGCCACGTGGAACTGTAAGTCCAATTAAACCTCTTTCTTTTGTAAATTGCCTAGTCTTGAGTATGTCTTTATCAGCGGCAAGAAAATGGACTAATCCACCCAGTTTGTGGTACTCTGTTACAGCAACCCTAGCAAATCAATACAGTATACTTATATCAGCAGGTACTAATGAAGAGTAGAGAACTGAAATAAGACTGTGCCAGGAGTTTTCACCTCATCTGGTGAGAACCCAGTTCTTGCCAAATCCTTCCCCTTCTATGTCTTGTTTGATGGGTTCTAGCCCAACCCACTCCTATCTGGATGGCAGCAGGGGTCTCCTGACTGGTCTCTCCATTGGAAATCTTGCCCTACTCCATTCTATTCTGCACACTGGTATCAAGAGTGATCTTTCTAAAACATTAATCTGATTACTTAACTGTGAGCTACTTGGTTTCTCTTTTTTAGTCCCCCCCGCTCACCCCCAATACCCTCACAGAAGTCTGGATATAGAGTAGGTACATCAGATTCAAAATAACAGGTTAGAGGGGGGCTAGAATAATCAAAATTGTTCCGATGCCAAACTTCACACCCTAATTCATAGTTTAAAAGGTGTGGTCACATATGCAGTGCTTCCCACAGCATCCTGTGAGGTAGGCATGATCATTATAAAGATGAATAAACTACCTCCACAAAGCGTAACTTTCCCAAGGTGATTATATGGTTAAAAATTAATAAGTAGGAAAACCAGAAATTCATACTTTGTGATATCTGAGAAGTGCAAACACACACACACACACATAATATATAATATATATTATATAATATATATATTATATATTGTTATTATATAATATATATATTATATTATATATTGTTATTATATATAATATATAATATATAATACATATTATATATTATATATTATATAATACATATTATATATTATATATTATACATATTATATATTAATATATTATATATAATATATAATACATAATACATATTATATATTAATATATATTATATATAATACATATTATATATAATATATAATACGTATTATATATAATATATAATACATATTATATAATATATAATGCACATTATACAGTATATATTTTATATATTACATTACAAATTTTTCAGTAGCCACAGCAAAGTGAGAGCTTATAGAATTGAGAGCAGCTCTGAAGCAGTGGCTGTTCCCTTCCTGCCTCATCCTTCAAAAGGTCAGTTCAGAGCTGTTCCAGGAGCAGTGGCAGACTCAACCAAGGCCACCATTTTGCTCCTTCTCACCCATTCCACAGCAATCACAAACTAACTGGAAAGCAGTCTAATGAGGCAGGGACATATGCCTTGCTATTCTCAGGTCTTGGCCCCTGAAACCCATTTTTACAGATTGGACCATGCCCAGGGCAGAGAGAAGCTCTGGCCACTGCAGGTGTGAATTGGACAGTAGGTACATCCATTTTCACAGTTTGGCATTCGGACTGATGCTTCATTATGGACCCTGGAAAAATTATAACCACACTGGGCTGTCCCCACACTCCTTTGCTCTTTTATTAGCCATCAACACAAATGCAATGTAAATAATTTGCAGCTGTTGGGAGAAACAATTAAATCTTTTTTTCCCCTTAATTAAACCTAGGGGCCTGTCCATTAGAACTGTGTACAAAGCATACACCAGGAGCTCACCCAGTGCTTCAGATTCATTGTGCCTATCTAAATGGTCTAAATTAGATAGGCTCAGTGGCAGGCAATGAAATCTAAAGTTGCAGTTCCTGGTTTTAGCCCTGACTTAGCCACTTTTGCCTGGTCCTATGTGAATCCTCTGGCCTCTCAGAGTTTCAGTTCCCACGACTGTAAAATGCTGATGGTGATGCCACTTACAGTGTTGTTCTGTCATTCATATGTCCTGTGCTAGACACACAGCTGCTGCTTTTTCATTACTCAGACTTACCACCCTGCTTGCTGGGCAGTGACAATGTCTGCAGGAGAGGTGATTTATAGACCAACTTAAAAGTTGAGGTTTTTCCCTCATTAGGAAATGAGCTGACTTCCTTCTATGTACAGGTCTGCCTTCCTTTACTCCTCTCTGTCACTACTTCAGTTAGGGTACCTATCACATATTAGGTATTTGACATCCATACATTTACTAATCCTCACAACAACCCCTTTGGGAAATAATTTATTTCTCATTTTGCAGGTGAGTAACTGAGGCTTAGAGGGATTTAAATGTTCTCATTTTGGAAAGTAAGAATGCTAACATCCCCCAAATTTTCTCCCTTCTTTCCCACATTCTAATTTCCCTCACATCAGGATTTTTGCTTTGTCAAGATTGATTCATAAACAAAATTGCCTTCTATCCTTTGTCTATAGATCAAATCATCAGGGTTGCAAACCAATAACTTAATTTATGTTAATTCGACTACGAAGATATCATTCATGGATGAGCCAAGTATTGTACAATAATTACTTATTCTTTTTAGTGGTCAAATGATCATTTTGAGGACCACATTATTTGCATCCAGATCAACTGGATTCTTTATTTTTTACTCCATCAAATGGCTGAATCATGTTCCTATGATCACAGCTTGCATCACATTTGGAAGCAGCCTCCCTTGTATATTTTTGTTTCCTGAATTTAATGATTATTGCCTTTTTATTCCTATTGAGTAATGAAACATAAAATTTCTTCTGAGCTCAATTATGTTATAGCTTGTAAATCATCCCATCATTACTCATTCTTCATTTGTAAAATGAAGATACTTATTTCTCAGGAATGTCGTGAAAATTGCATGAAATGATGTATGCAAACATAGTACCCAGGAACACAGCAGGCATTCAAATACTCATAACTCCCCCTACCCCATCTCATGATCCTGGGTAGCTAAGGTGTACCCTTGCACTCTCAGAAATGTTCTACCCAGCTTCATCCCTTCAATATATATTAATGGAGTATCCAAAATGTACAGAAAACATACATATTGAGATAAAATGAGAAAAAAAGTCTTTTAAAAAGCATCTGACAAAATTATAATTAAAACTATTAGCAAATGAAAAATAGAAAACAACTTTCTTAACTGGATAAAGAACTTTTACAAAAACCTATAGCTAATATCATACTTAATGGTGAAAGAATAAATGCTTTCCTTCCAAGAACAGGAAGAATACAAGGATGGCCCACTCTCAGCACTTCTATTCACATTGTACTGTAGGTTCTAACCAGTGCAATAAGGCAAGAAAAAATATTAAATTGGAAATGAAAAAGTAAAATTGTCATTATTCACAGGGAACATGATAATCAATGCAAAAATTCTATGGAATAAAACATGCTTAGAACTAATAAGAGTTTAGGAAGGTCAGAAGATAGAAAGTCAATATTAAAAAAGCAATGGTATTTCTATGAAGAAATCAACAATTGGAAATTTCAATTAAAAAAATACTGTTACAATAGCATCAAAAACATGAAACTTAGCAATAATTTTCAGAAAATATATGCAAAAGTTGGTACACTGAAAACCCTGACACTGCTGAAAGAATTTAAAGATCTGAAGAGGTTTTAATGGAGAAATACACAGTGTTCATTATTTGGCAGACTCAATATACTTAAGACGTTAATTTTCCCCAAAATTGATATATAGATTTAATGTAACTCCAACCAAAATTACCAGCAGGATTTCTGAAAGAATAAGCAAACTCTAAGATGTACATATAAATGAAAAAGACCTGACATAGCTAAAAATAATTTTAGGAAAAAAGAACAAAGTTGAAGGACTTATACTACCTAATTTTGAAACTTACTGCAAACCTACCCTAATCAAGATAGTGTGGTATTAATATAAAGATAGATGTATACATCAATGGAAAGAAGAAACAGTCCAGAAATAGACACATACATATGGTCAGTTCATTTCTGACAAAGGTTCTAAGACAATTAAATGGGGAGGAGAATAGTTTATTAAATGCTGCTAGAGAAAAAATGAATATCTATATGCCAAAAAAATAAACTCCAGTTGTATTGTGCTATACAAACAAAAATTATCTCTACAGGAGTCATAGTCCTGAATGTAGAAGTCAAAATTATAAAACCTTTAAAATAAAGCATATCAGAAAATCTTAGTGTCCTTGGGTTAGATTAGAAGGCTCCAAAAAAAAGCATGCCCCATAAAAGATAAAATTGATAACATCAAACTTTATAAAAATGATAGACTCTTATTTTCTTGAAAAACTCTAAAAAAATTGTAAGCCACAGACTAGGAGGAAATATTTGCAAAACATTTCATAAAGGTCTTGTATCCAAAATATATAAATAATTCTTTCAATTAAATAAGACAATTTGATTTTCAAAAAGCAAAAATTGAATATACCTGTCACTAAAATAAATATATAAACAGCAAATTAGAGCATAAAAATTTGTTCAACATCAATAGTCATTAGGGGCATGTAAATTGAAGCCACAATGGGATATCACCACAACACCAGTTGAATGGCTAAAATAAAACTGACAATATCAAGTTCTGATAAACATGTAAAGTAATTGGAACTTTTAGACATTGTTGGTAAGAATGTAAGACTAATACAGTCACTTTGCAAAATAGTTTCTTATAAAATGACTCAGCAATTCTATTCCTAGGATTTACCCAAGAGGAATGAAAACATAAATTACACGAAAGACTTGTATAGAAATGATCACAGAATCTTTATTCAGAATACTTAGTGCCAAACTGGTAACTAAAATGGCCGTCAACTAGTGAATGGATAAACAAATTGCAGAATATCCAGATAATGGACACCCACTCAGCAATAAAAGAACAACTACTGATCCATATAACAAAACAGATGAATCACCAAAGCATTTCACTGGTGAAATGAAGTGAAATAAGTCAGACAAAAAAGACTGCATGCTATTTGATGCCATTCATATGACATTTTAGAAAACACAAAACTATAGGGACAGATAACAGATCAGTAGTGGCTAGGGTTTGGGGTGGGGTGGGATTTGATTGTGAAGGGGAACAAGGGAATGTTCTGAGACGATGAAACCATTCTGTATCTTGATTGTAGTGGTGGTTACACTTCTGCACGTGTGCGTTTGTCAAAACATATCCAACTTCACACTTAAAAAGATGACTCTTATTCTGTCTGTGTAAATTATGCCGCAATACATGTGGGGCAAGAACAAAGTTTTAGTACTCAAAGGACTCCCAGACTAGAGAGGTAAACAGTATGGTAAGAGGTAGGTGAGAAGAGGAAGAGCAGAGTGCTATGGAAAAAGAGAAGTGCTAACTCAGTCAAGCTAACCCAGGATTACTTCCTGGAGAAAGTAAACTCTAAGTCATGAGCAGCAGGAATTAAGCAGGCATAAAGGATGTGGAGGGCTCCAGGCAGAAGAACGTGGATGGGCAAAGGCCCAATGATAAAAGCATTTAATATATCTTGGGGGAAATGTAAATAGTTTGGTTTATCTGTAGAACAGAGTTTGAAGGAGCAAGGCCAGCCACAGTGCTGGACTGAGACGGCATTCACATTACCCAGTGCTTTTTGGCATGTACAGAAATTATCCAGGAGCTACTTCCAAACCTTGGCTTCATGGGATGCTGGAGAACCATCTCCTTTCCAGAAAGAAGTAGTGGCTGTTGATGCCTGTGGCTTGGCTGTTATTCCTTATTTAATCTGTTCCATAGCCTGATGTTCCCTCCCTGAACAAAATGCTTTGTCTTTTTGTTCCAACAGAGCGAGGTTAGTCAGCTCATGCTTCGCTTCATTTGAATTTAACTTCAGAAGAACTAAGTTTTTATCAGTTCTTGACAAGATAATATCCCTGTTTTCTGCACATCCCATCTGGAGGCTGAGCTGTGTCATATCATGCCCCTTTAGGACTAATTCTTGCCTCTTTCTTATCTCTTTTCCATGATGTTTCAGCATTTGGAAAATGCCCGTGTCTTTGCACTCATGCAGAGGAAACACCAGTGTGATATTTCTGCTCCATTTACACAGAAATTAGGTCTTGCCACCCAATGTGCCTTTAACTAGAGCACAGATGCATTCCTCAGGAGAGCTCCTCAGCTCTCTTCTCTTTGCTTACACTGCAAAAAAAGTGTATTAATGCTCCATCCAAGCAGCAGGGCCAAGCGGCTCATGATTTACCTTTTGAATCTTTATGCTTTTACCTAAAGATGACGTTTCTGGCTACTTTCTGACCTTTCTGGACAACCCTGGATCTTTAAAACTCCAATACTGCTCCCTGAGTGAAAGTAAACTATGAGTAAAAAACATGCTTTACTGATTGCAAAATGCTCTAACAAGGTTAACTATACTCTGGTAAATATATTATTCCAATTGTCAGGCTGGTCTTTTGCCTGCCATGCTCAACTTCCTCTTCTGATCTGATCTCCTAGTAGAACTGCTTAGGCCAAGATAGATACTGGACCCTTGGGGTAACTGATGGGTGGAGTAGGCCAATGTATTAGACCTTGAAACTTTCATTTCACAGGCCAGAAACTAGAGCTCATTTGGCAATGGGCACTTGAAATCTTGAGACAAAAGTTAATAGGGAGTTGGGGCTAGCATTCATGCAATCAGCACTCAAAGTTTAGGGGGAGCTGAAAATCCATTTAAATGAGAGACAGCCATCTGCCAGGAGACACAAGGTTTGAGAGTAGATAGGCAGAGAGAAGAAATGGACCCCAGATGGCTGTAGGCAACACAGAGGCACCTCTCCACTCCTGTTTTCCAGCCCATCCCCTGCTCACTTTTCACAGACTCATCAGCCTTCTGTGGGGTGTGTGAGGCTGCCAAGTGAAGCCTTTCAATAGTTATTCTCCTCCAACTTTTAAAAGAAAAATTGTGCTAGTTTGAGTATCTGTTCTTGTAATAAAATGATTTCTAACTATAATTATTATAATAGCATTTTGAAAAGTATTTTTATTCTTTGCTTCAGTCAGGCCAGGATAGGAGGGCAAATCTGATTCTGCCCTTCCCCCACTAGGATACCAGGCTAGGAAGCTGTCCTGCCCTCCATTAGGAGATCAGATGAGGCTACCCTAGGCCCCAAGCTCTCTAGGTTATCCAGGCCTTTGCCATAATTGTGCTGTCTACCCCTGTGCCTACACTCCTATTCATTCTTCCAGGTTCAGCTCACTCCCCTCCCCCGGTTGCCCTCCTGTTCTCCCGTCACCCTGTACTGTCTGCTCTCATGCCACAGGTCTACTGTGTCGCCATTGGATCTTTCCTTGTTCCCATTTCCTGAAGAACCCTGAGGCCCCTTGACCGGGAGGCACCATTCTAATCATGACGATGTCTACAGTTCCTAACACAGTGCCCAGCATATAGTGAGTCACTGGTAAACAAAGTGAGCACACGTTTTCCTTGCCAGCATCTCCAATACCTGAAGCAAAGAGCAGCACTTTGATTCCAATGAGTAGGTATTCCTGTATCACGCAAATAGAAAGGGCATGCCTCCCAAATCTTAGGGTGACATTTGCCATCACTTAATCAGAGACAACCTATATTACTTGCTAGAGGTACCAATTAGAGAGTTTTAAATACAAATCCCATGTGTGTGACTCATACATGAAAAATATCCACAGAAGATGAGATTACATTTCACTATTTTAATTGGATTGAAAAAGTATTTGAAGGACAGATGGCTGAGTCATTAATCCTTAACTGCTTGATAGGTGCTTTCAGTGGGGGCAGAACATTGCTTTCCTTCCTTCCTCACTTCTTTCCTATTTTCTTTCCATCCATCAATCCATCCATCCACCCACCCATCTACCTATCCACCCATCTACCTAGCCATCTGTCCACTCACCATACCTATTTTCTTCTTTCCTTCCAACTATCATTTTCTACCCATAAATACTCAATTGTTTAGAGTGTGGACAATCCCAAAGAACTTACCTAATTTCTCCAGCCTGGGAATGAACTATATGGCAATATCCTTTTGGGTAGTGACATCTGAACCAAGAGCAAGGCTAGGAAAAATTGTGCACTGGGGTACCATGTGAGATTTATGAAACTTAAATTTTAAGTTGTCTCTACACAAGTCATCTGGATCAAGCCAACTGGCCAAAGTTCACCCTAAGACAGACCCTGAGGTTGAGTGTAAGGGGTATTGCAATTAATGTCAAAGTGCTGCCTTTACATACCAACAGGATATTTTAGTTAAGTCTTTCAAACGTCCCAGGCCTCCACTCTCTTTTACAAAATGGAGGTAATACCAATTCTGCAAGGTTTTTGAGAGGAAGATAAAATGAGACTCTTGAGTTAGAGCTGGCTCATTGGTGACTAGCACTTTATAGGTTGCCAGCAAAGGTTTTCAGTTCTGCACCTCAGTATCTACAGGCTGGAATCAGGACCCACACAGGACCCAGCATGCCCACAACCCAACTAATCCATTGGTAGGATGAAGACCTAACAGAACCCTAAGCTTAACTCCCAAGGGCTGGAAAAATTAGACTAAGTCTATGAAGAAGATCAGGAGCCATGCAGAAGAAGATCAGGAGCCATGCAGAAAAAGATCATTTCGAATAAAAAGGGGCAAGGAAAAAGGGACTGTGATTGTTTAATGCTCACATTCACTTGCTAGAGTCAGCTCATTTTTTACACAAAATATTTTACCTACTGAACATTATTGGACTGAAGTGTGCATTAAATTGTTATATCTCTAATTCTCCAAGATTGTTATTACTTCAATATCTCACACTTCATTGCATTTTAAACATCTTTAACCCCTAAGATAGTCCTTAACTTACTTTGGAATTCATGCTAATAAATGTAATTGTCTAAAACTTTCTGTAATTGCCATTGACAAACCAGAATCATTAACATAGCTAACCAGAAGCCACCACTCCTGAGGGCCTACTATGTGCCAGCCTTTACGGTCGTGTTCTCATTAAATTCTCACAAGCACCCCTGCAGGACGGCAGAATTGGCTCCACTTCATGGATGAGGGAACAGGTTCAGAGAGCTTAAGGAACTCATACAAGCAAGGCCACGGCTCCTAGATGGAAGAATTGAAATTTCCTCCCTGGATGGTCATCCTTCTCCCCACAAGAAGTCAATGCAATGGCACACATTCAGTTCCATCTCCTGTGGGTCAAACTGTGGACCAAGTGCTTGGTAGGGTACAAAGAGACAATATAGCCAAGACTAAAGTGGACTGGGGAATGAACAGTCAGGGTTCACCAGAGAAACAGAACCAATAGTACATAACAATCTCTCTAAATCTATATCTATCTAGCTCTACATCTGTGTGTGTGTGTGTGTGTGTGTGTGTGTGTAGAGATAGAAAATTTTAAAGAATTGATTCATGCATTTTGTGGGGGGTTAGCAAATTTGAGAACTGTAGGTCAGGCCTGCAGGCTGAAAACCCAGACAGAAGTTGATGCTGCAATCTTGAGGCAACTTTTTTCTTTTCCGGGAAATGACAGTTTTTGCTGTCAAAGCTCTTCAACTGATTGGATGAGGCTCATCCATGTTAGTGAGAGTAATGTCCTTTACTTAAAGTCAACTGATTGTAGATCTTCAGCACATCTACAAAATATCTTCGCAGCAATATCTAGACTAGTGTTTGATTAAATAACTGGGTACTACAGCCCAGACAATTTGACATATCACAAACTAATCATCACATGCACTGAAGAAGTTTTTAAGACTGCTGTATTCAAACTGAGTGAGAAGATTTGATAGGATAGTACAAATTTCTCTAAAGCTTAGAAAGAAATGCTATACTTTTGTTTCTCTACTGGCAAACTAATAAATAAAACCCTTGTGGCTTATGCTACCAACTTTGTTCTAGAAGGTAGCAAATGCATGATACATTTTTACTGCGAATTCCATTTCACGCCTTAGATTCTAAGATGTCCAGAACGATGGATGACAATTATCTGGTTTACAGTATATTCACTGCAAAATGCTTGCCTGCTTCTCCATGCTTCAGAAAGAAAGCACTGGCAGGCCAATTTTGCTTGTTATTTATGTGAACTGTTATGTGCATTTCCCCAGCTCTGACTCCTTCCTGAAAAGATACAGAGTATAAGAGGTAGAAGACAAGCAAAAAGGCCCCCGCCACCCAGCCAAATACATAATTATAACAAAGTTGCAAGCGAATACCCTAGGTCATCCCCACAATCAGATCTGATTGTCAGTCTATCAGAGAATTTGCTTTTATTTGCATCCACATGTCTGCATTCCTGCCTGCTCAGTTCAGCTCAGCTCAGGCACCACTGACAGGGGCTCTGACACTCCTCTACTCTTCCACCCCTAGATACATAACCAAGACTAAATTAAGTCCCTCTCCTTGTCCTCCCAAAGTCCCCTGCTTATCTCTAGCATAGCAAGTACTATACTGGATGTAAATATCATTTTGTACCTTTTCTATACCAGATGGTGGAGAAAGATGCTGTGTGTTTTATGTCTATATCCCTAACCCAGCACAAAAGTTCTCAAAATATGGCCAGGAACCCTTGGGAGGGTCTCTGAGACCCTTTCAGGGGTTCACAAGGTCAAAATTATGTTTACAGAAGTGCTAAGATAGTATTTGCTTTCTTTGCTTTTATTCTCTCTAGAGCAGTTTTCCAGAGGTTATAAGCAGATATAAAAATCCAGCTGTCTTCTATTAAGCCAGACATTAAAGATAATTGCAAAAATGTAAAACAATGAGACTCTTCCCACTGTTTTTTAAAATTCTTGTCAACAGTTGTTTTAAGTAAAAAGTTTGTTATTTTGGTCAATATTTGATGAGTTTATTGTTAATTATAAGTAAATTAATAAATATAGATTTTTAAATTTTGTCAGTTTAAATTGCTAATGCAATATATAGTAACAGGTATAACCTACAAAACGAAAGCTCTTTGGGTTTGTTAACATTTAAGAATGCTAACTTGTTAAGAAACCAAAAGTTTAGTATGTGGCTTGTCAAAGGACTTGAAACACAGCACATGCTGCTCAGGTAGGAAAGAGTGTGAGTGTAAGGGGAGGAAGAGAGTGGGGAGAGAAGAAAGGGACAGTAGGAGGGGAGAGAAAGAAAGGATAACCAAAGTTATCCAGGCAAGACTTACATAATTATTTCTTAGATTTAACTCAGTTAGGGAGGGTTGATCAATGCAGTGACAAGATTGGTTCTTTTTCCGGTTCTGGTTGTGAAGGAAAAGTAACTTGTTGACTGGATCACTAGCACATCAATTTTTGTGATACTGTGTAGGTAATAGAGCCTCTGATTCTTTTGGAAAAAGGAAGGGGAGCATCTTTTCTTGTATGAACTTGAGTGCATGCTGTCAGGAGAATAATTGTCTGAAATCACAGTCTTTATATCTTTTGCAACCTGGTTGGAGAAACTGCCATAAAAATAAGCAAACTTCATAAATCATCTCTGTAAAAGGCATCAAAGGTTAAAAGCATTGTGAGGAACTTCTGAAATACATTTGGACTCTGAATTTTCAGAGTGTTTAGGAGGCAACTATTGTGTCTCAAAAGAGTAATCATGATCTTGGAGATTTTAAAGGGTAATTCCACTGTTGAAGGTGTCAATGTCTCCTAGTGGTAAATAGAACAAGTACTTGCCAGCTGGAGGAGTCTCTCAATCCCTAAGGCATACATCCCAAAATTGCTAACTGAGACCTTTGCTCTTACTAGTAGTAATCCTGAGGCCTGGCACATGGTAGGTGCTCCGTGTGTGTTAAGTGTGTGTTAAAAGATGAATGAATAAGCTTTGACTGCTTGTTATTATCTGAGCAAAGACTGACACACAGTGATTCCTCCTCAATGATTATCTGAACCAAAGAAAGCAAATAGTATCTTAGTACTTTTATGAAAATCATTTTGATCTTGTGGATGGACCCTTGAAAGGGACTCAGGGACTCCCCACCAAGCGTTCCTGGGTGTATTTTGAAAGCTATTGTGGTAGGTTAGGGATATAGACATAAAAGACCCAGCATCTTTCCCCACCATGTGGTAGAGATTGGGACCTACTTATTTCTGAACAACTTTTGGTTGACCAAGAGAATTTTGGTTTTCTTATACACCAATACTTCTGGGGATAATAAGACAAGAAAGAAACAAGGAAAAGGAAAAAAAAAATAGGATGAATAGACACTGTAGATAAAAGAAATCGGCAGACAGTAAACACTGGCCTAGAACAGTCCAGCATGGAATGAGAAAAATGCTATAGAATTCCATGAAATTGAGAATGTCTCAGGAGGAAAAGTCATTCCTGAGTCATAAAATCATATTTACATGAAACATTTGGGTGGTGAAAAAGACATACATATTATATGCAAAAAGCACATAAATTTACTAGCAAAGAACTCATTTAGGGTTGGGAGAGTCTAAAAAATTCCTATAAGCATGATAAATGCAATTAATTGTGCAGGGCTCACCATATTAAATTTAAGATAGATGTCATGTCTTTGGTAGTGTTTTATTGAATGTTCTGTATGTCAGTGAAAATAAAGATTATTTACAGAAACTCTAAATATACATTAACTCTAAATATCATTTTCTTAAATCTGTTTATTTTATATTTTTAGAATTTCAACTTTTATTTTAGATACACGGGGTATATGTGCAGGTTTGCTACATGGGTATATTGATGATCCTGAGGCTTAGGATATAGATCCTGCCACCGAGTTAGTGAACACAGTACTCTAGGAAGTTTTTTTAACATACACCCTCTCCCCATGCTACTTTCCCCTTCTAGTAGTCCATAGTATCTATTGTTTCTGTCTTTATGTCCATGAGTACCCAATGTTTAGCTCCCACTTGTGAGATCATACAGTATTTCATTTTCTATTCCTGCACTAATTTGTTTAGGATAATGGCCTCCAGCTGCATTCATGTTGCTGCAAAGGATATAATATTGTTCCTTTTTATGGTTGCATAGTATTCCATGGTATATATGTACCACATTTCTTTATCCAATCTACTGTTGATAGGCAACTGGGTTGATTCCATGTCTTTGCTATTGTTAATTGTGCTGTAGTGAACATACAAGTGTGTGTCTTTTTGGTAGAATGACTTGTTTTCATTTGGATATATACCCAGGAGTGTGATTGCTGGGTCGAATGGTACCTCTGTTTTAAATTCTTTGAGAAATCTCTAAACTGCTTTTCACAGTGGCTGATTTAATTTACATTACCACCAACAATGTAAAAGCATGCCCTTTCACCACAGCCTTACCAGCCTCTGTTTTTTGTTTTTATAATAGCCATTGTAATGGCTGTGAGATGATATTTCATTGGGATTTTGATTTGCATTTCTCTGATGATTAGTAATGATGAGCATTTCTTCATATGATTGTTGGTTGCTTGTATATCTTCTTTTGAGAAGTGTCTGTTCATGTCCTTGGTCTATTTTTTAATGGGGATGTTTTCTGCTTGTTAAATTATTAAGTTCCTTATAGATTCTGGATATTAGGCCTTTGTTGGATGCATAGTTTGCAAATATTTTCTTACATTCTGTAGGATATCTGCTTATTCTGTTGATAGTTTCTTTTGCTGTGCAGAAGCTCCTTAATTAGGTCCCATCTGTCAATTTTTATTTTTATTGCAATTGCTTTTGGGAACTTAGCCAAAAATTCTTCACCAAGGCTAATGTCGAGAAGAATATTTCGTAGGTTTTCTTCTAGGATTTTCATAGTTTGAGGCTTCACATTTAAATCTTTAATCCAATTTGAGTTAATTTTTGCACATGGTAAAAGGTAGGGGTCCAGTTTCATTCTTCTGTATATTACTAGCCAATTATCCCAGCATCATTTATTGAATAGGGTGTTCTTTCCCCCATTGCTTATCTTTGACTATTTTGCTGAAGATCAGATGGCTGTACCTGTGCGGCTTTATATCCAGGTTCTTGATTCTGTTCCATTCGTCCATGTGTCTGTTTTTGTGCCAGTACCATGCTGTTTTGGTTACTGCAGCCTTATAGCATAGTTTGAAATCAGGGAGTGTGACACTTTTTATTCTTTTCCCTTAGGATTGCTTTGGTTATTCAGGCTCTTTTTTGGTTCCATATAAATTTTAGAGTCTTTTTTTCCGATTCTGTGAAAAATGACATTGGTAGTTTGATATAGTGTTGTAAACTGTTTTCAGCAATATGGCCATTTTAACAATATTTATTCTCCCAATCCATGAGCATGGAATGTTTTTGCATTTGTGTCATCTATGATTTCTTTCAGCAGTGTTTTTTAGTTCTCCTTCTAGAGATCTTTCATCTCCTTGATGAGCTGTATTCTTAGGTATTTCAATTTTTTCATAGCTAGTGTAAATGAGATGGTGTTCTTCATTTGACTTTCAGCTTGAATGTTATTGGTATATGGAAATTCTACTGGCTTTTGTACAGAGATTTTGTATCATGGAAAAAAGTCATTTATCAGTTCTAGGAGACTTTTGACAGAGTTTTTAGGTTTTTCCTGGTATATAATCATATCATCAGTGAAGAGAGATACTTTGACTTCTTTTCCTATTAGGGTGCCTTTTATTTCTTTCTCTTGCCTGATTGCTCTGGCTAGGACTTCCAGTACTATGTTGAATACGAGTGGTAAGTGTGGGCATCCTTAGCTTGTTCCAATTCTCAAGGGGAATGCTCCCAGCTTTTGCCCATTTAGTGTAATGTTGGTTGTGGGTTTGTCATAGACGGCCCTTATTGTTTTGAGGTGTTCCTTTGATTCCTAGTCTGTTGAGGGGTTTTGTTATGAAGGGACATTGCTTCTCGGCCTTTTGGCTAAGATCAAGTGTTATGAAGGGACACTGGATTTTATTGAAAGCTTTTTCTGCATCTATTGAAATGATAATATGGTTTTTGCTTTTAATTCTGTTTATGTGCTGAATCACATTTACTGATTTGTGTATATTGAACCAGCCTTGCATCCCAGGAATAAAGCTTACTTGATCATGGTGTATTAGCTTTTATGTTCTACTGGATTAACCCCAAAGCAAGTAGAAGAAAATAAATAACTAAATTAGAGCAGAACTGAATGAAACTGAGATGCAGAAATCCATACAAACAATCAATGAAACCAAGACTTGATTTTCTAAAGATTAAACAAGACTGATAGATTGTTAACCAGATTAACAAAGGAATAAAAGAATATCCAAATAAGTACAATCAGAAATGACAGATGACATTACAAGTGATCCCACAGAAATACAAAGATCCTCAGAGACTATTACGAACAACTCTATGCACACAAATTAGAAAATCTAGAGGAAATGGATAAATTCCTAGAAACACACAGCCTCCCAAGATTGAACCAGGAGGAATGTGGAAACCTGAACAGATCAATAACAAGTTCCAAAATTGGATCAGTAATTTAAAAAACCTACCAACCAAATAAATCCGCAGAC
Organism: Homo sapiens; assembly: GCF_000001405.40. Taxonomy (NCBI): domain Eukaryota; kingdom Metazoa; phylum Chordata; class Mammalia; order Primates; family Hominidae; genus Homo; species Homo sapiens. The sequence continues at coordinate 140,157,362 of NC_000003.12, read as the reverse complement.
CAGATGGATTCACAGCTGAATTCTACCAGACATATGAAGAAGAACTGGTAACAATCCTACTGAAACTCTTCCAAAACATTGAGGAGGAGGAGCTCCTCCCTAACCAATTCTTTGGAGACTAATAGGAAAATCTGGAAGAGACACAATGGGGAAAAAAAAAACCTTTAGGCCAATATCTCCACTAAACAGACACAAAAATCCTCAACAAAATGCTAGCAATCTTTTTCTTTAAAAAAATAAAGATTGAATAGTTCTGAGCAGCGATGCTTCCCCTCATTGAGCACTTCTAGGAAGTCAATCTACTTCACACTGTATCCTCTACAAAGGGCAGGGGCAAGACCTCCCCTGTGTCCTGGCTCATATCTGACAGGATTAATCAGATTCAAAAGAGCCTTTACTTCTCTCTGATGTCAGCGGGTTGTGTTTGTCCAGGTCCTCCGAGAGGCAAACACCAAGACAGGATTAAACATGCAAGGATTTTATTAAGAAAAATTATTTTGTGAGGGAAAGTAAGGAGGGAGCCAGAAACGTCTGAAGAGGTCAGACCTTGATGCAGACATAACCCCAGTGGAGGGGAGAGGAAGAAATAAATTGTGAGAAAAGTGTCCTAGACTTCCATGCAGTCTGAGTAGGAGGTGATGAAACCAACACCTACAGTGTCCTCAAGTCAAAGTCAACTGTCAGAGGAGTCTCACCTCTTCGAGGAGAAGGTCTGCTTTAGTATGCCTCAGTATCCCCACACTCAGTCACTGGCTCAGACAACCCATGGATGGCATGGCATTAGTGCCAAGATCTTTCACTGCCCAGCAGCTGGGGCCTCATTACACTCCCTGAAGTTGCAGTCTGTGAGAAACTTTCTCAGAGCTGCCATATAGAATGCCTGGTCAGGTCCTCAGTTCCCTTAAAGTTAACTTTAAAAAAATTGGCAAATACCATTCATCAATTCAATAAATATTTATTGAGAATCTATGATACAGAAGGCCCTATTTCAGCATGAGCAATAAAATGGAAAAGAAGCATATTCCTGGAAATATCTAGCAGTGGTTGATTTAGAGTAAATTGTAATTGAAACATCGTAGAACAAGTGAACAGAGCCTGTCCTCCTTTCAGACCCATGGCAGGCATGGGTAATCAATCCCACTGACCCTGAACATGACCTCAGACTCTTTCTCAACACAACGTTTGTGGCAGCCTCTTTTTAATAAGAGATAGCACCTAAGATAAAACTTATTTGCTATCCCTGTCCTAGGAGAGTAGTGGACAGTGGGATGAGGGAGGAAAGAAATGCAAAGAACGTTATACACCAAAAATAAGTAACAACGCTGAAGAAGGAGGACAAAAGTAAGATCAATAAAATTGCCCCTAGGAGGGCTGGAAATAAATCTGTCTGAATGGGAAAAAAAAAATGAGAGAAAGCATGGCTAAGGATATTAATGTCAGCTTCTTACTCTTGTATCTTGGGCCTAATTAGCTTGGAAATGGTTTTCAAAGCAGATGGCAATCTCAATGCACTGAATTGTCATGACTGTCTTGGAATTTTGGAAGCCCTTGACTTACTGGTTGTTCCATGACATTAGAAGTCTTTGACGAGGGAAGCTGGCTAAGAGTGGTCACTCAGCAAGCAAGTGTGTGATGAACCAGATTGAAGACTTGTTTGCATCATGACAACTTGGGTATTATCTAGGATTTCCCAATGCACCAAGCAAACAGGATCATGGGCATACTCAGAATAACCTAGACCCAGTCACTTGCTTTGGGAGACAGCCAAGACAAGATGTTCTGCCTTAGAATCTGAGTAACCTGCTCTTTTCTTAAATATGAGCCCCTGACCAGATATAACTTATTGTTCCCCTTCAAATATTTAGGAAACTCCTCGCCTCTGACTGCCACTTTGGAACAAGAGCCAACTTTCCTCCCCAGACCTGCTCCTCAGCTCATGGGCACTATCTCAGAAAATGGCACACTATTGCTGCTCAAGCCAATACCCTAGGATGTACCTTGATTTCTGCTTTTTCCTAACAAGCAGTTCTTACATCACCATACATAATTTATCAGCAAGTTTTGCCATTCCTACACCAACACAGTAAAACATAGAACTTCTCTTTCTCTACCTGCCAACATTCCATTCCCAGATGATACTACCTTAGCCTCTGCAAGAACCCCTTAGTTTACCTCTATCCATTCACTCTAATCATCGGCAATCCCTTTCCACGGAGCTGCCAGAGTAATAGCTTCAGAAAGGAAGCAGGTCCTGGCAATTTCCGTTTAGACCCTCTCAAGGCTGTGGATATGGTTTGGCTCTGTGTCCCCACCCAAATCTCATCTTGAATTGTAATCCCCACATGTCAAGGGAGGGGCCTGATGGGAGGTAACTGGATCATGGGGGAGTTTCCCCCATGCTGTTCTCATCATACTGAGTGAGTTCTCATGAGATATGATGGTTTAAAAGTGTGGTACTTCCCAGGCTGAGGCGGGCGGATCACGAGGTCAGGAGATTGAGACCATCCTGGCTAACACGGTGAAATCCCATCTCTACTAAAAATACAAAAAATTAGCTGGGCGTGGTGGCGGGTGCCTGTAGTCCCAGCTATTTGGGAGGCTGAGGCAGGAGAATGGCGTGAACCCGGGAGGCAGAGCTTGTAGTGAGCCGAGATCGGGCCACTGCACTCCAGCCTGGGCGACAGAGCAAGACTCCGTCTCAAAAAAAAAAAAAAAAAAAAAGGGTGATACTTCCCCTCTCTCTCTCTCCTGCTACCATTTAAGACGTGTTTCGCTTCCTCTTCACCTTCTGCCATGATGGTAAGTTTCCGGAGGCCTCCCCAGCCAACTGTGTCAATTAATCCTCTTTTCTTCGTAAATTACCAGGTCTCAGGTAGTCCTTTATAGCAGTGTGAAAATGGACTAATCCAGCTGCCCACCACACTTAGAATAAAGTCCAAAGTACTTCTCATGGTTTATTATACCCACTCCTAACTCATCTCCTACCACCTTCCCTCACCCCCAGTCACACTGGCTTCTTTTTTATTCCACAAATTCACCAAGCTCAGGCCTTCCTTGGAGTATCTGCACTAGATGTTCCCCCAACCAGAAGGCCAGAAATACTTTTCCCCATCACATGACTGGCTCCTTATTATCATTCACTCTCCACTCAGACCTCTGATAACCCCTTCTTGAAGACCCCATCTGAAGGATCCTCCATCTGCCCCACAACTGATCCTCTCAAAATTTTATTATTTTCATCACAATGATCACACCTAAAATTAAGCTTTGTAAGTCTTGACTATTTTGTCATCTATCCTTGCCCCTTGGGAATCCAAGTCCTGAGAGCAAACACCTTGTCCCTTTTGTGCACCACTATTTCTCTGGAGCTTAGACAGTGCCCGGAAATGGCAGCTATCAATAAATATATGCTGAGTCAGTGAATGAGCTAGCATCCATCATGGCTGTCAGTGAGATCAGAAAAGCTTCAGACATGAGCTCTCTTCTTGTAGATCCCCTTCCTGACTCAGCTGTGCTCCCTCTGGAAGCTCCACTCCCACCAGTGTTCTCTCTCACCTCCCATGGCTGCCTTCACAGCCCTCTGTTTCCTCTTCCCATTACCCCAAGGCCTGAGGTGGAGCAAGCTCAGACATTCCCCACATCAAGGCTCTCATTATTGTGCAAAGAGAATTTGAGAAGTCCCAAGGCCCTTTACCCTCAAAAGGGATGAAGCTTTCAAAGAAGGAATTCAGAGGTGAGGTAACAATTTGAGAACGGCCCCTTGTGCCTTGATTTCCTTTTTAACAACACTTCACCACCCCGTCCCCCACTGTCTACAACATACACACAGGTGCACCCAGGCTTCATAGCTCTTTCAGCATCACTGGCTGCCCTAGCTGGTGGAGAAGAGTGAGCAGGGCCTGCCCCAGAACTGGAGGGGAAGCCCTGCTCTGCACTGCTGCTGGGCAGAATGCCCAAGCCACAGCTCCCGCCAAATTCTCACTGCAAGGAGGTGGCTCCAGCCTTGAAGAGTTACACACTCAATAGGAGAGCATGCTCATGTTTTCGTGTAGGACAATTTGCTTTTTTAATTGCCTGGCAGCCCCTTATATTACCAGTGCCAACGGGTGTACTTGTTCCTCCACTCCTACATCTTTATAAAGCAGCCCCTGGCTACACAAGCTATAGAACTCACAAGGGAGCTGAGAGAGGCTGTGCAGGGGACATGTACCAGGACCCCTCTCTCAACAGTGGAAGTCAAAACCTCAACCCCTTTTCTCCACTGGAGTTTAACAAGTCCCACACTGTGCCCTGGTACTCAGTTCCAAAATGTTCGCACACCAACCTGTGACACCACATAAACCAGGAAGGCACCCAAGCTCCACAGCCAATGAGGCTCCAGTCGGGATTCCATTAGGAATGTTTGAGTTAAATTTAGTGCATGTAAGAAAAGACTTTGGCTCCAGGGCCTGTCCTCAGGGCTTGCACACAGCAGGTTAAGGATTTATTGGATTATGAAGCATTTGTGTCTTGGGTATGTAGATTATCTCTAACTCCACTAAGCATGGAGCAGGAAAAATGGTATTTCCTACAGCAGAAGGAAAGGGGAGTACCTGTAAAGCAGAAATTATAAACCTTATACTTAATCCTGAGATAGGGGTTAAGGAAAGCAGTAGCTTTATTCCCACTGGAAATCACTTCCAAAACAGCTCCTACCCACAAATGAGACTGCACTAATAGAACGTGAGCACCAATTGCCCATGTATACAGTGTAGTCCACAGCAGCAATTTCATACAACAAATATTTATTTACTAACTATTGGGTTTGGTGGGACTATGCCAGGTATTGGAGGGTCAGCATTAATAGTTATACTAATAATTGCCCAATTATACTAAGTAATTACATAATTATAATTGGGATAATTGTGAAGAAGTACAGGATCCCCTAAGAATATATGTCAAGGGGAAGTGACCTAATTGGGAATATTAGAGGGACCACCCTTCAAAAATGACAGGTGAACTGAGAGGGATTGAAGAATGTTCCAGGAAGAGAGAACAGCATGGGAAACGAGAAAGGAGAGAAAAAGTCACTGGTCCATCTGAGAAAGAATCATAAAGAGATGATCTAGTGTGTGAGACAAGAGAGACAAGGGGTGGCTCTGCCTGGAAAAGCTCCCAAGGACATTAGAACATGATTCAGGGCTCTTTGTAATTTATTAGTGTATGAATTAATAAAATACATTAATTTTTAGTAATAATACATTAATTAATAGCTAATCTAACAGATGTAATTTTGTAGAAACTTCAGAGGAAGGGGAGGTCAAGGATGAATTCATCTTTACAGGCTTTCAGGAGCCAGGGGCTGGGCCAGAGCTGGGTCTTAAATTATAATCTGAGTGGGCGGAGAAGCAAAAGATGGTGAAAAGCCTGGATATCCACCTAGACTCCTCCCTTCTTCCATCAGTCAGCTCATCTCTCAGCACATCTGTATATTGCTCCTTATAAGAATGTATCTTCTCTGAATCAGCTTTCTACCCCCACTGCTTAGGCCAAGTCCCCATGATTGTCTTGGGACAAGTGGGGCTGGCAGCACAGTAGGTGTCTGACAAATGCTTAGGGACACTTAGCTATTTGGCTTTAGATCAGACAGAGCAATATACCACTTTTTGGACAAGTCATTTATAGACATAAATAGCTTCAGGAGGATTTGCTTATAAGCTTATACACAAGAGATAGGTGAGTGCCTTTGATTGTCTTCCCATGTCGTACCCTCCAAGGCATCCTCCCGACAGCAGGAAGCACGGCCTCTTTAAAACACAGACCAGATCAAGCCACCTCCCTGATTACACCCTTCCAGCAACTCCCGTCACCCCGTGTATAAAGATCCCACTTCTTAGCCTGGTTCACAGGCTGTTCATTTTGCAATCTCTGCTTGTCTGTAATTCCCACTTATTGCCTAATCTTTTCTGACACCTTGAGCTACCTGAGGTGTTATGGGTATTCCCTGCTCTGTCTTCACCCCTTCCTTTAGCTCAGAGCTTCTCTCCCACTATTCCCAGAGGTCTTAAGGGATTACACTCTTCCTAAGTGACCTTCCTCCATAGGTCAAAGGTATCCCCGAACCACTAATTTTCCTGTGACAACCACTCACTTATCTCTTGTGCAGAAGCTCAAAAGCAAACCTTCCTGAAGCTGTTTATATTTGCAAACTACTTGTCCAAAAGGATCTTATTGTTCCATCTGTTCTTCTGAGGCCAAGTAGCTAAGCACTGCCCAACCATTTATCAAGTACCTGCTGTGTTTTCAGACCCATGTCAGCCACCAAGAAGGTACAGGGCAGGTACAGGCCTTCCATTGTGAAGATCACAATCCAACATCAGTGATAAAACCATAAGGAGCCCTTCTAAGAACAAGGTGCAGGAGGTGCCATATAAAATTAGATCAATTTTGACTTTCCTGTTGCTTTTTATTATTAATATTAATATTTTATATGGGCTGAGCACCTATCTTATGTACTGGGAATTGCACCATGTTATGGCAGGGTGGGTTCCCTGGGAAGCAGACTCTAAGACAGAATTTGGTGTGCAGGATCTTTATTTAGGTGTCCCCTTGGGATCAATATCAGTGAAAGAGAAGAAAAAAAAGCAGCAAGGGCAGAGAAAGAAGTGGAGCTGTGATACAGCCCAATGGCAGCCTCAACACACCTCTGGATGCTCTAGAGTTTGAATGGCCCTTTCCCGGTTGTCTTGAGTTGGGCTAAGATGGATGGGCCTTTATATTCTTGCATTTATCAGTCACTGAATAAGGGCCACCCCAGGAAGTTTAATTTTGGGTAAAGTACTTCTCTGAGCTGATGCAATGCCTGAGAGGGTTGACAATTAAAAACTGTTTCTGCCAACAGTTCTCCCAGTATCTGGGACAACTAATACTTTAGTGAAGGGAGAGCTGGGTGGCACATTGCTGGGTTTACCATATACTTTGAAAACTCACAACAATCCAATGATGTAGATGTCATTTCCATTTTAAAAATGAGAAACTGAGACTTGGTGAGAGTTGCACTGACCAAAGCCCTAAAGCTGGATTTGAACTCATTTCTGATTCCACAGCATATGCTTCTATCACTGTGCAACGCTCATTCCTTCCAAGCAGGTAGATTGGGACTCACTGTGTCCCTTCACCTAGCAATGCCTGGGCACACAATAGACCACAAGTGCCTATGCTTACTTAAAGTAACTAGGATGACAAAAGGAAGTAGTAGTGCATTCTCAGGTGAATATGGGGCATGAGTAGAATATGCCACAAACATGTATATTCACCTCTATCTTCACTGAAGGGTGATGCCTCATCCTAGGCCACATTCATTTTTTCCAGCTGTCCGAAAAATCATGAGCAATCCTCACTCTCCTCTCCCTGCCCCATGATACAAGTAGGTAGTTTAACAAAGATACCTACTTGTCACGAACCCAAGACATGATACCAGAGCTAGGATTTGTGAATGGTGTTGTCTAATTTAGAAAATAAAAATACAGGACACCCGGTTAAATTTGAGTTTCAGATAAACTATTTTTAGCATAAGTATGTTTATACAATAGTCTGGACATGGTTCTACTAAAAAATGCTATTTATTGGCCAGGCGCGGTGGCTCATGCCTGTAATCCCAGCACTTTGGAAGGTCAAGGTGGGTGGATCACAAGGTCAAGAGATCAAGACCATCCTGGCCAACACGGTGGAACCCTGTCTCTAGTAAAAATACAAAAATTAGCTGGGCATGGTGGTGCAGCATGCCTGTAGTCCCAGCTACTCAGGAGGCTGAGGCAGGAGAATCGCTTGAACCCAGGTGGCAGAGGTTGCAGTGAGCCAAGATCGTGCCACTGCACTCCAGCCTGGTGACAGAGTGAGACTCCATCTAAAAAAAAAAATGCTATTTATCTGACATTCGAGTTAACTGGATGCTCTATATTTTATCTGGCAACTCTACTCATGGGTGAAGAGGAAGGCTTCCATCTCTATCTACAAGGTGATTTCAGTGACAGAGTTTCTTTGGACCAAACGGTTCCAGCCTGTTATCTGACATCCATTTACCTGCACCCAAGCTTTATCATTGCACAGTTAAAGTTTCTGCTTACCATGCTGACACCCCTGTAGGAGTAGATACTTGAGATATACTTGTTCACTCTCAAGGAGTTACTGAGAGCAGGTTTTGAAAACACACACAAGAGGGCACGGATGGGGAGAAGGGACAGCCAGGAATGGACATTTCTAAGGGGGTGAAGTTCTCAGAATGAAAAGAGTTCAGTGGTGTGCAAGGCAGGTGAGCTTCTCCATATTGCTCAGTACAGCTCCCTGAAGAGGAAGTTTTGGTCTTTTAGGATTGCCCAGCAGGCTCAAGGACCTCCGCTCTCTGGCTTGAAGGAAAACACTCTGGCCTCTCCCCCATAGTAAACCACTGCCTACTAACAACCAGCTGCATTCATGGCCTGTTTGTAAGCCACCAAGAAGTCTGGAGTCCCAGTGCCATTGCATCTGAAACAGTCCCAAGTTTTGCAATAGTCTCAGCTTCCTGCTCAGGGACTCCTCATCCTGAAGCTGACCTAGAACTTGAGGCTTTCTTAGCAGCTCTAATGGCATATCGACAATAAAAATGTTACCATAAATGACCTGCACTTCTTCCTTTTCTCCCAACTTTCCAGAGGAGCCATTCCCGTTTATTACCCAGAGATTCATAAAAATGCATAAGTGAATGCAGCAGCCTAAATAGGTTTCTTTTAGGAGTTTGGCACTAAACACATTAAGTGAATTTCCTCAGCCCTTGGACAAGAAGCTATTAGATATGGACTATTACTTGCATTATCATTACATTAGTGGGTCATTATGAAAAATAAAAGTTCTAATCAGCATGAACATTTATAAAGTGCCATGATAGGGAATATGCCAGGCTGGGCTGTCTCAAACATCCAAACTAACCACAGTGAGTAATGACTTCGAACAAAAAAATGGTTGAACATAAAGAACTGCTTTAACAAATCCCACTCAATGTCATTAGCAATTAAGGGCTTTAGGGAGAAAGGGGAGGTCCACCCCCATCTCTCCAGCTGAGAGTTCTCTGAGCTCTCCTTGGTGCCTGATGACAGCACTCAATGTTTTTACCTTCCTCACCCAGCCTCCAGCTGGAGAGTGAGAGGATCCTCTAAGGTCCCCACAAAGTTCCAGGCAGCCTTGAGGTCCTACAGAGGTAGCTAAGGGGCTGTAGCAGGTGGTGGGGAGCAATTGCGTGAACAGTAGGGCAAGCCCTCCATCCCTACTTTAATCCTGCCCTTTCCACCCTTTCCATTTCAGCCATTTAGTTTTTACTGTGATCCTCTTTATAAGTCGCAGACTATCAAAAATGAGCTACATCCGCATCCCCCCTGGTTTTACCTTCAAGGGCAAATAGGTAGCTACTCATACAAGATGAATTCAGGCAAGTTATCTGACCTCAGTGACATTCTCTAAAAAATGACAAGGGTAGTAGTACCTCCTCATATGGCCACAATGCAGATTAAATGGACTAAAAAGTGTGTAATGCACTATAGCAATGGCCAGCACACAGTCAATACTTTGTGTTAGGGGTTGCGAGGAGGGAAGGATGAAAAACTAGAGCTCCCTGAGGGTAGAATACTGTGCAAATCATTTCTGTAATCCCGGGATCTAGTCTGGTGCAGAGAAAGCACTCAGTACTGTGTTGGAAGCATGCCTATACTCTTAGATCTACCCCACCACCCTAATTCTCAATTAATATTCATTGTTCAATGAAAATCATTTTTTTTCAGCTGCCCTCAAAACCACTGAGCAATCCTCACTCTCCTCTCTGCCCCATGCTACAAATAGGTAGTTTAATCAAGACACCTACTTGCCATGTTGCAGGAAACCCTGTCATGTCCATAGGAGTGTGGGTCAATCATAGGGGACAGATGCCAGGGCTGGCACTATGGAAAACTGTGTAAGCAGTTGAGCTAAGGATTTAACAGAGAAGCTGACATTCCCGAAAGCAAGGCTCCTTCAAGGATGGGGCCTGCATTTGAAGCTAGAGAAAAGAAACAAGGTGGGCATAAAGCAAGAAGGTCATCTTTGAAGCCTCAACCTCAGGGGTTCTTCCAGTCTCCACTGGGATGCTCTTCCTGATTTCCTAGGGTGAGTAGTCCACACCTCAGAGGACCCACTGGGTTCTGTACAGACATTTACCTAAATGCACGGAAGTAGTCTTGTATTTCCTTGTTACTATCTATTGGACTGTGACCTCTGCTAGGGAAGGGGAGTGTCTACATCCATTCACTCATCCATTCATCCATCCATTTATTCATTCACTCATTCAATCATTAATTTGTTCAACAGATTGACAGTCAACATGTTCCTTTCATGGTGCCAGCTGGTTGTATTGTCTCTGTATATCCAGTGTTTGAAACAGAGCTTAGTGCTGAATAGATACTAAATAAGGGTTGAAGAATAAATGCATGGATGACTGGAAACTTATCCTGTAAACAGGGCTGTGTTCCCAGGCAACCCTGTTGCTGGAGGGATTAGAGGAGGTGGTGCAGGAGGAAGGAGGGGATGGTGGCATGGTGACTAAAGTCTCTGGTTCTGGACTGACATGAATATCCCAAATGACCAGAAATGTCTCCTGCACTTGGCCATCCTAGGCACATGAAAACTTTTATTCCCAGCACCATTACTCTTTTGGACTAAGATCTTTTCTTCTTTGTGTTGCTAGTATGTACTAGATCATTTTTATCACTTTTTAAGTGCAATACAACTTCTTTCAAATTTTTCTTGCACCCAAGATGAGCTTCCTCTGAATTACCTACCTGCTTTATTTAGCAAATCCTCGAGTAGGCTTTGAGGACAGAAGGACTTCCCATTTGTTTCTACAGTACAGACTCCTCCACAAAACCCTTTCATCTCACTTCCCATTCTCTCTTTTGCTTTGTCTGAGCTACCTAGCCTGCTTTTCAGCAACCAACCAACAATGCTTTGCTGAGCTTTTGCTAGTTCTACAATATCCTTTTCCTAAGAAAAACAACCTGTGTTGCACACTGCATTTTAACTACAGTTAAATTCCTCCTCCCTTATTGTGTGTTCAGCAACTTTTGGGCCTCCCAGCTATTATAAGTTATTATATGCTTAGTTGAACTTATTAAATTCCACTTTTTTCCAGTTTTATTTATTTTCACTACTGTAATGAATTCTGTGCTCCTTCATACACATTTTTTACACCAGGCTTTCTAAACGAGCAGGGCCATAGGAAATTATACCTCACCAGAGGGTGACAGGTGGGCTCAGGATGTCTTGGGAAAGGTTTTCCCGGAGTCTTCACTGTGGCTCCAAGCATTTTATGACCCCATGTCCAAGTCCATCCAACTAACTCCCAGAAACAAGGTAGGCTTCTTGTGGAAAAGTGTTTTTGAAATGGCAGGCCATCACAGAGGCCAGGCAGTCTCACTCATAGACAATGATTTTCATCAGACACAATGTTCTATAATGCCATCTGTCCCACATGGGTGGGATGTGTTGGAAAGATCACTCTGCTGGCTCCAAGAATATTTTTTGAACCCAAGAAACCCTCCTGTGCTTGGAAGAGGCATTGGAATCTTGCCTGGAACTTGTTAAATTGCAGAAGGCTGAGGAGAGCATGCAGAAAAAGCTGGAAATATGTTACAATTTGCCACCAGGGGTCTCGGTCAGGGTGCAGGAGCAGCCCTGGGCAGAGGTGCTGCTTAAGCACAACAAGCCTTGGCTAGTAGAAAGCAAAGCTTAATTTCCCACCACACACCAGTGTCTGCCGAGATGGTCAAGAGAAATTTCTTCTAAGTAATCCCTTGGGAATCTTCTTATTCCAATGATTCAGCCTTGCTGAAACTGTTTGGAGAACTTCTCTCAATAACTTCCTTCAGAAGCTATGGACCTTTCAGCAACTGCTCTACAGTGCCCATGTGTGCCGGGCGGAGTGCTTGACCTGTGTCATTCATTTCCCCCAGAAACTTTATGCCTCTAGGAATCATGTTCTTCTTTATACAGATCAGGCTATACCAGGCTCAAAGATGTTATGGATTTCCCTGGGGCTCCTTCACTCCTATGGGCCAGAGAAGGAGTTTGAAATCAGAACTCTCTGAAGACATAGCCTGAGCTCTAGCCACTCACCCATCTTTCCTATCTACAGCTATCTGTAGTCATTGGATAAATATTTACCACAGTGACACCATAGGTCAGGTGTTGTGCTAAAAGGCCATTTACAGAGGATTTTGTTAAGACATGTCCTCTGATTTAAAAGAAATCACAGTATGGGGAATAATCCGTTAATCAAACTATTCCAAGGTGGTAAAACTACCAATGAGTACATAAGGGCCCACAGGGGCGTGAGGATAGGAAATGGTCCTCTGGGGGAAATCAGAGGTGAGAGCCTCTTTCACAAAAGATATGAGTTGAAATAACTCTTCACAAGGAGGCATCCAGGCCCCAGAGAAAGGGAAGTTGTTTCAGACAGGAGAAAAGTCACATGCAAAGGCCCAGAGGTGAAGAATGTGCAGCCTGTTGGGTGAATAGAAGTAGTTCAGTGTGACCTGGATTCCAGATGCCAGGTGGCACGGACTGGGGTGTGAAGAGGAGCCCAGTATCACTAACTTCCAGTACAAATAGCACTTTGAGCCTAATCTGCTCTTTTGGTTTTATGGGCCCTGAAAGCAATATTTAGGAAAAAAGAGATGGGTGGAAGCATTTTAAGTACTTTTTTTTTTGGAGATGAAGTCTCGCTCTGATGCCCAGGCTGGAGTGCAGTGGCGCGATCTTGGCTCACTGCAACCTACGCCTCCTGGGTTCAAGCAATTCTCTCTGCCTCAGCCTCTGAGTAGCTGGGATTATAGGCACCCACCACCATGCCCGGCTAATTTTTGTATTTTGTATTTTTTAGTAGAGATGGGGTTTCAGCATGTTGGCCAGGCTGGTCTTGAACTCCTGACCTCAGGCGATCCACCCGCCTTGGCCTCCCAAAGTGCTGGGATTACAGGTGTAAGCCACCACACCCGGCCCATTTTAAGTACTTTTAATGTAATCAGAATAAGTCTGCAATCTTCTAGGGGGACTACTTTTAACATCAATCCTCATTTGGAGGTCCATTTACATTAACAGGAGTCATATTTGTCTCCACCCCTCAGAATTTTTACCTGTCATCAGAAATAACTGTGGAAGTCAGTTCTTTAGCAATTCCTGTTGACAAACATCCAATTCCCTAATCTTCAACTTGACTGAGTTTGATGCTTTTCATGTGATTTGGGAGGCTCTTGCTAGCGCATCTCTCTCACAAACCTCAGCCTGGAAATGATGATCTTGAAGGCTTCTGTTAATTTTATCCGTCTAGAGCACTGGGGAGCACATTCAACTCCAAAAGACATCTATTAAGTTGTCAGTCATGATATCATTTGCCTTAACAGTGTTTAGTATCTACAGAGCGGAAGCTGACAGACAGCACAAAGGCACTTTGTGAGTGAGACAGCATGCTAATTAGCACAGCACCCTCCACACGCCTTCCCTGGTTAGGAAAGTGAGAATCATAACATGTCTTTCTTCACACTTCTTTCAAAGACTTCAGGCAAAGGAGGGTTGGAAGTTTGCTATCAGAGCATCCTAAGTTCCTACACAACTGATTAGGCAGGCTTCCTGACTGGCACATGTAGGTGGGACTGGGCACACCCAGCCAAAAGAAACATCCCTCCACAACAGAGAGAATCTGGTGGTGGTTAATTTTATGTGTCAGCTTTGCTGGGCTCAGGGATGTACAGATAGCTCGTAAACCATTATTTCTGGGTGTATCTGTGAGGGTGTTTCTGGAGGAAATTAGCAATTTGAATCAGTATACTGAATAAAGAAAATCTGCTCTCAACAATGTGGACAGGCATTTTCCATCCATTGAGAGCCTGAAAAGAACAAAAAGGCAGAAGGAGAGTTAATTTGCTGTCTGTCTGAGGTGGGATATCCATCTTCTCCTGCCCTTAGACCCCGGACCCCTCGTTCTCAGGCCTTCAGACTCAGATGAATTATACCACTAGCTTTCCTGGTTCTCCAGCTTGCAGATGGCATGTTGTGAGATTGCGGAACTTCTCTCTTCACACCACACACACATGCACACAAAAACAGGTCTGCCTGGCAGAAATACTTATACTCAGATACATGACGATGATTGTCATTATGATTATAATCATTATAACAGCAGCTGCCATCTCAGGTTTTTATTCTATATGCCAGGCACTGTGTTAGATGCTGCAGACACATTATTGGAATTCATAGCAGCCAACAACCCTGTCGTGATGAGGGTATTATTATCCCCATCAAACAGATGAAAAAATATGGCTCTGAGAACTCAGTGGACATAATGTTAGTAAGTAGTAGAGGTGCTTCAAGTCCAAGTTGATCTGCTACTCAGGCTTGTAGAGTTTAAAATTGTCTACAAAATCCCAGTGCACTTTCAAATGGGTCATCACCTCTGACTTCCTGTGGGGTGGACAGGACAGGTGCTGTTATTCTAATTTTACAGCTGGGCAAACTGAAGTCCAAGGAAATTAGGTGCTTATCACTTTAGATCACAATGGGCTAAACCAAGGTCAAAATGCCACCTCCTTCTTCTCTGGGTTTCTCTCCAGGTCACGAAAGGACCCAACAGCACCGACTGGTCATTATTTGAGCAGGAATTTCCAGATAAAGGCAGAATGACAATAATTCTTGTCACATGAAAAGAAATGTGAAAATAAGAAGAAAAACCAACACAGAAATCCAGGTGCAGAACTTAGTCACAAATGACCTTTGCTATAATTTATGGAGATGCAACCCAAGAGTGTTCTGGCACCTGGTGTGGGTTTGGATAGGGCGGCCCAGCTCTGCCTAACTTCTCAGCATTTGCCATGGACAATCTACCCCCTCACAGCTGTGGTGCGAAGCCTTCTCACTGAGAGGCCTGCCCCAGTGTGGGCCTGAACAGTCCCACAGTCCTCTGAGCCTCATCTCAGGGTAAGGGTCCCTCTATGAGTGGCCTTTCTGCACTCAGATGCTTCCTCCCTTGGACATCCCTTGTTTCAAGCAGATACCTCCATTAGTCCTGATGAAATTAACAATGAAACCACGAGCCCTGCCCTCAGCATCAATACGAAGGAAGCAACATGAGCCAAGTTGGGACTTCGCAAACACACATCTGAACGCCAAAGTTTAATGAAGAATGTGTACCTCCTAGCCCACTTGTCTCCTTATACAAATCGCAAATGAATATATGACTCTGACAAATGAGGCAACTGAGGCCAGGAAGAATGCTGTGAGGTTGTTCAAATCCTCAAGTCCTGGAGTTGCTGCTTCATTTTATCCCAGTTGAACAGTTCCATTTTTTTGCTTATTTTTTGTTTTCTTTATTAATTGGACGAGACAAGTTTGGGAAACTACTCAGGACAAGACCCCTTCTGGGGTAAGCGCAGCTTCTGAAACAATGAAACTCCCTCCAGGGAGTGAAGCAAAAGCCCTCTGTGGCAGGGAGCTTGGTGGAGCATAAACGCTGGCTTCTCATCCTCAGGTGGTAAGCACAAGGCAAAGACCATGGGCACCAGCCCCATCCACTATGCACAGAGTTATGCTATGTGGCGTGCATGTGCCAGGTCTGAGGAGGGCTAGAGGCTGGGTTCCCGGGCAGCATAAGATGCTGGAACTGACTAGCTTGGCTGCCGGTGCTAGGCATGGACACTAACCAGGTGACCACCCTTAGGAGATCAGTGGCAGATTTTGTTGTTAGCAGCTGTTCCCTGTACTGGCCAGGCCAAGGGGTTGTCTGGCTTGCTATTATTGCCATTATTCTCCTAAGACAGGCTGGCTTTCCAAAAACTCAACAATAATAACTTCCTAGAATACACAGCCATTGCCATCCTTCCTCTAAAACAGCCCCTGTCTATCTCTGTCACTCCTGCCTGTGCCTTCTTCCGAGTAGTGCCAGCATGGTCCTGATACCACCCACTTCTGCTGATGGCAAGCAGTTTCCATCTGGTCAAAGCAAGAGGCAGAACAGGACTGTACCAGGCCAGGTGGGACCTTCAGAATCAGTGTATACATCCCAGTAGTCATGAGGCAGGATTTAGGACAAAGTCCAGGTCCAGGGACTGGGCATTAAACAGAAGCAGAGATCCCCACCTCCTCTCAGACTCATCCTGTGACAAAAACCATGACTGAGGCAGGGGTAGAACATAGAATACCTCTTTCTCTGCTTTCATTATGTCCTTCAAGACCGACTTCATCTAAGAAGGCTTTCCTAACCTCTGCAGCCCACAGCTTTCTCCACCCTGACTGACTCCACAGAAGGTGTCTTATGTCAGGAGCCTTTGGGCCCTTGATCAGTCCCTATTGCTATTGCTGTGGTAGATAACTAGAATTTTTTTTGTCTTCCCTGACGGAGGCCATAAAAAATATTTTATGTAAGTTAAGGAGGGGTCGCTTGTCACTCAGTCTGCCTGGAACATGGCTGGGAATATAGCAGGAATTCAATCCAATCCAACCTGGAGGCAGAGTGCTATATAGAAAGGGGAAGATTTTAGAGTTAGGCAGTCCTGAGTTCAATCCTGACTTTGCCACTTTAAAGGTGTGTCCCTCATCAAGTTACTTTGCAGAAGAGGAAAATAAAACAACAAACTATTTATCAATCTGATCTTCCTGAGATGGAGACAGTTGCACCTACTCAAGTAGTTTTTGGAGATTAGAGGTAAATAATTGAAATGGTTTGGATATTTGTCCCCTCCAGGTCTCGTGTTGAAATGTGATTCCCAATGTTGGAGGTGGGGCCTAGTAGGAGGTGTTTGGGTCATGGGAGTGGCTGTCTCATGCAGGGGTTCGTGCCTTCCCCTTGTTAACAAGTGAGTTCTCACTGTTAGTCCACAGGAGAGCTGGTTGTTTAAAGGAGCTTTGTACTTCCTCCTCTCTCTCTCTCTCTCATCATGTGATGCCACCTGCTCTTCCTTTGCCTTCCACCATGTTAGTAAGCTTCCTGAGGCCTCGTCAGAAGCAAAAGTCAGGTGCCATGCTTCTTGTACGGCTTGCAGAACTGTGAGCCAAAATAAACCCCTTTCTTTATAAACTACCCAACCTCAGGCATTCCTTCATAGCAATGCAAATAAGCTAACACAACAATAAAAGGATGTAGGCTGCCTAGACAGAGGTTCTCAAACGGTGGCCCCTGGACCATCAGCATCAGCATCAGCATCACCTGGAAACTTGCTACAAATGCACATTATCTGCCTTTCCTCAAACACACTGAGTCAAAAAACCTGAGGCTGGTGCCCAGAAAACCTGCATTTTAACAAGGCCTCTGAATGATGTTGATGCATCTAAAGTTTGAGACCCCTCTGTAGGCTCTAAGTACATGCCACTGTTCCCTCTTTCCAAATTCAGAGACAAAGAAATGACCTTCATCTGCACTGGGTTTCAGATATAGAACTGAAGAAGTGTCCAGTGTCCAGGCAAGTCGTGATATAACCAAGATCATTTGGGACACATCACTGGACAAAGAAGTGTAGTTCACTGACTTAAGTATAAGCCAAAAACACATCTGATTCAATCTAGTCCAATAAGAATGTGAGTGGTTGCTGTTACACAGAGTAATGAACTCATCTTAAAAGCAGGCATTCAATATACACTGGTAGAGTCGGATCGAATTAAATATGGGCTGCCGCATATATTTCTTTAGCTCTGCTTGCCCCTGAAGCAGCGGTTTTCACCCTGGCTGCACATTGGAACCAGCTGGGGAGCTTTGAAAAATCCAGACGCCTAGGTTGCACCTCAGATGACATCAGCACCTCTGCAGAGGTGAGATGCAGGAAGGAAGAGTTTTTAAAGCTCCTCAGATGATTCCAATATGCAGCCCAAGGCTGTGAACTATTGAACCATGTGGATTCACCTGCAATGCGGTGGACCCTCAGGCAGGCAGGACAGCCCAGCCCCAGCCATTCTCATTGCAGAGGTGTGAAGCTGGCTCATTAGCTCAGTCACTTAGACTTCATCAAAACCTTCAGAGAAAGGAAGGGAAAATATTATGATTTCAATTTTGTGAATTAAAAAGATTGCCATCTGAGATGCCAAGAGATGCTTAGTAGCTTAGGAGGCCAGGAACTGAGCTGAGACTGGATCCCTGGCCCTGGTTCTCTACAATGCAAGTTCACTCTACTGCAACATGCTCTCTCTCCCTTCTGCCTAGAATGCCGCCAAATACTGTGCACCTACCATGTGCTAGGCACTTGACATCATCCCTCATTTTTAGCAATCATGCTGCCAGAGAGGTGCAATTGCTCACATTTTTATAAAAAACAAAGTCCAGGTGACAGAAATAATTAATTTGCTCAATATCACATTGATAGTAAATTACGAAGCTGGAGTTGGACCTGGATCTTTCTCTGTTCTAAATACCATATTCTTTCCACTGCACTTCACTGCCTTTCTTGGAGAAAGAATGTGAGAAAATGCCGACACTGCCTCTTAAAAATGGAGCTTGATTTGGAGACATCACAACAAAATAGCTCAACACTAGAAAGGGGCTCATCTTCTACCACTCACTTTGTACATTTCTCCCTCTTTTCTAGAAGGCCTGGCTCAACCAGGAGCAGAGGAGAACCTCAGAGGTCGTATTGACTTTGGTGAGAGTAGGGGGTAACTCAGGCATGAAAAATAGCTCAAAGCAAAACCCAGTAAGGGAGTGTCCATGTGCTTTCCGGGGCCACAAAACTCCAAGATAAGATGTTGACATGTCTTCTAATTCTTGATGAGTTTGTCCTTCAGATTTGAGGTCAGGCTGCAGTTCCCACATCTACCTGGCTTTCCACAGCCCCATTATTAAACTCCTTGCCAACTGTGCTACCTCCAGACCCCTGGAATATGCACTTACCTCAGGTGGACTCCAACCCAGGAAGGATGCTTTTCCCTAAGCACTGGCCTGGTGGCTGGATGGAGCTCCTACTTTGCTGGCCCTGGTTCAGCAGGTAAAAAGCAGAAGGTAAACAGACACAGAAAAAGATCCATGGACAGCAGAGCTGTGAGGGCAGCAAAGTTGTTCTTCCCCCCCTTTTTAAGCTGTCCCTGTCTCTTTCTGCAAGGTACTTGGTCCTTCTTCTGAGCACATGAGCCACAGGAGAAATCTGCTGTCATTTGGGGTACTTTTAATATTCACAGCTCAAACTCTATTGTACTGTTAGCTTTTTGGTCTTGTGGAGAGATGTCACGTCTCAAATGACATTTACCTTTAAGCAAGGGTAAGTGTAATTTAGGGAAAGGAGACTCCTTACTAAAGACCCTTCCATGCTGCACTGACCACTATGGTTCTGCACGTGAATATGTGTATGTCGTATGGTTCTGTGCATGTTACTCTTTCCTTAAGACTTCTGTTAAAACAGCAAGCAAGCCCACAAAAGTCCTATTGTAATAGGGAAGGCGAAAGCGTTTGGAATCACATGGACCTGGGTTTAAATTCAAACCCTGATGCTGCTTAACCCTGCACAACTCACACAATCATTCTGACATGTCTTCCTCATCTGAAAGACAGAGGAATAGGGAAGCAGTCTCTGCTCTACCGATGTTGTCTGCCTCATGGGGCTGGGCGAGAATTAAGTGAGGAAAGGCTGAGACAGTGCTTTGTAAACGGCAAAGCATTATGTAAATATTAGCATAGTCATAAGAACAGTTACTATTATTGCGTTTCTTTGTGATTTGTAAGTATGCAATGCCAAACACATTCAAATCTCGTCATTACTACCCCTAACACATGACAATCCCTGGGCTAGACACAGTCTTTGCCATCAAGAGCTTGGGGTCTAGGATGAAGACATTCATGACTAGAGGACACGAAGTGATATGTGCTAATCTAGTGGGAAATAAGCACAGAGCGAGAACTATGGGTTGCAGAGGACAGGAACCTAGTCTAGTTTGTGGTCCAAGAAGGCTTCATGGAGGAGGTGATCCTTGATCTATGCTCAGGATGTATAAGAATGATGCGGGTTGGCAAGAACTTTCCAGGCAAGAAACAGCATGTGTGAGGAATGTATATTATATCAAAAGAATCCTATATTTGTAACTCCAGCAATTTGATATTTGCAAAAGTCCCCAGCCCCCAGCTTCAGCGATTTTGTATCATTGGGATCCTGAGCCCTTCTGGGGCTGGGGCAGGAGAAAGATAGAATTCTCTTTGTTCCTGATAACAGGAGTATCCCTCACCAATGGTTCTCTCTTCATAATAAATCAATTGGCAACTCCAGTACCAAGCCCAGGTCCTAGCACATGGTTAGTAGTTAATAAATACTTGTTGAATAAATATAGCTTCAACCTCCAATATAATCTAGAGGCAGCAGGCTACAATTGTGATAAAATAACCATACAGTATCAAATAGTCCCACATGTTATAGCCATTTCATTTATAAACTGACTTCAGCCATCTCTTCAGTGACCTGCTGTATTCTCTGCCACCCATTCTCCACAGTCATACCTGAGGTTAAACTCAGCTATTCTTTCCCCATCCATCCACATCACCCCCTCCTCACAGCCAAGAGGAGCTGCCATTCATTGATCTCCTGCTCCCTGCCAGGACAATGCTCAGGGTTCATTGGGTTTTCCCATCCAATTCTCACAACAACTCTGCAAGGCAATTGAGAGTCACCATCTTTTACAGGTGAAGAAGCTAAAGCTTAGAGATGCCAGTGATTCTTCTGAAGTCACATGGATGGTTAATAAAAACAGCATCAAGATTCCAGCTCAAGTACCTTTGACCCAAAACCTGTGTTCTTTGAAACACTTTGGGTCAAGTATCCACCTGGATTAAAATCAGGGAACATTACCACAGACCGCATAATAAAAATAGTAGCAACAAAAATAGTGACTGTATATTGAATGTCACAGCTCTCATTGACAAAGCACAATACTAATTTTCATCTTAATCCGTAGGACAATTCCTACAAGAGAAATACCATTGTGTCCATTTTACAGATATAGCTCTTAAAGTTCAGAAAGCTTAAGTAACTTTCTCTAGGACACAGCTATTAAGAGGTGGAGTTAAGTTTGCCTAATTTTACAGCCTATCCTCTAACTACAAAACCACATTAGTGCCAGCTACAAATATCGCAAGAATTAAGGGGGAGATTTGCCTATGCTCATCAATAGGAATCCAAGATCCTCTAGGGGAACAATGACCAAGGGTGATAGATATTTTCAATTATTAGAGCACTGCTATCCATCCAAATCATTTCAGGGCAGCTGTGGCTGATAGGCATAATCAGCCTCACTCTATTTAATAAGCTCTGAAGGAACTGCTCATTAAGAATGAAAGTGACCCTCACTCTGCCTTTCTGGATCTGAAATCTTCAAATCTTCTTAAGTCCAAGATAAATAATGACTTACTCATATTAATGCTCCAAGATAGAGATCTAAATCTCCTAAGCATATATCTGCATTCACCAATGCTCTCGAGACAAACAGCAGAAATATAACTTAGTTTGGGGTTACAAGATTTTAGAGATTAGAGTTTAAGCCAGATTCCTAAAATGGAGGGGATCTGGACAGGAAAAGACTCTCATAACAAAGGTACCCTGCAAAAAAATTATAGTTGAGCCATATACTCCGATCTCAGTTTACAAAATGTTTCCACCAGACTAGTGTCCCTATTTCTCAAAGAGCCAATGCTATTGTTCCTCGTGTTATTGTGTGCTCCACTATAGATCCTCTCTCAGCATATGAAAGGCAGACTGCCATGAGCTGTCCAAATGGCTCTGTAATATCCGTTCTCAGTTTCCTCCTTCAGCAGCTTTTCCTTGACATTCCTAGAAGTTTAGTTGCTCATGGATTTCTTCTATCCAAACTAGTTTGTTTGTAGAGACTACGAGAATATAAACACAACAGAAATGACATATTGAATCAACTTTATTCTCCATTTAGCTCAAGATTCTACTGCTGGAGATAATCACAAGGATTACACTGAGAAAAAGTGTGATAGAAACTTGCCAGAGCTTCCCAAAGTGTCAACCACAACAGAGGGAGAGGGTGTTATTTGGGACATCAAAAGAATTCCAGAATCAATACATTTGGGAAACACAGAAGGAAACAAAATTAAACAGGTATCTTTACTAAGATATGAAAGTCTTTGATATGCAAATGTGTATTGTATAATTCCATAGGATGACTGTAATACCCAGCATATTTTATATATATATATATATATATATATATATATATATATATATATATGTGTGTGTGTGTGTGTGTGTGTGTGTGTGTTTTTTTGAGAGGCATCACCCTGGACTATTGTTATGTGAAACATCCTCTTGAAAACACTAGGTAAATCTTGTTTGAAGATATTTTTGTTTGCAAAGTGAACAATATCCTGGGGCAAGGAATTCCATGTGCTCTATATTCTAAAATGTTCATATAGTCACCTTTCCAACCTTCTTTTAACAAGCCAGCTTAGGTAATTCTTCACAAGCCATCATTTAGGGGGTAGTTGCATGTATTTTGAAGCTCTTGATGAATATGATGTTCCCCGATGGATTAGTGGAATGACAGCTCATGCATCTTAGGCACTAAGTGACAGCTGCTCCCTCCACCCTCTCCTTCCCCCAGCCCAGCTTCACACTGATGATCGCCGTTGTACAGTGTATTGCCTGGTGGCCTCTATGCTGTGTTGAGAGAAATCTGTAAATTGGACACTCAGAAAATATCAAGTTATCCTCTCCTAAGCTGATAACCATGTGGTAACTCCCTATGTCCAAAGAGGCCAGATTAAAACCCAAAATTTTTCAGCTTTGGCACGGGCTGAGTTTCTATGGAAACATTATTTTATGGGTAACATCTTAATTTAGTTCTGTAGACTGCTTGGAGGGCCTTATGAGCCCCACGCATGGTTGCTCTTCCCAGGAGGCCAGATGGGTGGGGTGGGGGTTGGAGATTAGTCCTAATGTGTAGAGAGGAGTTGTTCTGTCTGATGTCACCTGGAGAGCAGAGAATCAGACAAGCAAGGGATAGACAGACTCTGGCAGCAGAGAGTTCTAACTGCAGTGGAAAGATTTCTTCTATGTCCAGAAGGAAAATATTCAGCTTAGAGAATGAGCACATAGGGGGAGAGGAGGGATAAAGGCATCTTCAGTGCTTACAACTATATGATAAATTGATAAATGAGGAAACAGATTTAGAGGAGATCCCACAAGTAAACGATGGAATTGGGACTCCAAGCCAGGTGAGAATTAGCTCTAATTTCAAGTCAGTCACTCACTGGACTCTAAGTACAAACAGTTTCCCAAGGATCATGGATGGGAGGGAGGAGATATTCCATCCAAGCTCTGACTTCTCAAGGTCCAAACTGCAGCCAGATGTGACTATTGCCCACAAGACAGGCTGTGGCTATTTAGGTAAGGAAGACAGTTACTACTCTCTTATTTCCATAGAGAATAGTAACATTGAAACTACACAGAGGCCTGATTCTGCAGTAGAATTACAGCAAGTTTCTCCATGCTCAGGCTACTGCTCAGGGCAGGAGAACTGTTTTGGTTTCTTAACCTGCATGGGGAGACTAAGTTGGTTTACAAAATATTTTTGGTTTTGCTGCACTGCATTGAGTACCTTGCATGAAGTATCTTTAGTCCTGCCTCCCAAGCTATTCCAGTACTATGTAATGCGGTTGACCTCCCAACAACACTACCTGTGAATGCTCTTAAATCTGGCAACGAGGGCAGCCTCCTGGCCCCCCCACCTCTGCAATTATTCAGGAGTTGACCTTCAGATGTTGTGGGAGGAACCTGGGCCTTCCCAAAACTATCTTGCATGCTTCCACCCAGTCCCTGGTTATGGATTTACTAAGTGCCAACTGCTTCCAGGTTTCTCTGGAGACACCTTAGGTACAAACACAAGTAACCTGAGCATGGAGAAACTTACTGTAATTCTACTGCAAAATCAGGCCTCTGTGTAGTTTCAAAGTCAATAAGGAGATGCTGATATGGTTTGGATATTTATCCTCTCCAAATCTCATGTTGAAATGTGATCCCCAATGTTGGAGGTGGGGACCTGATGGGAGGTGTTTGGGTCATGGAGGCGGATCCCTCACGAATGGCTTGGTCCCCTCTACATGGTAATGAGTGAGTTCTAGCTCTGTTAGTTTACAAGAAAGCTGGTTGTTTAAAGGAGCCTGGCACCCCTCCCTCTCTCTTGGTCCCTTTCCCACCATGTGACATGTCTACACCCACTTCGACTTCTGCTATGAGCAAAAGCTTTCTGAGGCCTCTGCAGAAGCTGAACAGATGCTGGTGCCATGCTTGTGTAGCCTGCTGAACAACGAGGCAAATAAACCTCTTTTTTAAAAAAAATAAATTATCCAGTCTTGGGTATTCCTTTATAGAAATATTTTTAGCAAACATTCTATGAGCATATCCCCATCTCCATTTAAAAATCCTTTAAAATGAAGACATTTTCCAAAGACATTGAAAACATATTTCAATACAATATCTTAGACAAAACAAATCCCTGGGATGGAGTAAGGGGTAAATTTTGCTCTTTTCACAAGAACACAGATGTAATTACAAGGAAGTGATTATTCACTAGCTGTGGATATTAGTTGAGTTGCTTTTGCAAGAACTGTTTTGCATTCCCTTTGCTACTAACGATGTATTTAAACTTTAAGAAGTATAAAACTGTTTTAAAAGAATTCACTTCCCTAGAGCACCTATTTTGTGCTAGACTTTCACATGTCATCTCATTTAATCCTCATGACACCTCTACTACATTCAACTTTCAGGCAGAAAACTGACCCCAAGACATACTAAACAACTCCTCATTTCTGGAAAGTGGCAGAGCCTGGACAAAAAATTGGGTCCACTAAAGCCCGTGGTCCATGTACTTTCTCCTGCCTCACCCCTTCTTTCCTTTGCATCTTGTAGGGCAGGAGAATTGTCTTATTTTCTTATCCTGCATGGGGAGACTAAGTTGGTTTACAAAATATTTTTGGAAGATGTATGCATTCTAAGTGAGGTTACTTGCATTAGCTTGAAAAAATAAGAAGGAAGGTGCATATGGATGTATTTATTATTCACCTTCAAACACACAAAAAAATAATTATTTAAGTGCTATCAGTAAAATCATAGAAATCAGAGGAAGGCATTTCCCCTTAAAGTCAGGAGTCTTTTACACTTTTTCCTCCTGTTAAACTTCAAACCAACATGAGTTATGTGAGCCTGCCATGCAGAATAGCGATATGTATCATAATTGCAGTTCTCCATGTGAGCTATCTATCAGAAACCTTAATGTAATTGCCAGACTGAATCCTAATTCATCTCTGAGAGAAGCTTATTACTTTGGGGGTTGTTGTATCACCTGCTTTTAAATCACACACAAGTATGGCTGCAATGATCTATTTAGTCTTCAACGTTTTAAACGTCACTGTTTGTGTCTACATTAATTCCCCATCTGCCAGCCAGTTCAGATAAGATACTGGTCAATTGTGGGACAGTTTTAGCCCGCTCTCGGTGCTAGCATTCTCCCCTCTGTATCTTTTCTTCCAATCCATTCTCCTCTACACAGCTGCCAGAGTGAGCTCCCTAAAGCACAAAGCTGTCTGTGCCATGCTTTGCTGAAAAGTCGTGGGAAGCTCCCCATCACTATCAGGATATGAGGCCTCTCATGATTCAGCCACCTGACTGTCCCACCTCCTCTCACACAACTACCATTTTCAAGTAGAAGCAGAATTATAGACCACTCTAGAAGTAGTTAAAATCAGGCTAGAAATCAGCCGAAGTAGGTCTGCCTGTTGCCACCAAGGGGCTGTGGATATTCATTCTAAATGTGAACTACGAACTTGACAACCTCTGTCAGAATACTATAGAAAGGGACATAAATATAAAAGTCATGATAGAGAAAATGATAAATACAGAAGATTGCAAATGTTCAACACACGCATAATTTGTATTTCAGAAGAAAGCAAGAATACAGAGCATGTTCTGTAGAAGCAACAAAGCATAAAAAGAAATTTGCTGAGCCAAAAAATGACCTTAGAGAATCATTGCATTAAAAAAAAATCATAAAGAAACTCATTCTTTGCAACCTTCTTCAAAATTTTGGATTTGAAAGAATTTTTAAAATGGTATCATAAGAACCCAAGCAGAGATTAGAAATTATAAAATGGGTTTGCTGCCAAAGAAATAAAGCCCGGATTTTTTTTTTTAATACACTAAATGCCATGACACAGATATATCAGGTTTTGAGGGACAAAGTGGTTAAGATCCAATGGAAGTATGACAAGAAAGTTCTTCATTTCTGAAGGCCATTGAAGGATCATCTTCAATCTTTAAACACTCAGAAAACATGGCCCTGGTATGTTTTTCCTGGCGCTGTTATTGAAAGGGGTCCAGGGGGAGAAACTCAGTCCAATGAAATCAAAGAGAAGCAAAATTAAGAGCTCAGGAACAGGAAACTATGGTGTAAAGGGTTGTCAGTGCTGAAGCCAGTTAAACACAGGGTCCAAGCATTGCTCTGAATTGGGTTACAAAATTGCAAATGTCAAGACTTCTAGAAAACAAAGACGCAAAATATATCACAGGAATATACACACAGGAAAACATAGCCACCTCTTTCTTCCCCTGAGAAGGCCTCCAGGACCCTTCAGGCTGGGTCAGGAGCCTCATCCTTCCTCCAAGTCCCCTGTGCTTCTCCCAGTAAAGTACTCATCTCAATGCTGCACATTAAATTAGTTTCATGTTTTCTTTGCCATTAGAAGAATGTGAGCCTCTAAGCAGCAGGGGCTCTTGTATTTGCATCTTTCCCTGCCATACAGTTTGTAACTGTAAATGTTCACTGAGAGAATTAATGAGGAAAAGCATGAATGTTCCTTCACTGTCCCCCAGTCAAACTTCCCTAAAGGCATGATGTCCATTTCCTCAGGCAAAACTTCCAGGAGGGTTTCCCGGAATGTGCATTTAGTACCTGCTCTGAGGATCAGTGAAGGTTCCCATAACATGTTCTTAAGCTAACAGCTGTGTGCATGTTACAACAGCTTCTTTCCAATGTGATTGCAGAGGGCTCCCTGAGCACTGTAATTTTTGCCACCACTGAGTTTGCTACTGCCATTCCCACAAGGCAAAGGAGGCAACTCACAGAGGTCATGGAACTTTCCAAATTCACACGGTGCAGAATGAAGCTAGAGCCTCACCGGATCTCTAGGACCATGAAGCTCCCACTCTGCCCCCAGCCCTCCTCCAAGTTTAGAAACCAGTGTTAGAGGCTGTCACATTGCAACATGCAGGAGTTTTATCTCCTGAATGTCAGCAGGACAAAGTGGGTATCCATCCCACTAGCACTTTGCTAAAGCTGTTCAGTATGCTGCAGACAGAATTTGTGTTCACTGTACATCAGGCAGTTTACTTTCCAGGACAACGCTGTGTCCCCTTGATGAATGGGGTTCCAGTTGCATTTACATGAGAGTGGGATTGGAGAGTGGTCTTCCGACATGTGACAAGGGGCTCCACGATGCATCACTCACTGTGTCGGCATGCAGAAGTCAGGGGTGATGAATGGCACTCCAAGAGAAAGGGCTCCTGGCAGCTCCAAGCTTCAACACACCAGGCCCAGCTGATCTGGTGCCTGATTAGTAGTTCAAGAACACTAGCTCCCTCAAGTTCCAGTCCCCAATACATGCATTCATTTGTCAACAATTTACTGAGCATCTTGGGTGAACCAAGGGGTTGCTAGATGCTGCAGAGACAGAAGAAAGATACAGTCCTTATCTTTAACCTACCATCTAATAATGAGAACATCAATTATTGAGCACATACTGTGTACTAGACACTTTGCATGCAATGTTTTGTTGATTCTACACCACTTCCCTATGGGGTATTTATAATCCTTATTTAAAGAATGGGAAGCCTAAGACCAAGAAGGATTGATTAACCATTCCCAAATCATCACAGCTAATTAACAAAAGAAGCTAGGTTTGAACTTAGGTCCACCTGACCTAAGAGTCCTTGCTAGTAATTTTTCTGCGGCTATGTGGACAATAGAAGCTACTGACAAGGAGTACCTACAATGTGTCAGACATTATTCCTGCTTTGTCTTATCTGTATTTTCATGAAAGAGTATGGGTACATCAGAACTCTCTGTGCGACTTTTGCAGCTTCCTAGGAGCCCATAATTAGTTTGAAATAAAAGTTAAAAAAAAAAGTGGTAGGAATCAAATCAATTTGATAAACACTTACTAAACTGGGCTCAGCTCTATGCTGACATCAGGGGAAACTGAGATGGCCACTCAGTTTCCAGGAGCTGAGGATTACAAGTTTTTGTATTTACTAAGATTTGCATCCCCTAAAATGTTCACACTCCTGATCTCCTAACTGTCGAAACACTATTGACTCTACCCCACTGAGAATGTAAGTATGCACCATGTCTGCATCTCTGATGACCTCATGTGTTAATCTCACATTATCCACTCAGCTCTGCCCCCTTCTGCTGCCAAGGTCTCTGAACCGGACAGCACCCACTGGCCTCTCCAGATCCACCTTCCCTTCTTCATCCAGTTCTGTGCCCTGGAGGCCACATGGACCCCATCAATGAGCTCTCTCGCCTGCCCTCTCCTGGCTGGGTTCAGCAACAGAGAACACTGAAGCCACGGAAGGAAGAGGAGAGAGGAATTGGGGTATTTATTCGCCCAGATCTCTCCCAGTAGGATCACTGTAATGCAGCTGATCCTCTCCATCAAAAGGAAGGTCACACTTCCATCAGGGAAGCCTCCATGCCCAGTTTATTTTCAGGTTTCCTAATGATTCCCTCCCCTTTAGGCCTAGGGGTGATCACTTCATTCCACTATGTCTAGCCCCAGACTATCACACTACCCCTTGTAGTTTATAATATCCTGCCCACACTTTTGTAAATAATCCTTTTATTAACCTCTCCTCATACTACCTAATTTGAATGTGCCATCTGTTTCCTGCCAGGATGCTGTCTGATAACATCTTTGAGAGCAGAAACCATATTTAATGCTTTGTTTCATTATCTATGGAATTAACTACAAAGCAGTCAGGCCCACAGTGGGTGGAAATTGCCTGACTGGATATCTCCTCCCTCGCCCAAGAGCTGGTCTTATTTTTTCCTTTTTCTTTTTTTCAAATGGAATTCTATTTTAATTGGGAGAGCTTAACATTTCTTAACCTATTTTGGGGACATGGGGTCTCTTAGGAAATCTGATGAAAGCTCAACCTAGAAAAATATACAAATGCATGTTTTCATAAACATTTACATAAATTTTCAGGCAGTTCCTAAACCACAGGTTAAGAACCCCTACAATGAATCCATTATTTATTAGAACAAAGAATCCTATCATGGTGTGAGTATTTGCTTCCTAATTCTAAGATACAGTCAATTTTAGAGGCTTTATTATTACTATGATTATTTAAATAAGGATGGCACTTAGATTTACAAGTCAGTGTGGTATTGCCAGGGTTTGGTATGAAACACAAGAATTCTAGAGGCTCATAAATAACATAGGAGAAAAATAATAACAGGATCACATCTAGCCCTTATTCTTTTCCCAGCCCTGTTCTACCTGCTTTATATATATTAACTGGTTTAATGCCCACAACAACCCCATGAGGCCAGTCCTATTCTTATTCCAGCCTATACTCCTGAAGCCTTTGAGATGAGCCTGGCTGTCTCTGTCCATAAAGGGCAGGAAGTCACTTTTTGACTAGGAAGTTTGACTTAGGAAGGGCCCAAGAGCTGTGATTCCTGACAGCCGCCTCATCCCAACTTCCATAACACCTTTTTCTCAGCATTGTCATTTGGCTCAGCTATCAGAACTCCAGTCACCTGTTGTGCACCGCCCCTGTCGTCAGTTGGTTTTCAACATCTTTCTCACTGTGACATTCAAGATCCAGAAGGTAGGCTGCAGCATATTAGTAATCATAGTTAAACCTAAAATGTATTAAGACTTTCTTATGTACTGCGTTAGGCCTATTCTCAGAATTTTATAGCCATTATTTATCAGCTAAGCCTCATGACAATTCTACCATTGTCATGGAGTGTTATTATTGCTATCTAACAGGTGAGAAAGTAGAAGTTCAGGGAGGTTAAGCAATTTGCCCCGGGTCAAATGCCTAATAAATAGTGGACCTGGGATCTGCAGCCTGTCAGTAACACAGATTGTTACTATCTGTGTTGATGATGGGGGGCAGTCCCTCAAATTTCAGCTGACTGGCCCTAAAATCATCCATTTCTCCCAGACTTTAGAAAGTATTCTAGTATGCAAGTGAGAAGGAATGACATATATATATATGACATATGATACATATAATGACACATGATATATATATATGACACATATAATGACACATAGTGATAACCTTGAACTTGCTTTTTTTTTGAAGTCAATATTTTGCTAATTACATTATTTTAACTATTGTCAGGAACACAGTACTTGCAACCCACCCCACGATGGGTTACAGCCACTGGTGTGCCTTTACACAGTGACTGGGCCCACTATGATGGGCATGGTTCAGATGTGACCATCCCTGTGTCTGCAGCACCCAGCCTAGACCCTGGCACAATTCAGGCTCTCAGTGAACATTTAAATGAATGCATACAAAGGTGCTTGAAAGAATAAAGCTGAAAAAGATGGTTCTCAAGTCTTTAAGATACAGGTCATTAGGAAAATATTGGCAAAAATGGGAGAAGCAAGTGATAGAGACCATACTACCCACTGTGTCTCCCTTTATGCCACCCAGTATCCCTCCCTGATCTCCAAACCCATATGCTAGGCCCTTTGGAATTTGGAGAATATCAAATCAAATTCACCTCTAGCCTCGGTCTCAGCTTTGGATAGTTCCTTCACATTCTAAGGGAAACCTAGAGGTCCCTTAGGGCTTTTTTTGCACAAGTATGTGCAAAACTCTTCTAGGAGTAGAGGCTAACTTACTACATGTCAGGGTCTGGAGGTGTGGAAGTATACTTCTGGATCCCCACTGCCACTTCCACACCTTTTCATGTCTTTTTCATCCTCAAACTCCAGCTCTTTTGAAGCATACCATCACACTGCTGCCATCTGCCTACTTCCAAGCCACCCCCACCATGCCATTCTCCAAGCACTTCACCTTCTTCCCCATCACCTCTCCTGTCTTCATTTTGGCAGACTTAAACATCCATGAGAATGGATTCTCCATACCCATAGCATCTCAGTTCCTTGCCCTTCTCAACCCAATGATCTCTCTTCTCCTCCCACTTCGTGGCCCCACTCCTAAGGCTATACATCATCACCAACCACTGAACCAACCCCACATTTCTCTTGCAATCATCCATTCCTGACCATCACCTCCTATCGCCTCCTCTCATTCACTCTAGTATAAATGCACTGACAATCCCTTGAACCCCTCCAGGGCCCTCCAGCCCCCTGCCCCGATGACACTTTCACTTCCTTCCTGTCAGTCATGTTGTCATGTCCTCATTTCTTCCTTTTTCAGCTTAGTCCAGCATGTAGTGCTCCTTTCCAAAACTGCTTCACCCCCTTGGATTGTGCTCTTTCTCCTTCCTTCTCTCCAACTATTACTGCAATTCTAGTCCCCTTTTCAGCCAGATTCTGCACTCACATAAAAGTGTCTGGAGAACACGTAAACAGTGACAATGAGGCTCAATCTATATGGCTGAACCCAAATCTCAAGTGGGTAATCAGCACTGCAGACAACACTATTATATTTCCCCAGTAAATTTGCTGTCTCACTCCCCATGTGATTAGTTCACACCTTCCTCTCTATTTAAAACACCCACACTCCCTTCCAACTCCTCTCAGCTGATACCTTCACCTCATCCTTCCTTTTAAAAAAGAGAGGAAATCAAGGAGCCACCTCATATTCCTGTCTCCAACTCACTGGTATCTGCTCTCATGTACTCTGCCTTCCCACTTTATCTTGGTAGAAACCTCCCTCCTCCCCATGCCCACCCGGCTACTTGTGTCCTAGATGTGTCCCTTGTGCCTCAGAATTGCCCATTTGTGGGCTTTGCTCCTGTAACTGCCCTCTCTGTCCTGAATGGTCAACAATTTTTTCACATATAAGTGTGCCTTAAAATGGACTCTGACACTCCCCACCCTACAGCTTCACTCCCCTGTTCAGCAATTACCCCATTCTCATGCTCCTATTCACTGCAACCTTTCTCAAAAGAGTTGACAAGACCCATGGTTATCACTTCCTCTCCCCCTATCCTCCCTCAACCCACTAAAGTTGGGCTCTGTTCCTACCATTCCACTGAGACCCCCAATGTCATGAATCACTTGCATCCCACTACTAAATCCAGTGGTTAGTTCTCAGGCCTCATCTTACTCAACTGCTGCAAGGATCACTCTGGCTCTCTTGAAACATTGCCTTCTCCAGGTTTCTGTCACCACAGTCACTTGGTTTCCTTCTCCTATGGCCCTAGCCCCTGTCTCCTTTGTTGCTCCCCCTTCCCTGGACTCACTGTTGGCCAAAGACTTGGTCCTTGTCCCCATTCACTATCTGCACTCACTTCCTGCATGTTCTCATCCTGCACTAAAACTTCACATATATTCTATCACTGATGATGCCACCATTTCATTCCCAGGCCTGAATTTTCCCCTAAGATTGAGTTCTGAATATTTAACTGCCAAACTGACATCTCCACCTGGCTGTCTCATGGACATCTCAACAGCTCAGAACAGGGCCTCTGATGGCTGCCCCCATATCTCCTCCTGGCCCAATCTTCTCCATCCCGGTTATTGGCACTGCTATCCATTCAGTTCATCAGGCCAAATACAGGGGACTTATCTTTAACCCTTAACATTGCCTGCAAATCTCATTCATCAGCAAGGCCTATGGCTCTACTTTCAAAATTTTTTCACAAATTCATCCACTTCTCACCACCTCCCACCACTTTTGCCCTGGAGCAAGCTGGCATCATCCCTTGCCTATTTTACTTCATTAGACAACTGCTCTCCTTGCTTTCACCACTGCCCACTGTAGCTCAGCCCCTCTGCAGCAGTCCACTAACAATCCCATGGCTTCACATGGTAATACTAAATAAAATTCAGCTGTTAGGAGGATTTCTTTGATCTGGGCCCTGCTTTCCTCTCCAGCTCATTGCCTATCCATCCCCAGTCACTGAACAACCATACTAGGCTTCTATTTTTCAATACACTCAGTTTCCACCCAGAGTCTTTGCATGTGCTTTTCCTCTCCCTAGGATGCTATTCTCTGTTCCCCATATGCCTTTCTCCAGCAGTTCATACTGTTTCCTACATTACTTTTAGCACTTATCACCACCTCTTTTATAATTATGTTTTTAAAATTGTCTCTCTCTTCATGCTATAGACTGAGTGCTGCCAGCCCCAAATTTCTATGTTGAAGCCCTAACCCCCAGTGTGATTGTTTTTGTAGATAGGGCTTTTAGGAGGTAATTAAGGTTAAATGAAGTTATGAGGGTAGAGTTCTAATCTGATAGGATTAGTGGCTTTATAAATAGAAGACATATATATATATATACACACACACATATACATACATATATATGTGTATATATATATATATATGTCTCCATCTCTCTCCCCTCATGTGAATGCACTGAGGAAAGTCCATGTGAGGACACAGCAAGAAGGCAAACATCCACAGGCCAGGATGAGAGGCCTTACCAGAAGCCAACCATGCTGGCCCTTGATCTTGGACTTTCAGCCTCCAAAATTGTGCAAAAATAAATTTCAGTAATTTAAGCCACGCAGTTTATGGCACTTAGTTATGGCAGCCTGAGCTGACTAAGACACCCCATTAGAATGTGAGAACCACAAGGGCAAGGATCCCTGATTACTTTGACCTCTGAGGTATCCCGCATGCTCTAGAATAGTGCTTGGCATGCAGAGGCACTCAGGGAGGTTTACTGTCTGAGTGACTTCCAAATGAGGCTCCTTCAGTGCTGTGCCCTCCTCTCTGGGAAGCTCATTGTTACAGTCTAAATGTTTGCATTCCCTCCAAAATTCATGTTGAAACTTAATCTCAAATGCAACAGTGTTCATGATGGGCCCTTCAGGAAGTGATTAGGCCATGAGGGCTCTGCCTTCATGAATGAGATTAATGCCTTATAAAAGGACTAGAATGAATCAACTGGGCCCTCTTGACCTTCCACTCTTCTACCATGTGAGGACACCACATTCATGTCCCGCCCCCCACCCCCCCGCCCTGGAGGACACAGTAACAAGGTATCATTTTGGAAGCAAGAAAGTCAGCCCTCACTAGACACCAAATCTGCCAGCACCTTCATCTTGGACTTCACAGCCTCCAGAACTGTGAGAAATAAATTCCTATAATTTCCAAGTTACACAGTCTTAGAAATGTTGTAATAGAAGCATAAATGGACTAAGACACTCATGAACTAACTACCTCTCCAAAGCTCCAAGACAATGTTGACAAACTTTGGCCCAATGGCCACACCCAGCTCATGGCATATTTTTGTATATCTCACAAGCTAAAACTATGCTTTACGAAGTATTATAAAAGAAGTAAAGGAAAAAGAAGAACAACAAAATATGTGACCGCAACTATATAGCCCACAAAGCCTAAAACATCTGACCCTTTACAGATCAAGTTTGCAGACCCCTGCTCTAGGAAACCAAGGGAACAGGAGGCAGGCCCATCACTTGGGGGCCTCTGGAGAGGGTGCAGCACCAACTGCTTTGCCACCCTCAGACAGACACTCTCTGCACGTGTCTGATTTGTGCACTCCCTCCCTGTGCCATTAATATTGCATTTCCAGCCCATTAGGGGAGCTAATGTGGTACACAGCAGAGCGCTCAAGAGGCTTCTTCATGGAAATTTTCTAAGAATCCATTTCTTGGGAGTAAAGGCATTCTTTATTATCTAACAAAATAGTTATACTGTGAATCAGGAGTCCATGATTTAGCTAACGTGATTCCATTAGTGGTTATCACCACTCCTTGTCATTTAGCCTCTGTTGTGTACCAAATGTTCTTCTCCTCACATCTATCCACGGCATTTTGCCAGCTTTGAAGAGGGGCCAGCCAGGCTTGCCTCCTCATAAATACCAAACCCACACAGTTAATAGATTCATACTGTTAAAGATGCATTGACAAGTTCCTGTAGTGGGGATAGGTGTCTTCTGGCTGCAAAAAGCATGCTGAAAGCTGGTGTGCACCCATGGAAGCCATAATTGTAGTCAAACCTAAGTGTTTTCTAAGGGCAGTGTGAGAAATGTCGAGTTGCAGAACAGGAGAGAGACCATGGGGAGATACAGCCAGCTTGGTTTCATGCTGCTCCTGATTGGATCAAAACTATAATTAACAATCCTCTCCATGACAGTTACTTTTTCACTCCCCCTAAAGCTATTACTGATGTCAACTTCAAATAGCAGGGTTGTGTTTTTTTCTCCAATTCAGACTTAATGAGAATTGGTTTTCTCAGGAGGGAAGGTAAGATCAAGCCAGATCCTGCCTGTGTTTGCCTGTTCCTGTGTTGGCAGCGTAGTCCTCCTCATGCATGTCCAGCCTATGAAAGACAGAGGTTGTCTTCAGAGCTGGACATTGCCCTGCTATGGACAGTCTCAATGTGCTCCCTCTCACCAAGCCCACCAAACAGCACCTAAGCCAAGCCTCATGCTTTTTCTTCCAGACCACAGAACTTCCCTTGCAGTAACCTTTTTACAGTCAGGTGGAGTGAGAAGGGGACTGAGGACTTGGAAGAGGTGAGGAGACTCCAGCACCTCCTGGTCCTTGTTTCTGGGACTTGAGGTCCACCTTAGCTTATTCTTAAACTCCTGTTCTTGTGGCTTCCCTTTTCTCTGCATCTCTGCAAGGAGTTCTGCCTAGAGGGAGAGGAAGCTTACTATATGTTGAGTCCCTACTATGTGTTGGAACTTTCACTTTGTACCTCTAGATCTACTCTATGCCCTGCTCCACCACTCTGGGCCTGGGAAGCTCACCTATCCAGCCAGCAACAGAAAACTCCCTTGTCTCTTGCTTCTGGTTGAATTTGACCATCTAGAAATCCCAGGAAGTTTTCCCCTACACAATACCCATTTCACGTGAGAGGAAATTGGGGTGTTATGGCCCCAGCTCTCTTCCCGTGGTACACTCTGGGCTGACTGCATCCCTCCACTGAAGGCCACAGTCCTCTCAAGAACCCCGTCTATCTTGAGGTTCCTGTAACCTTTTCATCATCCTCTTGTCATTTCTAGCGCAGGGGTGGTAATATCTCACTGTTTCTAGCTCTGAGACACCGCACTACTTCTTGTGGTTTCCCTCACCCCTGTCCACACATTCAAAAATATTCTTTATTAAATTATTCTCAAACTAACTCAATTGACTGTGTTACCTGTTTACCAGAGGCTCTGGCACATACAATGCTTTATCTTGATTTCACACTAGTAGATGATTCCAAAATACTTCAGGGGCATTGAAAATGTGTGTGTACCTGGCCGCCAGGGTGTTTTGTGGCCAGGGCACAGGGATGCCTAATGACCTGCAATGCATGGGACAGTCCTCTATAGGGAGAAATTCTCCAGCCCAGGTGGTTGAACAGAACTCCCACTGGGAACACTTCACAGCCCAGTGAGGAAGCCCTGAAGATAGCTGTGGTCTTACGATATACAGACAGACAGACAGACAGACAAGATATTCATCCATGGTTCCTGGCTCATAACTCCTAACATCTCTAAGATCTCCAAAGTACGATGTTTTGTGTGTCTTTTGTCTGATAAATTCAAAGTGGGGCTGGTAACCAGAAAGGCCAAGGCAGGATCAGAGGGTTGGAACTTTCAGCCCCATTCCCCAACCTCTGGGGAGGGGAGAGGAGCTGAAAAGTTGATCACCAGTGGCCAATGGCTTAATCAATCGTGCTTATATAATGAAGCCTTCATAAAAACTGAAGAGGACAGAGTTCAGAGAGCTTCCAGGCAGCTGAACTCATCGAGGTTCCTAGAAAGTGCTATGCCCAGGGAGGACATAGAAGCTCTGTGCCTTTCCCCATACCTCACTCTACATGTTTCTTTATCTCTATCCTTGGTAATAGCCTTTATAATAAACCAGTAAACATGTTTCCCTGAGTTCTGTGAGCCACTCCAACAAATTAACGGCATCCAAAGAGGGGTTTCTGGAAACTCCAAATTGAAGTGGGTTGGGTCAGAAGTTCCAGAGGCCCAGGGACCCAAGGCTAGTATCTGGGGTGGTGGTAGGCATTCTTGATGACTAAGCCCCAACCTATGGGATTTGATACTATCTACAGGTAGTGTCAAAATTGAATTGGAAGACACCTAGCTGGCATCCACTGCTTAGGGTGTGGGGAAAAACCTCTACGCATTTGGTCCCAGAAGTCTTCCTCTGTGTTGGTGATTATTGTGGTGGTATAAGACTAGAGGAATAACGTGGCTGGAGAGAGTTTTTCCTATACAATACCCATTTCATGGGAGATGAAACTGAGGCTCATGGAGTCTTCACTGGGCACCTAAGTGGCAGCTGAAGACTCCAACTCAACTGCAAGCAGCAAAGACTCCCAAATCAGTGTTCTAAGACAATAAGATGCCCTACTGCTGACCAGGCACAGTGGTTCATGCCTGTAATCCCAGCACTTGGGGAGGCTGAAACAGGAGGATCACTTGAATTTGAGACCAGCCTGGGCAACATGGCAAAACCCTGTCTCCACAAAAAATACAAAAATTAGCTAGGTGTGGTGACATGCATCCATACCCCCAGCTACTTGGGAGGTGGGAGAATTGATTGAGCCTGAGAGGTCAAGGCTGCAGTGAGCCATGATCACACCACTGTACTCTAGCCTGGGCAACAGAGCAAGACCCTGTCTTAAAACAAAACAAAACAAAATTAGGTGCCCTGCTGCCTCCCATACATTCCAACAATTAACTGTGATATAATTAACGGCTTACACTAACCAAACATGTACTATGTGCTGCATGTTTTAGACTTATTACTTGACTTGTGTCTTGTCTGTACATCTTAGCAGCCTAGCCTAAGTAAAGGGAGGAACTAAAGCTTCTCTTTCCTTCCAAGCCTCAGCATCTAAGTGCAGAGCTATAGACAACGGGAGCTCATTACCAATTACTGGTTGACTGTTGACTTGATTCTGGGATTCTGCTGAGTGGGGACATGACTATAGTTTACCTTTTCTGCTTCTAATCTAGGAGAAAGCAGTTTGGAGAAGCCGGCAGTTGACAGAGGAAGGAACATGATCATGACCTGTTACAATCTCAAGCTATGACATCTCAAACCCCACTTCCAAAGCAGGCATTTTGCCCCTCCTGGGGCCCAAGTTAGTGGGGAGCTAATTCCTCTCTCTCTCCCTTTCCCTGTGTCCTCCTTGGATCCCACCTGCCTGCTCTGCTATGTTGTTGGGTTTATTTTATTATTATTTTTCTAATATCTGGGGCTTCTTACCCACCTTCAGCCCCATACTCCTACTGTGTCCTGGGAATATAAGACCACCACCAGAGGAACTGTTAGTAAATGAAGTGATAATAATGATTGCAACCATCACTTGGGGAGCCCCTTTCTATTCCTGACATAACACGCATTTCTGCCTTAGTAGAGAACATGTCATCCATATTCCAAAGATGTAGAAACTGAGTCTTGAAGAGGTTAAATAACTTTTCCAGTATCTGTAATTCAAACCCAGGAGTCACTGAAATTGGACTGGGCCCCCCACCTATCCAATGCAAACTCCCCAACAGAACTCATTCTAAGGCCTTCTATCCCCCAGTCTTTCTACCTGATTCTGTCTTCCAAGAGAGGTTAGGCAGGCTCCAGATTGCACCCACTGACATATGCCCATTTTTGCCCCTTGTAACCACTGTCGACAGTGAAAGAAAACTCTTTTTGTTTCCCCAGCCTCATCACTGCTGAGGTCCTCCAGAGCATTCCTCTTTGACATGCCTCAGATGGTCCCAGCAGCGATGAGACCAAATCGTGAAGCACTGATTGTCTCTGGAAATGGGAAGTTTTTCCATATTTCTCCTTGCCCAGATATCCCACTTTTCTTTTGTCTTTCAATTCCAACACATGGCCCATATTAATCTGCTTAGGCAGCCACAACCAAGTACCACAGACTGGGTGGCTTTAAACACAAACATTTATTTTCTCATAGCTCTGGAAGCTACAAGTCCAAGAGCAGGGTGTCATCAGGATTGATTTCTTCTGAAGCCTCTCTCTTTGGCTTGCAGATGGCTGTTTGCAGACCACCGTGACCCTATATGGTCTTCCTGTGTCTGTCCTAATCTTCTCTTTTTATAAGACACCAATATTAGATTTGAGCCCATTGTGATAGCCTCATTCTACCTTAATTACTTCTTCAAAGGTGCTGTCTCAAAATACAATCACATCCTGAGGTACTGGGGCTTAGGGCTTCAACATATAAATTTGGGGAAGACAAAATTCAGCCCATTGCTGGCCTAAGAAGGAGGCATTTAGCAGCAGGGCATCCTGATGAAAGGGTTACCTAGAGACGAAGGACTGAATAGAAAGAATATGAAGTCCAGCAAGAGTCTCAGGCCTGCCTGCCCTGAGCTCTGTAACCTTGGTCAAGTCACTTTGCCTCCCTGGTTTTCCCATCTGTAAGATGGGCATAACTGCATCTGCCCCTGCTGTCCCTCCATTGCTCTGCTAATCCTACAAGTCTGTGGCTATGAAAGTTCCTGGAGGGGCTAAAAGTACT
Source organism: Homo sapiens (assembly GCF_000001405.40). Lineage (NCBI taxonomy): Eukaryota > Metazoa > Chordata > Mammalia > Primates > Hominidae > Homo > Homo sapiens. Next base: position 140,117,670 of record NC_000003.12, on the reverse strand, counting down.
GGACTTATGTGGTTATTGCAATTTCCATTAAAAGGAAAAGGGGCAGACAACAGTAAGTATTGTTTATAGAAAATTGATATCTGCTTCCCCTCTCCTACCCCAAGAGGCGACCCACCTTTTTAATTAGCTCCCTTCCATGAGGGCTAGCAGTCATGGGAACATGTCATAGGCTGGCTCTGAGTCAAGGGACCTGCCCACTTTACCTCATAAAATCTTCACCATTAGCCTGGTGGGAGGTACTGTTAGCTCTGTTTTATAGGCAAGGAAATGAAAGCTTCGGGAAGTTCTGTGGTGGAGCAGGCATGCAGAACTAAGGGCTATCTAATTCTAGAAACTGTGACCCTCACCCCATGTGCTGGATCAAGCCCTGGTTACATGCACTGAGGACACTGAGCTGTGTAGGACACATTCTTGGCTCTGAGAAGGTCAGAGGCTGCAGAGAGGCAACCACGGCGGGCAGGGTAGAGGTCATTCTTCATCGTGGAGAAGGCAGAGGAATGCTAACTGCCCTGAGGGAAGGAGGATGCCTGAGCAGAACTCTGAGGAATGAGAAAGCAGCAGGCTGAGAAAGACATTTCACACACAGGAAACGCCACAGTGCACTCAGGGCCATCCTAGCAAACTGTCCCCCTCCCAGCCCGGAACAGCAGAGCAGGGGAAAGGGGGGCTCCAGAATATGGGAGCAATTTCAGAAGACTGACCAAAAGCCAATAGTACACTGATGTCAAAAAAGGTAAAATGGTACATTCTGGAAACTAGAGCCTGGAAAACCTGATAAAGCACTCAGTGCACTTTGCTAGTGGGATAATTAACTGAGAGGTGTATGGGTGCTTAGAAGGGATCTAGCCATCACTGAGGGCTGTCTCAGCACAAGCATACCAACTCAGGCTCTCTTCTGGTTGAACACTGAGCAGAAGGTGGGTATTTCCCATGGCTGGTGCTCAGGTAATTTATTTAGGTAATATAGGGATATGGTGATAAATGACACTCAATCATAGAGGGCTGGGACTGAGGCAATGCCAGAAGACACCTGGGGGGCGCAAAAGTTAAGGAGGCTCTCACTCTCAGAATGGTACAAAAGTACAGGATCGGCCCTGCAGGTGAGTGCTTCCTTAAATTTTGCACACAGGAGCCTCACTGACCCCACCCTAGTCCTGGCCCTGTTCAAAAGGAGAAAACCAGTCCATTTTCAATTCAAGGTAAATTCCTGATTCCTGTAAGAAGGCAGCAAATATGTCTTTAAACCTGGCTGCACTTATTCTGGCTTTGAGCAAGCCTCCTGCTCAGAGCCTCCTGCAGGCAACGGTGTCTAGCTAGAATTTAATAATATTACTTTGATTTCACCATATTTACTTTTACAGATTTATAGTAAGTGATATTTTTTTCCATTTGTGGTTGAAATATAAAGTTTCCTTTTAAAATGAATTTTACTGAGTTTAAAGAATAAGTTTCTCTAAAGAAAAATACTAAGTCAATAATAGACCAGGAGATTTGTAGATGAGGCAAAAACTGTGGAGGTGGATGTGTATGACTAAGGTTGGGAAACACTTGATATTCCCACTTCAGCTGCTGCAGGAATAGAAAGAGGTTAGTCTGGGAGGGGTCAAAAACGGCCCCTCCCCTGACATCAGGCACCAATGTACCAGACATTCTGTCCACTGAACCCAGAAGCCACTCCTGCTCCGGGACAGCAAACCCAGGCTACATTTCCAGCAAAAACAAGTGTCTACATTCTCATCAACCGATCCGATTTCTTAGCCTAACAACGGAGCCCACTCTGGGATCACCTCAGAAGCTCTTCTATGTAGAGGATTTCTGATCAAGCCTAGGAAGCTACTTTTTATTTCCTGAAGAATGAAAGCTTCGGAGCAGTTGCTTTTCAAGGAGAACAATAGGATGGGGACGTTTTCTCAGTGAAGACTTCCTTAAAGTTTCAACCCATCTCTTGGGGCATGACATTTTGGAGACTGAAGAGGACATGGCTTTGGTGCTTTCACATGAAAAGAATGTCAAACACAAAGGCTTTTGGCTCAGGCTGCCCTGCCTGCTGAGGGGCAGAGATCAGAGGTGACAAGCTGGTTTGGGGAGAAAATCTAATCAGAAGCAGGGCCTTTTTCTCCCTGCCCTTTACAGAGAACTTGCTATTCAAATTTCTCTGCTCAGCCCTTGTGTCAGTGAAGAGCAGGGAGTGAGGCCTCTTCTTAGCCCTGATGAGCCAGAGGTGGGGGTGAGAGGCCAGGAAATATGTGGCCCCCACCTACCCACCCACCCACAGACACTCCAAGCAAGGAATAGGCTGTCTTGTATTTCACGATTTTATATCTTTGAACACTGTAAACACACACAGAGAGAAAAATCTATGTATCTTTTAAGTGAATGTCATGTACCCCACTATGGTGTCTTGTAACCAGGAAGGCAAAGACAGCATCATGAGAAGAGAATAGATAGGCTTAGGGGCTGAAGAATAAGATATAGTTTCCATATCTCCCCCTCACTTGCTCACAGTATGTGATTTAGATTCAGCCTTGCAACTCTTGGAACTTCAGTTTCCTCAACTATAAACTGGGCTATTGTTTCTTCCTTTCAGGGAACTACACACATAATCACCTAGAAACAAGAAAGTGTTGGTTGGGCAAAAGGCCTTGTAATAATGCAGGAGAAGATACTACACAGGTACTGAAGAGAGCTGGCAAAAGTCGAGGTGTCAGTCACATCAAGGCAGAAGGGAGACTGCAGTGGCTGTCACTGAGAGTGTCCCAGCAATGGCTCCTAGAAAAGCCACATCAGAGAATATTAACCATGTTAACAATGGAGAAATGGGGGGAGGGGGCAGAGGTGAAGGTCGCTGTGCAGCTGGGATGATGAAAACAATATTACTCCATTTGTTATTCATTATCTTTGCTCTTCCAACAAATATTTAGGTGAGAACCCTGTGTGTCAGACACCAGAAATAGAAATGATGTAAATATGATATCCTGCCTCTAAGATCCTTAGAATCTAGTAGCCAATATATCTGGATTCAGTGTGCAGTAGCCATTTGAAGAAAAACACTAATTTGAATGCGTACATTCTGCCATGGCAATCAGCTGGATCTTACAATAAGAGCTATTATCCCTTTGTCTAAGACCGCCCCTTTGTTCTTCCAACATAAATTTATTGAGAAGCTTGGGCTAGGTGATTCAGCTTTAGATAGACTCACAGAAACCTGTTGCCCAAGAACTTACAGGCCAGTGAGGGAGACAAATAGAAGACAGAGGACAGGACAGGATGCCAGGTGATAAGGGTGATGCCAGATGCAGGGCCAGCGGGAGCACCATGGGGCAGACCTAATCCAGCCTGTAGGAGAGGACAGGAATACAGAGAGCATTCTTGGCAAAGAAACAACATATGCAAAGCACAAAAAGTGGGAGAAGCAACAAATTCTGGGAATGATGAGTAATTTAGTAGAGCTGGAAAGTGGGTGGGAAGGACTGTGAGCATAGCCCTGGAGATGGGAACTCCCAAAGCAGGTGAGAGTGACATGAGCTCTGGCTGGAGATGGGGTGTTTTGAGCCTTATGGGCAAGGCAAGGAATCTGAGCCTCATCCTGAACTCCAGCAAGAAGATGGTAAGGATCCATGTCTGCTCAGAGGTAGTTTGTAAATTGCTGCAGATCACCAGATCCCCAGAGCTTGCCAGTTCTCTGTTCACTGGCCTGATCCAACACAGTTATCCCACAGAGCTGGTGGCTTTCCCGCAATTATGAATAACTTCCCACACTACATATCACTTATTCACATGTGTAGAATATCACACACACGTATACACATATATACACACACACAATTGCTCCATTCACTTCATTGTTTAAAATGGATCTTTTTGCTCAACCTGATAGTCGTGCGTCACTATCAATTAGTTTCATAATTTTGCACAAAGTATCCAAGCACTCCCTGCCTCAGTTTTCTTGTCTGTGAAATAGGAATGATTATGCCCAACTTAACTTGGAGGGTTAATATGAAGGTAAGTAAGATGCTTCCCAGGAGTCTTTTAAAATTTTAACCCAAGACAAATGGAATTATGTGACTGAAACCCTAAACCCCACAGTCCAATTTCTCACTGTTGTAAATGGTGTTGACACACAGTTAGAAAGGGGCAGAAAGGAATGTAGTTGGTGCCAAGAGTAGGACAGGAGATTGGGAAGGGCACAGGCCTGAGACGGCTCAGACAAGTGCTCTGTGAGAACCCCGGGTTGAGATTACTTGGAAGCAGTTCCCATTTTGAAACTATATTGAAGACCAAGAGTGCCGCAGCCACTGAGAGAGCGAGTTGGGGTCTGCACACAGTCTGCAGGCACTGTAGCCAGCCCCTAGGCTTCAAAGGGTCTCTGCAGACCTTTGGGGAGCACAGCCTGGGTTGCTGCTGGATGTTCAGAATTTGATATCAATTAGGCACAGTGGTATGCTAGTAAACTGGCTCTCTTGCGAGGGCAGGAGTGGGGAGTGGGAGAAAGAAACTGCAATTTGTAGTGTTTGCCGATTTCCATGGTGTAAAATTCCATCCGTGGCCAATTTCAAGCCACTAACAGTTTAACAACTGGCTCAAAAAACCAATCAGAGTATTTAACAATTGGTTCCCACAAGCTGGAAGGCACTGGCTCCAGCAGAAGACTAAGGCAGCCATCAGAAGGATGGTTCTGGCATGTTAGGGCCTCTCCTGGAAATTACTACAAACACATTATGAGCCATTTTCTGTAATAAGCATTTGCACTTCAGTTTGGTTAAATGAAAATCAGCTGCAAAGGGATTTTTATGGTCTGTTTTTTTCATGCTCTGTCTCTAAAGGCATGTTTGCAAAGCAGAGAGAGGTTTTCAAATTTACCTTTTCATAGTATCAACAAGCAGGATTTGCCTAGAGCTCGAAAGGGCAGACTGTCTGCTCTTTCTCTCACCACGGTGCCTGCTAGGTCAGACGTGCAGTCTCAGCACGGGTTCATCCTGCCTCTGCTTGCAACCTAGCATTTCCCCTGGACTGCATGCACCCATAAGAAGCCAGAGGTTAGAGCGACTCAAGCCTTCAGATTCACCCATATTTGACAGAGGGATAAATGACTTTCCCATTTACTGACTTATGAAGGAGATCATGGCATCGTGTATAATGTCCAGGTGCACGGCTGTCTGCATCTGCACCACGTGCTGAGATTTCTCCATGAAGATACACTCCTGTGAATTATAAGCTGCCTTATTATTATGGGCTTTAAAAATGCATATTCTATGGCAGAAAATTTAGGAGAAAAGTCATTATTTGGAGTGTAGTAAAAAACACACACACACACACACACTTTTAATATTTGCTCCTCTTCCCTGTAACCTCATTTCATCTACAATTTCAGAAGCAAAATAAGCTCCACAAATAATGGTGTTCCTGAAATCGCTTAGAAGACAAGTAGTTAAAGGATGGTTTCTCTTTTCAGTGCCACCCCCTCACAGAACATAAGTGAAAATTTCATCAAGATGGCCCTTTCTTGTCTTCTTAAGCAGGAAATGAATGTGTGTTCTATTTTAAAGAAAATTTTGGTTTCAACAGAATGAAGAATTCCTTCCAATTCTTTCACTGGGTTTTGAGCCAAGGCATAGCAGTGATGCTTGGTACCTGCAAACTGCATATACTTTTGTGTTGTGAGATGAGTAAAGCACAGGTCCCAGGGTTGGACTGTGGATTTGAAGCCCATTTTTGCAGACCACTGGCTGTGTGGTCGTGGGTAAGTCACTTGTACTCTTGTAAACCTCAGTTTCATCATCTGTAAAGTGAGTTCACCTTCCAGGGATGTTCTAAAAATTAAATGAGATCGTGCATATGAAGTCCTTATCACAGTGGCTTCTGGTGCAGAGGGGGCAGTCTATAAATGATGATGATAATACTCTTTAGTTGTTCCAAGGATATTTACCTTGTTTTTTCAACTATACCTTGACTGCTTGAAGAGACGGGCCATTTTTACTCCTCTTGTAGGCCCCAGGAACACATGGGGTATAGGTATAAAGCAAGCTCTCATAGACTGATGTGTTGTCGATCAGGAGCTCGGGGCAGGAAGAAAGAGATCTGCACCCAACATAAGAAGGGAACCCTTGTAGAGAGGGTGTTCCTCTGTGTGGGTGGGGGCACTTTGATACACTGGGGCTCAGGCCTAAACAGAGACTCTGCTCCTCCACCACTTGGCTTCAGGGGTTGTCTCAAGGTGGCCCGTTTGCGAGGTCTCTCCAGGTAGCCTGCCCCAGTGGCTCATGTTTCTATTGCAGAGTTCATTTGTCTGACTTGGATAAAAAAGATGAAGACCCTCACTAAGTCTGCATCTGTGAAGTCTTCAGCATGGACTCAGAGATTTGACCAGAGGAGATGAACAATGACACACAATTCAGATAGAGAGGGGAGGGAAAGAAGAATGGAGGCATGGAGCGAGAAAGGAGTTGTGTCTGTAGGGGAAAGGGGCAAATACAAAGCATAAAATAGAGATGTTACACTGAGCACAGGACTACTGCAGACTGTCTCTCTAATAGAATCACTGGCCCCCTTGGAATAGCAGTGACCTCAAGAATGATTAGCCATGAGATAGGAAGCATAGAGTGATACACATTAAACCTTGGATGTGCAGCTTCTTCTCCTGAGAACAATAGGAGAATGGGGTTGAAGAGCCCAGGATCCTTCTAGGAGTACAATCTGGACAAGCTACAATCTGGATTGTGTTTCCACAACCTGGAAACTGGACAATGATTCTGGAATCAAAGTGGCCTGATTTTCTTCCTGGGAGCCAATTGCAAGTCCCATCTTGGTCTAGGGGCTATGAGGAAAGAAAGAAGAGAAGCCAACAGCCCTCCTCCAGAGAGGTTTGCCATCTGACTAGAGGCAGGGCTTCCAGGTGGGCACCCAGAGGCTGAGGTGCAACACAGAGAAGCCAGGGCTGAGTTAGAAAAGCAAGCCCTTCCCTACCTGTGTGCCTGTGAGGCATCAAACTTCAAGGAACCTTAGCTTCCCTAGATCTACAATAGAAATAATGAGGAATGATCCCAGCATTTGCAGCAATATATCTATCCTCCAAGGGAATTACTTTAGAACATCCATAGCTAGCTTTTTAATTTTTTCTCTAATAACAAAGAGTAAATAAGAGCTTTTGAAGGAATAGCAAAGTGAAAAGTCCTGATCTTAGAATCAAAGTTCTATATCCTCTACAGAAGTGTAGAAATTAATTTCTTTATTCAATAACACGATGCCCCATGGTGTTTAATGTTTACATTTCCCTCTTTGCTTACTGCCAAAATATTACTGTGAAAATAGGCTCTGAGGTTTCTCTTATGGAGTAGTTCATGCCCTGATCTTTAAAATTTCCTTTGTTAATAATCAGGGAGTAGGTAGCTCTGTAAGGAAGATGTTGGTCGTCTTAACATCCACTTGGGAATCAAGAACTTCATCCTAATTAAAAAGCTCGTGGAAGCCCTGAGTCATCTAAATAATATGTGCCTCAAAATAAAATGACTTAGAAAAGTAAAATCTGATTAAGGTGGAATTGTTCCAATATTTGCAGATTTTAAGAGGAATGGTAGTAACTTGAAATTGCCAGTCCTTTAGAATAAAGACATATTTTTAGCAAAACCTGGCATAAAATTGGCATAAATGATTCTGAGATTTATGGTCCTGGGAAGGCTGATGAGGGCTGGCACATGGCAGAGTGGGAGGGTTGACTGTGATCAAGGAAACCTGGGGTGCTTTTAACACATTTCTTTTCACTGATGATGGGGAAAAACAAGCCACAGAGAGGAGCATGACTTGTACTAAGTCACTTGGATGTTAATTGCAAAGCTGGAACTGAAGCATGGCCTCCTGACTAGATCACGCAAAATCCAAGTTCTCAGGCATAGTCACTTTTGCTCTGGGCTAATTCTTTGGTCCTGTCTCTGTGCCATCAGAAAATTCTTCTGCTGGAAAGAGTTGCCCTCTCTACCAACCCTGGGAACTTCCTTAGTTCCCTAAGAATTCTCCTAGCTCTTCTAAAGATCTCTACAGGGCTCAGTGCTTTCATAGAGCACAGACATTATGGGGACTTCCAAAGCTCAAAATAGCTTTGAAAAAGACCAAGGAGCAGTCTTTTCATAAAAAGCCCATGACCCCACTGTATCCATTCCTGGCCTCCAGAGCCAACAGGAAGGGAGATTCGCCACCTACTTTTACCCAAGCCTGGGCCAATTATCACCTCAGCTAGGCAAGAGCACCTCTCCCAATTAGAGCACATCAAGGCTTCTAAGGGCATGGTTCGGTTGAGTCACACAGTCTCTCCCAGGGAGCTATGCAGAGACACTGTGAGCAGCCTGTGCTGAGATTCCCGGCTCTTCCAGGAGGTGACTATGATTCTCTACAGTAATACCTGGATTTCTGGTAGAGTAGAGAGAACTATCCTGGAGCCAGTAGCCTGAGATCAGGTAAAGGGCAATGGTGCAGGTAATCTTGTCCTGTTACATTGGGGCAAGGAAAAAAAATAAGACGTTTCCATGTGTAACATGCTGAGACCCCATAAAGACTCACATGCCCAGAATTAACTCCCTAAGCCATGAACCACAGTGCCTAGGTTTCCATCCATCCCAGTCTCTTTTGTTCAAATCCAAGCTCTTCCACTTCATAGCTGCCTTGCTTGAGCAAGATACTTCACCCTTCTGAGGCACACCTTCCTATCTTTAAAATAGGACCATAATACCCAGTTCATAGGGTGCTCTCTGCCCCTCTGTGACAGGGCATAAATGGAGCTCTCCCAGTGCCGGGTACCTAGCAGGAGTACAACAAATGCTAACTCCATCCTTTTCCTTTGGTTGAAGAATTTCCTTCTCTGGGCTCATTTTCTAAAGTGGCCATGTCCAAAGAGGGAACATAGCATATTTAGATGCGTGCTTCTTACTAGAAGAAATAGGGCTTCAAAATACAACAAAACAAAACAAAATAAATACCATGAGATGAAACAAGCTGCATCTCAGCAAATTCCAAAGCCCAATCCCTGTCTTATCTTGCCCTTAACTGCCTTGACTGTGAATTTGAGACTGGAGTATTTTGAAACCTAAGAATGACTCCACCAAGGTTCTTTTTAATAAAAAACACAAAAAACAAAAACAAATAAAAAATTCAATGGGACTTCTAGCTGCAGGTAAAGTAGCAGGTTTACAGGTAAGGAACATGCCTGGAAAGGGAATGGAAAGAGGCAGGGAGGGGTGGATTCAGCCCCATTGCCACTGTGGCAGGCTTCCCAGGTTCCATGGGCTCCAGGAATCCCTAAAGAGCTTTCTTCTTATGACTTGGACAAGTGTAATGGAGACTTTGACTTCTAAGTAATTGCATGTGATATAGTATTAAGTACTGAGGCTTAATACTCAAAAGAATAAGCATATTTTATGCCAAACACACTTCAATTTCAGCCATGCAAGTTATGACTGAAGGTTGGAAATGGTCAGTGTCAGCTCCAGAACTTGATGATATGGTGGTTCTACCTGTATTTGTAGAACCACTGGATGAGTAGATAACATTTCAGAAGATGCTGTCTGAAAAAGTAATTTCTATATTCTCTACACACTGAAGAGGAACACGTCATTCCTAGAACACAACAGGCCACTCTTTCTTGAGGGTGTCCCTTATCAACCACTCATTGCTCTGGCACAATGGCACGAGAACAATGGACTCGGCTCAGATCAAGGTCCCAAATTGCCTATTGCTGGAGGCGCTGCCTCAGAGAAGTCTCTCACTTTTTTTGAGTCTCCTCTTCTTAGCTATCAAACTGAGAGATGGACACCTATGTCTCTGCAGTCTTGTGAGAATTAAAAGATTGAGGAGGACAAAATAGTTTCATGAATCCCAAGTGAAATGATAATCCATTTCTCTTGGGATAACAAGGGAAGCAGCTTTAGAGAGTGATGTGACTCTTACATCCTTGGTTCAGCCCCAAGGTGGAGAGGTGAGGAACCAAATTCTACTTTGCCTGTGGACTTTATGGACTGCACATGAAGAGGGAGCTACTGGTTGATGAGACAAACAGGAAAATTTTCTTCAGCTGGCAGGGTTTAGATACAGTTGTACTCAGAATAGTATTAATATTCCCCTCAAGAGACAAATATGCAGATATCTGATTCAGTAGGACCTGTGCTTAAAGGACCAGGTGAGTCTGCACTCACATTGAGGGTGAAATGACAGGAAACCCCTTCCCTGAAAATCCACCCTGCAAGACTCTTTTCTGGAGTTGTTCTTGGGTGTCAAAGAGCAACAATGACATCAGGAACTGTTCCTATTAGAATGATGCCAGCTTGGGAAAGGCTAGGGAGAGGGAGTGGATCCAGGAAAAGAGATGCCCTTTCATATTAGGAGAAAAGGTGGAGAGGAATCTGATAAGTGGGTAAAGATTAAAGACCGCAAAGGACAGGCTACTTTAGGGAAAGATGGCAGGGGAGCCAGGACAGGATGTGGAGGCTCCCAAGCAGATGTCAACATAGAGGATATTATTATAGAAGCTCCCTGTGGGCTCTGTAGAAATTCTGATGTTGGGAGCCCTCTAGTCCATTCATGTCTGCCTTTTTTCAGCTGTACCAGCATTCACCAAAGGATTCATATAGATTGTTAGTCCTCTTAAAATCTTTATCTTTAATGCCAGACAGTAGTGAAATTGCATTAAAAAAGGACAAATTGTCATGTCACTAATTAAATGATCACTTATAAAGTGAATTCCTACTCAGATATCCCCCCGCTGCTTAACACTAGTGTTGAAAAGAAATAATTAACACTTGACTTAGCCAAAATAACACACAGGCACAATTATAATTTTGTTAAATGTAAGATATAATTAGCATGCTTTTATAATTTAATATTTTTCTTAATAGTATTCTAAAAATCTACCAAGAAATTTTGCTATTTTGCTTTTCTGAAGACTCATTTTGTAGACAGCCTTTCTTCTGTAAAAATTATGTTTAAATAACAGGGTCCTTGAATACTGTCCAGCCTGGAATGGTGGTTTTGAGGGAGACCTAACTGATCCTCCCATTTTCCTGTGGGCCATCCTGGAGAGGAACCTTGTCTTCTGGAAAGGGCCACTGCCTAGAATTCTAGGCAAAAGTAGTCAGTGTGAAGCTGTGAGCAGTGCTCACCCACAGGGGCAGAGAGAAGACCATAGGATTCTGGAAACAACAAAGACCCCACCTCCTGCTCCATCCTGTGTGTCAGGGAGGCCTCACTCTGAGAAGACAGAGGCAGTGGACATCTGGCCTGCATGGTTCAGGTTCAAGACCCAGGCATGAGGCTGTGCTCACCTTGTCAATGGGAAGAAGCCTTTCTTGATCAAATCTGTCTATTCTGGGAGAATTCTGGAAGGCTCTGGGAGGTTCCTAGGATCAGCTGTCAGGGAAAACCACATATTAAGGACAATGCAAGTTACTTAAGAGGAGGCTTCTCTCCAGAATAGAAATAGACCCTGGTCACCTGTTACTCAGGGAATCTGTTACTCAGGGAAGGTATGCTGCTCAGGGTTGGATTGTTTGTAAAAAAGAAGGAGAAGAACAAAGACCAGTTCTTTAAAGACTGGATCTGACTATATAAGGCAGCTTCAGGTGTCTGCCATACACATGGCTATTTGAAAAGGAAAAGGCCTCCACCCATCTTTCCTAGGGAAGTTACCACGTTCTGCCGATAAAACCAGGCCCACCATGCCAGCCTCTGCAGACTAAATAGGGGATGATTTCCACATTGAAGGAGGCTTTACTCAGGCCCCATCACCTCTTAGGTCACCGAGTGTGACTTCTGCTCAGAGAGGGTCCCATGTGCTGCACAGCATCAAACCAACCCACAGCAGCCCTCTCTGAGCTAGCACATATGCTGAGGAGGAAAACAGGTCCCTGAGGCTGAGGTGCTTGTCCTGTACACAGGAGATAAGATGCTAAATGTCTATGAGGCCTTCTCTATCTTACAGTCATTGGAAAGCTGGGGCCCATGGTGCCGGGGGTCTGATGAAACAGCATCCCACCCTGCCTCACACTCCCCAGTAATAAGTCTGCATCATGGAAGGAGCCTTGCATAGATTAGATGCTTAGTAAATATTTTCCCAGTGAATGGCTCTAAGAAATTCACCTAATATAGATGCCCAGGTCCTAGGAGTGGGCAGTCAAATCTTTCAGCATGCTCTGAGGAGGGGAGAAGATACTGAGAAGCTTGGGAGAGAGGGAACAGAGGCTACTATCCAATCACTAATTATTACAAAAGCTACCAAAATGTGTGTCATATGCTGGCCCTTTAGATGTTTGGAGTGAGAGTTTATGGCTGTTTTAAGATATGATGCCTTCTCTCCAGGAACTGTGCTCACTTGGGCATCAGCATTGCTGAAGGCCTTGATGTTCAACCAAGAGTCTGTCCTAAGCATAGTTATAAACAGGCATATGAATGCACTTTGTCAGTAACTTTAATAAAGCAGCTAAAGTCAGACTAGATTACTTAAAGATGATATATCATAAGAGGATGAATTTAAAGAAGTAAGTCTCTTGATAAACTTGTTGCTCTCTCACAATTCTTACCTGCTGTTAGTCACTGCTTAACCAAAAGCTAGAAATATCACAAGACTTGAATAAAACACCAGAGCCCTTGTCCTGGAATAAGATTTCTATATTACCACCATAAATTCAGGTTTTACCTTTTGTTTTTTTATTTTTGAGACAAAGTCTTGGTTCTGCCACCCAGGCTGGAGTGCAGTGGCACGATCTCTGCTCACTGCAACCTCCGCCTCTGAAGCTCAAGTGATTCTTGTGCCTCAGCCTCCAGGATAGCTGGGACTACAGTCATGCATGCATCACCATGCCTGGCTAATTTTTGTATTTTTAGTAGAGATGAAGTTTCATCATGTTGGCCAGGCTGGTCTCAAACTCCTGGCCTCAAGTGATCTGCCCGCCTTGGCCTCCCAAAGTGCTGGAATAATAGGCATGAGCCACCATATCTAATCTTGCCTTTTAATTGTATTTTTTTATTTGTCAGCAACACTTTCTCTTTTTAGACACTTTCTCTTGGACTTAAGTTTTCCTTTAATTCTGAACAGCTACACTTTATGGGGTAAATCAGCGAGCATTTTGTATAAGCTAGAATTATTCTATCTGCACACTTGCCATAGCTGTACAGTCAGCCAAGAACTAACACTACTATAGTCTTAGCCAATGGCATTAGGGTGAGGAACAAGAAAACTAGGAGCTCCTCTTAGCCGAGCATTGCTTAGTTGGCACCAAACAAAGAACCCTAGGTCTTTTCTGACATTTGTGCTAAGAACAGAATAGAAACTTCTACCTCTGCCAGCTCTTTCTTGGAGAAGAACAATGATCTTCCAAGTGTGGGTGGTATACTTCAGAGAGTTTATCTCTTTCTCTTGTGCCGCCAGCCTGCTGCTCTATGAAGGAGAGGGCAGGTGGGAGGAACTGTCTGTGGAAAAACCCAGGTCATCCTTTGAAGGGTGCAACTCAATCTTTATTACCACTGGAGTCAGCAGAGAGGAAAGATATCCTCACTAACTGCATGATAGTGAATTGTACAAGTTGGCAATATTCTGATTAAAGCTGTGAAATTCCTTCCATTCCAGCTAAATTTACCAGTCTTTAATGTGAACAAGTATCTCCTTGTTCCCTGATAAGAACAAGGTGAAGAAAACGTTCTAATCAGCTTTCACAGTTCCCTCTCCTTTCTCCATCAATCATGTCCTAGTTCTCTGGAGATCAGAATACCACAGTTTTTCAATTATTGGCAGATATTATTCTGTATTGTTGCACAACCCTTGTCTTGCAAATCCCTTTTTTATGTGTTTATCTTTTCTCCCCATTTAGTCCATAAACTCTTTGAGAGCCCAACTGGGACAAGGTCCATAGTAGGTGCTCTATAAATGCCTGTTGCATTGGCTGTGATTCTCCCAGACTTCAACAAGGCACAGAAAACAAGGGGAAATGACGTATTACTCCTGGGAACTACTCTGTATTTTATCTTTGACAGTCTAGACATGGCTGAGCCTACTACCCAGTGTAGACTTAATCTGATATATTGAGACTAGGATTCTGAGATCACAGCTAAAATATTTTCTTCAAAAGGACCCTGAAAAATACATGAATGCAGAACTCACTTATCAATGCTGCTGATGGAAAGTTAAATGTATAATCTCTAAATGAAGCCACAAAAAGCCTATGATGATGGAATTGGAGGCACTATGGCAGTCGTGGGAGGTTGACAGAAAATTGTGGTTGAGAGAAAAAATGCTTCCTGTCTCCTCTGAAAGCACACTATGGAGGGGGTAGCTGCCTCTTCTCCACCCACTGTAAGTCAGCTGTGCATCACTCATTCAGTTCTGCAGCAGAGAGTGATGAAGACAGTGAGAAGGCCATGTGGAAGTTAGCAATCCTGGCTTGGTTAAAGATACAGCCCAGCCTCTCATCAAAACAAGATTATCTCCAGTTGTTCTGCCCAGCTGCTGCAACCTTACAGACTAAGCTATAAGCAATGCCCAGGTACTGGGAACATGGTCAGTCTCAGAAATCTGAGGTCAGTCTGACTGAGGTCAGTCTGCCTTAAGCACACTATTAAATAATAATGCTGGTTGCTACCTTTAATTGTTGAGCTATTCTCTTCTAGGCAGTAAGTTATGTGATTTTCATACTTGATTTCAAATTCTCAAAATAGATATTAATATCCTTATTTGAAAGGTAAGAAAACTGAGGGTCAGAAGGGTTGAGAAAACTGAGGGTCAGAAGGGTTGAGAAAACTGAGGGTCAGAAGGGTTGGGTAAATTGCTTATCACAGAAAGTTTTGAGCCTGGAGTATTGGACCTCTTGACCTGTCTGACTTCAGTGCTCTTTCAACTACTGGTCATCATGTAACTATTCTGTGTTTTCATATGTCATTCTGACTACCACAACTAGAGTTCTCTTTCCAAGTCTCTTCCATCAACACCTGGGTGAATCTGAGATTTCTGTTCCCCAGCCTCTCATACCAGTATCATTAACAATGTGAAGAAACAATGGAGTCATGTAGGTCATAGAAGACAATGGCTTTCAATTGAGTTTTAGTTGTCTGCATAAGGAAATTACTTCCTGGCTTGTGGGAAATCTTGCCAGGCAACCCACAGTAGGACCTTCAAAGTTTCAACTTGAAATCAGAGGCAAGATTCTTTGCAATATGTCTCATGATCTACCGCCCTGCCCTGCTTTCCAAGGGCCTGAAGTCACCTGCTCAGTCACTATGAAGACCCAAGGCAATGACCACAAGCTTTTGGCTGCCTGAAATAATGTCTGAGCACAACAGGCTTCTTGCCCCCAAATCATGGACTGTTGGTTCTAGATTGTCCATGGGAGATCAGAGCAAGTCCCTTGGTACAACTTCTCTTTGGGGATGTCAACTCCATCTACAACTCCGTCTTCGAGAACATGTCCCTAACACAGCCCCTGCCAAGGAGGCAGCAATGCATGTGATGGTGTCCTTCCTTATCACGAATGATTGGCCCAACTGTAGACAGCAGTTTATAGGAAGCCCATTTGCCAGCCAGCAACCTCTGTATGACATGTGTGGTCTGACTTGAAATTAGGACCTAGAAAATGGCCTCTTTCATCAAGAATTTGAACTAAGAAATCCTCAGAGAAGTTAGAATTTAGCTATAGACACTAGATATTTAAGACTTTGTAGACCCAGAGTATGGAAGAGAGAGTTCATGTTCCCCAAACATCCCTGTACTCTCCTACATGCCCCTGCCTCCCTTGCAACTGAGTTGCAGTCACATGACTAGTTCTGGCCAGCGGACCATGAGCAGCACTGAGTTGTTTCACTTCTGGGCCAGCGCAGTTAAAAGCAGTTGTGCCTTTTCCATCGTTTCCTCCCCTTCCCTTTGGCCATATGTTCCAGATGACATAGTTATAAGATGGAAGCAGCCTGAAGCTCTGAACCATGCCTTAGGAGAGATCTGTCCTGGAAAACCAACAACCCACACCAAGCTTTGCAAGAATGACAAATAAACTCTTATTTTATTATACCATTGAGACTTGGAAGGTCATTTGTTATAAAGTGTAACTTGGGCTATTCTGACTAGTATACAGAGCCAAAGCCATTATGAAGCTCACACAGGGAAACTAGCTGGGAGAAAAAACAAAAGACACAAATGAACAAAGGAAATTTGAGAACCATGAGAAAGAGGCATATAAGAGTTGCCCAACCTGGGAGCGACTTCAGTGTCTGTCCAACCTGATGTCTAGTGGTGGTTCAGCTTTTCCTGAATTCCTATGAGATGCATACAAACATTTTAATGTACATGTACACTGGCATATGCAGTAATAACCAATATGAATATTACTATTACTGCTTGGTGACTAGCTGATAAAATAATAATGGGTAAGTCTATGGCCAGCATGAAACTATGCAGTCCACTGGAGGGTAGGGAAAAGGAGTAGAGGACAGAACTCAAATTTACTGAGTGCCTATTATGTACCAGGAACATGGCTTCATTTATTCTTATACAAATCCTAATAAAGTAGACATTATCAACCACATTTTACAAATAAAAAAATAGTTAAAGGACATGTAACCAATAGTTCCCAACATCATGAGTGAGGCCCACCCAGTGTGACCCCAGTGTACCAGGTGCTTCTTTCCAACCAGGGTCTCTACAGCCTTGCCCTTCCCTCTGCTTTGCACACAGGCCTGTAGTGATATATCCTAATTACAAGGGACAGCAACAATGCTACCAATAAAGGCAGGCTTGACTTCTTCTCCAGGAGCATGAGGGCACAACATGAGCATGGAAGGGTGATTGTACTCACACATGGGCATTGGAGCCATTATGAACCATCACTTCAGGATTTACGGAATCTTGCCAACACTCTACAGCAGCCTTCTGGCTGATGATGCGTCTCCCGGCGTGTTAGAACGTGAGCCTCACAGCCCACCTCTGCTGTACACATGCGTGAAATTATTCTCCACCCACAGACAGGATTATGCGTGTGGCCCACACACAGCCTGGATCCTCAGTGGGCTGTGTGGGAGGCTGGGTAATCAGTACATTTAGGAAAGCAAAAGAAAGTAAAGCCTTCTAGTGACTGCAAACTTACATTTTTCTATCACCAAGTCATGTTTTGAAGAGAACTTAAGGGAATCCCACAGTGTTCAGTCCTTCCCTTGTATCTTTTGAGTTTAAAAGTGAATGCTGAACGCAACATTTTAAATCATTTTCTTGATCACTGCCTTATGTTAATAAGTGGAAGATAAGGTAGCATTGCCATAGGGATGCAGATGGTAATTGTAATACCTTGATACAGTCCACAGCCAAGGGGATTGGGATCGGAGCAAACTCTACATTTTATGGTGGAGGGGAGGGAGAAGGAGGGAAATAATAGAAAAATGTCCTGTGTCAAGTCAAGAAGGAAAGGAGTTCACAGCAATAGATGAGGGGAGTCATCAGGATAAATAGACGGTTAGGACTTTCAGAAAAAAGGAATTTACAAAAGTTGCATGGTTCAAAAAAAAAAAAAAGAGAAATGCAACTTACAGAGGATAATGTTGGATTTTAAAAAGGGTAATCCAGCCCATGTATGTAGGCAAGAGTTTCTACGATAAATAGAAGGGAAAAAACTCTATGTGACCTCCCAGGAGGAGGGAAAACGAAGGAGAAAGAGGATGGCCAACATCCAGCATTGCCAGCCATTGCCCTGCAACACCTGATTACCCACTGCCAGAGAAAGTAGGTCATGAGGGCATGTGCTGCTGCCTCAGGAACATCTTACAGGTGACCCAGAGCCTGGCCAACAGAAGCTGATCCAGTCTCCTAAATCCATCTTTGACTCCTGCATTCAACTTACCCCTTAACCTGTGACTGCCATTTTCTTCAGGGTTGGCAAATAGATTTTATCTGCTGTACCAGCTCTAACTGAACCTGAAGCATTACACTGAGAGGAATTCTGTAGCAGAAATGCATCCAACTATAAATATAGCTTCTCACTCTGTCTTGCAGACAGAGGGACTATGGGACCCAGTTCTTGCCAATGAGATGAAAGTAGCAGCAGTTTGGAAGTTGTAGTGAGTTGAATAGTGGCCCCCTGACAAAATAGGTCCACATCCAGGCTGCTGTGAATGTGTTCTTCTTTGGGAAAAGGGTCTCTGCAGATGTATTTTAGCTGAGAATCTAGAAACAAGATCATCCTGGATTATCCAAGCTGGCCTTCAATTCAATGACAAGAGTCCCTATAAGACACCAAGGAGAGATGCATGGAGAAGAGAAGGCCATGTGAAGATGGAGGCAAAGATTAGAGCAATGCAGCCACAAGCCAAGGAATGCCTGGAGTCACCAAAAGCTACCAGAAGCCAGGAAAAACTTTCCCCTAGAGCCTTCCGGGGACCCAGTCCTGCTCCCCAGAGTTGAGAGCACAGAATCAATTTCTGTTGTTTTAAGCCATGCAGTTCCTGGTAATTTGTTACAGCAGTCCTAGGAAGCTAATATAGTAGGACTTCTAGGAGAGCTCCTTAAAAGCTGACAACTACTCTTTCACTCTTCTATTAAAATCTGCCCTAAGAGAGAAAACTGCAATTGGGTGAGATTGAGCCACATACGGACCAGCAGATTCTCATGTCCTTCTCTGGACTGTGGCATCTGGCACGCACATCACCAGGCTCTCCACCTCCATCCATGCCTCTCACCACCTCCCATGTCCGTGTGTGATCTCACCTTTAAGTATGTTGGGCCTGTGGGAGAGGCCTGGATTTGTGATCTGGCCTGGACAGTGTCTCCACTTTTCTTTTTGACATGGCTGTCCAGTCAATTTTAGCTCTCACCCCTGCTCCTAGGGAAGCATTCAGACTCCTAATGCTCTCACATAAAATAACAAACTTTCAGGAGCACAAAGTCTAGCTCAGTAACTCAGATCCCATAGAATAAGATATTTGGAAACCAGATGGGAGGCAGACAACAGACTTCATGTCTACCATAAAACAGTGAACTGCATTCAGGGAAGATTACATGTTTGAGTATTTAGTAATTGCTTCTAAAGCCGGGGGAATGAATAAAATCTCCAGCCAAAAAAAATTTACTGCCTTCAAAATAGTAAATATGCAATGTCTATACATTTCCAAACTAACATATTTTGATTAAGCAATTAATGTCACTATATAGCTCTTTCTCTGTCTCCCTCAGTCTTGCTGAAGGATTTAACATCAAACAATTCAACAGTGACAGCTGGTGAGAAATCAGCTTTGAGATTTCTCATTAAAAGTAATGCTGTGTTAGTAGCCAAGTACTTGTGAAATGTTAAAATTTAATGGTGTGGAAAAGGCTTATTCTAACTTTGCAGATTGTACCATCTTTGCAGAAGTTGGTAGAAGATTACAACTTGGATTGTGGAAGGCCTGGTGTAGTTACAAAAATGACAGGAATTTGCAGAAATAGGTGTCTACCAGGTTGTAGAAGTATCCACCTGAGTTGTGATACTTACTGTGGTTTGCTTTGTGGCATTCTTGAAACCTCCAATTAGCTCTCCTGCTTGCATAAAATAAAGTTTTTTTGTTTTGTTTTGTTTTTTGTCTCTGCTTCTTCACTCTACAGTCTCACCATTTTTGGCTGTTATGCTGAATAGACAGATTTATTCAGCTTGTATTATCTCCCCAATGCTGTTTTCAGGAATACTCTGTCCAATGTCTTATATCATGGCATTGTATAGGCATTTACAAAATTCATTTCTCTGGGACGAATAGCAGGAAATAAACTTTCATTTGTATTTTAGATGGAGAACAAAAATACGAGAACTCACATCCAATGTAATCAAAGCTGCCCATTTGCATTTGGGGGAAATAATTACATTCTTTATCTCCTAATCTTAAATCACTTACTGAAAACTCCAAACACCTGTGACAATAAAAATGTACAACTACACAAATTATTCAATGGATCCCATCTGTAGATTTTAATATCAGCACCTTCCAGCCTAGTAACTGCACTGCAATTGACGCTAGTTGAGAGGAGGAGGTAATACGTGGGCTCTCTGACCGCCCCCATCATTTTCTTTTCTAAAATTCGAAAGCACATGGAGTGGGAACAACATGGTTTCATATACAACTATGTATGCATTTGAATGATTTGTGTGATTTTTACCTAATGTTTCATATTAGTATGTCTTATCTCCTCAACTTGATTGTAAGCTCTTCAAGGGCACATAGTTAGAGCTGAAGTATATTGGCTGCTGTGAGCATTATTATCATCAAGGTGATCGCAAGAAAAATGGTAGGCTGAAAGTAAAGCAGGGGGTGCTGTAGCAAGCCAACAGAAAATCCAAACCAAATGGCTGCTAAATCTCTCAGTTTAAAAGTAGGGTAGAGAGAGGACAGGACCACTGTGCTTGGAGACAGGCAGTCCCTAGTCCCAGTACTTCCATTCTGTGATCTTCCATAAGTCACCCAAACCCTCTGAGGCTCAGCATCTTCATGTATAAAGTGAAGGTAATAATATAGTTGTTATTATATTAGAAAAATATATGTAAAGCCCCTGGCACATTATCAATACTCAAAAAGTGTCCACTCATTTGACAAAATAATTCTATAATATTGTACCCAATATTGGGGCTGGGAGAGTTCTGAGAGCTAAGCTGGTCCAACACCTGTTCTTATAGTGAAGAAACCAAGGCTTAGAGAAAGGAGTTGATCTGCACCCAAGTTTAGTCAGGAATTTGCCCACTCAGAGTTAATGGCAGAGCAAGAACTAGAACCCAGCGGGCTACACCAAGGCTGTGGCTATAGCTACTCTGCCTACTGCCTCTTTCATGTCTCTTCACACGGAACCCTAATTCCAAGGGGATATGAACTCCTTCTTTTTATCTTTTCTTCCCCACAGCACAGCCTCCTATTCCAGACGAAGAGATCACAGAGCCCTTGTGAGATAAAATAAGATCAACTCTGAATCAGGAGCCTGGGGCAACTGCCAGGCTTCCCATATGGGCCACATCTAGCTTTGGGCATTTTCAAAAGAGGCTTTGATGGATCTCTATCTGCAGTGAAGCACATGACCAGCTAATGTTCCCAGCTGATGTGGTCCTGGTTCATGACCTAGAAGAATTCTTCATAACTATCTCCAGGAGTAGTCATGAGAATGGGGACAAATCATTAAACAAAACACAATAGCAGGAAAGCACTCCCGCCAAGATATTCTCTCCCAGCACCTTACTTCCAGTGCCACAAAATCTACCAACAGAGCTTCATCCCTTCCAAGGATGACATTTATCCTCTGGCACGTCACAAATGCTCTTGAGAGATGTAACATATTATAAACCATTAATACCAATTGAATTATCGGAAACCTTCCACTGCAAAAGCTGGGAACTTCTAAGCAGAACATGATTTGCATTAGATAGAATTGGCCAGAGAGGGAAACAGGAAGCAGTCAGAAGCAGTATTAGTTATGCCCTCTGCTGTTTGGGGAGCTGGGGACAGCATGAAACCACTGGACACTGAAGAGAAAATGAGATTTCAGGATCAGGAAGGCATGAGGATGATGAAGCAGAGAACTCTAAAACTGGGCTTTGCAGTCATTTGGTAAAATCAAATTACTTTCCCTTAGAATCTTTTCTGAGAAAGGCGCTCTTGTTTTTCCAAGAAGCTGAGTAAATCATCATCCAGTGTCCTTAAATTTCCTCTTCTACCCATTGTGCTTTATCTCCTAGGAGAGCAACTTGACAAAACTGCACAATCACTGCAAACAAGAGCCCATCACAGACAAACAAACAGCTACCCACTCACCAACAGTGTGGGTGCCAGCTTGTAACTCAATTACTTGCGCGTCCTAACACTAATTTACGGGGTTTGGAATGGCTGTCACCGTCCTTGAAAACATAGCACTAAAGAGACACAGATGTTCGTCACTGGTCACTGACATGGTCCCAATACCCCAGGTGTTTGCTTCCAAGCACTCTTCCTCTCTCATTTTGTGCAGAAAATTTAGTGTCATGTGACCAATACTCATAATCAGGATGCAGGAAAAGTCTCCATACACTTTATGAGAACTGGGGATGTTTGTAGTTGGAATAGAATAATAGTAGTTATGCCAAAGCCTGATCCAAATTATTATGTAGGATAGAAAATGCATGACGTGATCAGAAGTGGAGTAATTGTAGATAGCCAACTGCTTCCTCCAGTTCTCCACTAATGGCACTGAGCTTTCCTGGGTTAAACATTCATATACAATGTCCCTGTTAACTACAGGTATGTAAGAGCTAAGTAATTTTTAATTTTGGATATTTGGCCTGAGGGCATCAAAGAATATGGTTAAGCAATCTGGAGTATCGAAATAAAGGAGGGCCATACCCACTTGACAAGGCAGCTTTTCAGAAACTGTCCTCCCCACGACAGTAGCTCCTGAAGAACTTTCAGAACAAAAGTCAATGTTATGAGTTATTATTTGTTCTACCACTCTATTAATATTCTCACTGCCATTAACGCTCCTAGCCCCCAGACATCCTTAATATATGAGCAGCTCTGGTACGGTGTTGAGGGAGAGACAGAACTAATCAGAAAGGGGTAGAGAAATTAAGTTAGTAGAATCTTTGTGAAAGACTCTTGAAGGGTTAAGAATACTACAAGACTCTCACAAGCTGAGAGCATCATGCCATCAATAAAATCTACTTAAAGTTCTATAATCAGTCTTGGTCTTAATTTAAGTCATTTTGAGACCTTGAAGTCCCACTGACTCCTGCTGGTTCCAGCAATGACTACAAAGCCCTGGCTGCAGTACGATCCTTGACGTATTATAACGTAATTTACGGAAAGTCAGTTTGCTATGAGTGAAACCTCTGACAAAGCAGAAGACAGTGTGCTCAACAGACTTCAGAAAATTGCCAATTTCCATATTCAAGGAGAGCCCCCTGACAGTATAACTTGGGGGCACAGACACTGGGGAGGGCTCTTGTCTGCTTTTTTTCCAGCCTTTGTCTGCCACTGCTGCTGCAGACTAAAGGATACACTATTAGTATTGCACAGCACCCTAGCTGTTTAATTTAGGCACTTATGATGTTACATTTTTAAATTAGAAAGAGTTTTGAGCACTGAACATTCCATTTGCTAATTTTTTTTTCCTTTCTTCCCTCTAGAGGTTCCTGTACCATTTGAAATAAAAATTCATTTCCTTGAATACATGGAATTGATGCTAATTAAAATGCCTGCAAGAGTTAAAGGAATCAGCCAGCCCCAGGAAAATATAAGGTCAGTTTTATTTTTCAAAGGGCATGGAGAAAAATTAAAATATCCTTAATTCAAGTCATAGATTTTATAGAATTTGAAGAGACTTTACAGCTCCTCTAGCAAAGTAGGAGAAAGGGCATGGTCTCTAAAGCCAGACAGACTCAGGTCTGACGCTTGGCTCTGCCCCTTCCTGAGTCTTTGACCTTAAATAAAGACAATTACCCTACTCCCCACCCCACTGGATTAGAAAAAAGATGTTTTTAGCAGGGAAGATCTGACTGTCAAATGTGTGTAGGATGTGTTTCTGTTTTACTTTGGCATTGGGGTTGAGGGTTAACGTCTGTTGAAATGAAAAGGATATTAGTGACAGAAAAATGAGTCCAAGTTCTATTAATGAGACGAATTTGAATTTCTCATATGGAACACATGGGCTGCTTTCAGAAGGAACTGTGTCCTCTCAGCCATGAGCTCTCCTATTTCAGATTCCCCCGGGCAGTGTTCCAACACGTTAGTCATTCCCATATTACCTCTGAGGGTTCTTGCCATATCTGGACTCTACTTGTATTTACTCCTGTTCTTTTTACTAGACTTTGAATAAACTCATTTTAACGACTTATCCTTAAGATACTACTACTTGTAACTTAGAAATAGTAGGTTTGACATACTAATTGTACATATTTTAACATACAGTTAAATACATACCTATAAATAGCCATGTTCACCTTATGCCATTCAAAATAATTTTGCACACTGGTCATTGGAAAATCCTTCTTTAGGGGAGAGATAGAGTGGAAGATCACCATGGTTTTTCCCCACCCCATCTTAAAATTACGAGATCTATGTCCCCAACCCTGCCACAGTGAAGAACAGTGAATGCTCAGGCAGAGCTCACCCCACCCTCTGCTAGCCCTCAGTCACTGGCATTAGGGGACATTGAAATTCAGCAAAGAATATGAAATGTGCAGAGGGGACCTAAACTCCAATATTGAAGGTAAGTGGGAAGGGGAGGGGAAGGAACCAGGGTACAAGTGAGAAGGGAAGAGAGGCTAAAGGAAGAGACAGCTAACTGGGGGGTAGGATGAAACAAGAAGGCAGTGAGGACACCTTCAGGCCATGGCGGGTACAGATCATTGCTGAGCCATCTCCTGGCTCCATGACCTGGTGCCATTGTTTATTACTTCAATTGTCATTTACTGGACTTTAAATACACTCCTTTCACAACTTAATTAATATCTGTGAAATAATGGCTCAGGGAGCAACCAGAGCAGGCGACACCCCTGCCCCACCGCACCCAAGGAAGCCTGGGCCGTGCTGCAGTTGAGGGAGTCAGTAACAAAATGGGCCTAAAGCCTCTCTCTCTCCCCACCTTCTCTCTCTCTGTCCAGCTCTGTAGCTCCCATTTGAATACCGTGCATAACAAAGGGCTTACATCCTCACAGGGGCCCAGATGGTATACCCACACTCTGGGGAAAGATAAATCTAGTGGCTTCCAAAAAAGCTGATCAGCACCCTCCATCCACTCACCCCTCATCCTTGTTCTTGGCCATCTGGCCAGCATGCTTAGCGAGGAGAACCCCTGAGGTAGGAGGAGCCAGGCAGCACGCAAGTCACCGTCCCTGGAGACTGAAATGCACCATGGAGGGAAGGAGTGGAGGAGCTTGCAGGAGGATTGCTGAGTCCCTTCTCAAGGTGGTGAGCACTGGATGAGCTTTCATTGTTCGTGGAACTCCCTCGTGTTGTAATTAACTTGCTCGAGTCCACAGGAATCAGGTTTGAGAGCAGGGATCAGACAGAGGTCTTCTGACTTCCAGCCTACTGCTCTCTGCAAAGTGACTTCACCTGATGGTTTCCCAAGGCTCATGCACCAGCCCGGCACACCCCGCAGTGGCTGGGAGCACAGTCCTGGGAAGAAAGACCTCATCAGTGGGCCTCCCAGCTCTGCAACCTTAGCAAGACCCTAAGCCTCTCTAACACTTAATTGCCCATGAATAAAATAAACACACCCCACTCTAAGCCTCCTTCCAGGAGAAACAGATAATGTTTGTCAATACTGAGTACAATTTAGTGAACACCAGCTTCTTCCCATGAAATGTTCAGTTCTCTGTGCCCAGGACTGAGAGCAAAACAGGGGCATGTCTCTCATCCTTACAGTTTTATCAAGAGGCTCACTTTTTTCCTGGCAGAATTATCCAGCATGTCCAAAAGTGTGTTCCCAAGTGATGACTGTGGGAGGATTCTTCAGTGAATTGAACAGTAAGACAGCATCCCAATTCCTAAACACTTCTAAGTAGGGCCAGGAGGTTTGAGGGGGCACACAATGCACTCTCAGGAGCCTCATAGTCTCATCAAGGATCCAGATGCTGAAGTATTCTCACAGCAGCCTTTGCAGACAGACTTAGAGGGTGGGGCTGATCCAACGGGCTGGTAGGGAATCCCAGGACCTGCTCTCTGTAAAGCTTCCTGGATTGAGGCACAGCCAGACTTGAATTAGAGAATCCTTACTTATTCAACAAACATTTACTGAGCATCTACTATGTACTGGGCATTGACTGGGGACTAGGAATACCACGAAGAATGGAGAAAATTAGACAAAGCAAATGGAAATTGCATTGTTGTATGGTGAGGCAATAAAAGCGAACACAGAGGCTATTGTTCCCATTCATAATGGAACTTTAAAACACAATATAACTTTTAAGTACATCATCAACAAAATCCCTAATGGGATATTGTTCCTTCTGTGTTTGTTTGAGGCTTTGTGTTTGGCCCTGAGGAACCACAGAAGGCCCAGAGTGGAGCTGTGGATGGCCCACGCCTTCTGCATTTCAATATCAAAGTGAGGAAATGTTTTCATTTCCTGAGTAATTTCAAAAAATGATTTCATAGAGAAGTGCAGCAAGTCAGCATAAACATTTTTTAAATGTCTTCAAACTGTACACAGATTTAGGTAATGAAATGTTCTGGGCTTCTGTGACTGCCACATACCGCCCAGGCAGGCTCTGGTGTTTTCTAGGAATTCCTTCCCCCAAGGAAGGCAGCTACTCACTGGCACGGCTCCCTGAAAGCAGTGGTCTGTTGGGTACAGCCAAGGAATGGGTGTCCAGGATGAGGGCTGCCTGTGTGTCTGGATTTTGCACTGCTTTGTTAAGGCTCAAGAGTCTGTTCAGGACATATTACCAAGGGTATGCTCTTCCAGCTGAGTCATCTCTCCCTGCCCGCAGCTGCTCTGTGTGGTCTGCCTCATGCTGTTGGGCACCTTATGTTTATCAAGCACTGATTATCCATCAGGCACCAGTCTCCATGTTTGTGCACAACAATCCTTACAGCAGCTTCATGAGGTTGGGGTCATTATCCCACGTTTAAAATAAAGAAATGGTGACTGGCTCTAGAAAGCCACCAACCTCCCCAGGGGACACAGTTGTCGACAGAGTCAGTCTGGGCCACTCCACCACATTATGTAGGAGCAGCCCAGAGTTCCTCAGAACTCCTCTACCCATCACCAGGCTACCTACATGCAATACACCTTCTCTTAGGATCAGATTCCCAGTTCCAAATCTGGCATTTGAAGGCCTCTAACTTCCTACCACAAAGCTCTGTTTTGACCCCCTGACCAGTAGTACCCTTTCCTGCCCCCGTACACCTCCTTTAATGGTCTATCTTGCCCTTACTATGTCCAGCCTGCTTCTGAGTCTTGATTCCTCACTTCAGAAACTTCACCCTAAGTTTGCCCTACCCTTCAAGGATCAGTCAGCCTCACTTCCTCCAGGAAGTCTTTCCTGGCTGGTGTAGCCCACTCTTCCCATGAGATTCACTGTTCCCTATTTTCTGTGTTAGTGTTGTGCCTCCAACAGGACTTACGCTCCCAGAATAAGGGGTCATGCTTCATCTTGCTTCCACCCACATCACCCGACATACACTAGACAGCATTAAGCAACTGACCTGCATTTGGCCATCCATTATTGATAGTACCTTTGTTTTTTCTCACTGATCTTCAATGTAGCAGATTCATCAATATAAAAGAGCTGAAAAAGGCCAGGCATGGTGGCTCATGCTTGTAATCCCAGTGCTTTGGAAGTCAAGGTGGGAAGATTGACAGAGCAGGATTATTGCCATCTTGGACAAGTATTATTTTAAAATTCACCTTAATCAAAAACCACCTAAATCCAAAGGGCATCAGCCTAATGGCTAAGGTCAGCATGACCATAAACCACAAATAACATCTCCAACCAGAAACATTCCAAATTCCTCCCCAAGCAGAGACATGCTTCCCCCAAGATAACCCCCCTTCAGCCGGGAAGATGCCAGCCCCGAGACAACCCACCTCCTGCCAGAAAGATATCAGCCCCAAGATAACCTCCCCTCCATCCAGAGACATTCCAGCTCCACCATAAATTTCTCCCCCACACAGAAACATTCCAAGCTTGTAATAAGCCCCCTCACCCTAAAACCAATATATACTCAGTCTGTTAAAAAAAAAAAAAAAAAAAAAAAAAAAAAGCCAATCCTAGCTGAAATCAGCCAGGAGCCCCTCTCAGGTTTTTTCTCTAAAATAAACCTTCCTTTAACTGTTAAGCCATGTTTTGTGTTTCTTTCCCCTTTCTTTAACTCTTACACAGATCACTTGAGCCCAGGAGTTTGAGACTAGCCTGGGCAACATGGTAAAACCCTATCTCTACTAAAAATACAAAAAATAGGCCAGGTATGGTGGTGCATGCCTGTAGTCCCAGCTACTCAGGAGGCTAAGGTGGGAGGATCACAAGACTGGGAAGTCACGTCTGCAGTAAGCCAAGGTTGCACCACTGCACTCTAGCCTGGACAATGGGAGCAAGACCCAGTCTCAAAAATAAATAAATAAATAAATAAATAAATAAATAAATAAATAAATAAAACCAGCTGAAAAGGAAGACCAAAATAGAGCACCCTCAAAAACACGGGGCTTTATTTCTTTACTGCTTTGGGAGTTTAGAGCCTGCTGAACTAATAGGTCCCCTTTTCCACTGGGCAGAACAAAAGGGCTTCCCTAGGACCACTTCCCTGCTGGAGAAGCTGGGTTGAGGCACAGACTTGAAGGCTGCACTGAGGGAGCCAACTCAGGTGTTGAACCAGGGCACTCAGAAGCCACATAATCCAAGGGTGAATCTGAATCTTGGCCAAGAAGGGAAGCCAGAGGTGAACTCCAAGAGACTAGAAGAATTAAGCTTGATTTCAAAGGGCACACAAGGCCACACAGAGAAAAATAAGGCCCAAATCAGAATCCCAAGAGATATGAACAAGTGAGACATGAGGTAAAAGGTGTGAGCCCTAGACCAGGTCTCAGTCAGCTTGTTTAATGGAGCTCCAGTTACATGAGCAGCCTCTAAGCTAGCAGGTCTTCAGGAAAGAGGGACAGAGACCAAAAGACTCAATGTGTTTTGCATACTTACATTTTTAGTTCCATTTTAATGTTTGTGCTTTTTTTTGTCTCAGTTGATTTAAATTTTTTTACATGCATTTTTTTCCACTTAAAAAACTTGGAACAAAGTATAAAGTTTTAGCAAATGTAAAATATTTATTTACTTTATCCAGTGAAATAAGTTGAAATTATTCAACTAAATTTTTAAAGAAAGAAAATATGAGAATGTGACAGATACTATGAAATTCTGTTTCAAGGTTTTGCCTCAGATATTCCACTGCAAGCTGTGAAGGCCTCCCTTGCTGGGTCCAGGAAGAAACCCAGGGGAGAGGCATGACATCACCACATCCGTTGTGCAGATCCAGTCAGGTCAATCCAGTATTGACAGTCTCCGAGGAACCTCAGTGACATGGAGGTGGAAGGACTTTGGGTGGGGAGAGTCATAGGAGGGGGCAGGGGTGGTACTGACAGCTTCCAGGGAGAGATGGCTTCCTTTGTTTTTCTGCAGTTGTAACCCTGTGAAGGGCAGCTCAAATGACCTTAAATGTCAGTGTAGACTTGGTGGCCATAAATGTGAAATGGGGTTGGGATGGGAAATTGTGGCTCAGCTGGATTCTAGATTAAAAATACAAGACTTTCAGAGAAATTCCTCCCTCAACAAGTTATGGTGTGTCCAGGTGTCACATAAAAGTCAACCTTGATTTATGTGGTCTGCACAAGAATGAAGGAGACCCTGGATTACAAACTGTCTGGAACTCATTGTCTGGCCATTATCAGAACAAATCCTATTCTCAGATAATGGACATCTGTTAAATCTTCTACTGTTAATAGAAAATGTTGCCTGTGGGACAGTGGCTTTTATGATAGTACCATCTCTTCTGTGATAACAGTGCTCTAAATCTTATTTTAACCAAGTGATTATGTTTGCATCTGGTTTTCTTAGGGGGGAAACGAATAATGGGCCACAAAATAATCCATTGTGTTAGAGATGTCATGGCATAACGAACGGTTGATGAGATACCAAACTCTCCTGCCTTTAGCCTCCTGTTGAGCCCCCAGAGATCAGTGGCTCCAACCTCCTTAAAATCGAGACTCCTTAACCTGGACTATGAGATGCATAGGGACAAGCTCCCATGCCACTGCCACCTGTGCAATTTACGCTGTAAGCATGCCAACATTTTGAAGTTTCCCACACCTTCCAGACACTACTATCTCTCTTTGCCCCAAACTCCTCACCTCTATTTCCTTCCATGCTACAAACAACTTATCCACTTAACTCAAAATTCACCTCCTCTGAGAAGCTCTCAATGATATTACTCTCCTCTCTCAGGTTGGGTTAGGTATCCATTTTGGGAGCCCCATAGAACCTAAATATTTTGTTTATATCAGCCACAATCTTACTGTTTGAGTATGTTTACTTTTTATTTTCCCCATTTGACTCTCAAAGCACAACCCTCAAAAACAGCAGTCTATCTTTTTTACTCCATTATCCACAGCACAACAATCTAGCTCAAGAATGATTAAATTGATGATGGGAAGGATCAGTGGACAGATGAATAGCAGAATGAACTACTTACAAGAGAAAGATGCTAGGAGGTAGAAGCTGAGCCCTTCCAATGCAGAATGCTGAGAAATAGCTATTAATAACAGGGCAGAGGTATTACAAATTTACCTTGGATCTTAAAAATACAAATTCAATAAGAAGAATGGCTACAATTCATATGTTTAACCTTTAATCAGCTCATTTGCCTGATCCTCGATGTATACCTCTCACTGGGCTCTGTCCTAATCTTCATAAACTGTCCTTTGAATTAAGGGAAACAATTCAGTCTTCTTTCTCCCTCCTTCCTGAAGTTCAGCAAAGGTTAAATGGACACAACACAACTACAATCTGGTTGGTCTCAAGACACCGGTTTCTGAGCCTGTACTTCACCCAAACTCCCAAATCTTATATCAGCTATGATCCTCTTCCCTCCATTAAAAAAACCTCCACCAAACAAAAGGTCTTCAAACCACCTTTTAGGTAAGCAATGACCTGAATCCAAATTTGGGATCTACCATTTGTCAGCTGAGAAATCTCAGGCAGATATTTAAGTTCTCTAAATGTGAAAGCTCTTATTTGTAAAGTGGGGACTATCATAGTGCCAAGTTAAAAAGGTCATTGTGAGGAATAATGAGGAAAATGGGAAGCTCTTAGAACTGTATGTGATACACAATGACTAGTTAATATGTCACCAGGATCTGTCAAAGACAGCTGTGAAACAGAATTGGAGCAATGCCTGAAGATTAAGCAATGACAAAAGTCCTAATTTTCAAGGATTGAGAGAGTATGGATCCAAAATACATGTCTGAGATACACAGTGATATCCAGGGGAACTGTAGAAAACATCTGAAAGAGACGGTTTATGAGCACTTAGAAAAGAAAGTGGTAAGGCTGGGGACCCAAAATGAGTGTATACATGATAAATAAACCAGGTGAACTTTAACTCCTGTTGGATTGAAGGTCACGGATATGTATTTGTAATTACAATAACAGCAAATACTTACGTTGCACTTATGTGCCAGGCACCATTCCAAGCACCCTGCACATATTAGATGATTCAATCCATACAAAAGCCCTACAGGTAAGTACTATCAATATTCTCAATGACATATGAAGATATTGAGTCACAAAGGGTTTAAGTCATTTGTCTAATATCACACAATTATAGGAAATATTAGAGCTAGGATTTAAATTGATGAAGTCCAGCTCCACAGCCTGTTCTATGCACTACAGCATGCACACTACAGCTCTGCTATCCCATTCCCATAGCAGACATTGCTAACCAACCCCAGCATTCGTTATCACCGAACAGAGATATAGGTTCAACATTTTTCTCAAAAGACTAAGAGGGACTACACCTACCTAATCTGTTAGCATTATCACACCAGAGGAAATCCATTTGTCATTCCTGTCATTGGCATAATATGTCCAAATATTCATAAGGAAGGCAGCAAAGTCTATTATTATTATGGACTTGGTGGAAAAGAGACCCATGAGAGATTTATAGTTGGCTGAATACATGTACCTTAAAACATCATACTTCTCACTAACAGGTCAATGTGCATCTGAAGGGAGTCTCCAGGAGTTGCCCCAAGTGATCTGTACTTTAGCTCATTCTCTGCAACCTAGTCATCACAGACTTTCATGAAGAGCTAAAGCATAGGATCCGGTGAATACACAACTATGTCACACCATAGTTTTGAGATCACAGTTCAAAACATTCTCTGAGGCTCTATATCCACAGGAGTCTGCAGAGGCAAGTTTTCCCTCTAGACATTGTTGTATTGCTCCTGTCTTTACTCAGGCTTGTAGGAGATCCTGGGGCCAACAATGGAGAGAGGGGCAGAGGAGGTAGAGCAGGCCAGGATGTTCAGAGAAGATATATAAAAAAATGACACCGGAGTCTCACCAGATGGACTCCAGCACCCAGCCATACACAACTAGTTGTGTCAGCTCTCTAGCCATAGTAAATTGCCCCCAGAGGATTTGGATTCTCATTAAAGGTGAGAAGATGTCCACAGCCCAACTGGCCTCTCCCTGCTTCTAGGTGAGGTTGGTCCCAGCAGGGTAAGACTGTGAGCAGAAGACTTGGAGAAATGTCCCTAGTGTGGTTAAATACCAGCTTATACCACAGCCCTGCTTACGTATATGTAATGAGGAAAGTAAGCGGGTCTAAAGGCTGGTCAGAAAGCTTGTCACTGTAAGAAAATGAGGCTCTCTCATTGCTGGCAAGAAAAGCACCTTGTGCAAACAGGGGAACACGTTCTCTAGCCCACCATCTTTCTTTCAGTGCAGCAATGCAACAGCAGTGACATCCATCTGTTTGTTGATTTCTTTTCTAAGGCAGGAAATTAGGTGTCCACAGAGACCCTGGATGAATAATGCATAACATGTGCAAACAAAATCAACCCTCAATTAACTGTGCTGGTGGAGAGAGGCTGCAAGAATCGAAATATCTGACAATCCTAGAAAAGTTTTATTTCTCCTTGAAAATGTTGGAGAAGTAAACGGTAGAAGACTCAGCCACACACACACTAGAAACAAACTCATGGATTGCACATGCTGTGGGTACACCACATTTGCACTCACACACATGCTTATGTGTATGCACACACATTCAGTTCACACAAACTCATACACAGGTTGAGTCCCAATTCAAAAAGCAAGTAGACTTCCTCAGGAGGGTACTGTATTCTCTGTTGCTAGGAAGTAGGTAAGCAGGAGTAGAAAATGCTTGTTGCAGATGCTGGAAAGGAGATTCAAGTATCTGCTGGGGCTGGAATGCCTTTAGGCTTCCCTGAATCCCTTAGAATTTGTGATTTCAAAATTTGCTCAAGTCCAGCAATAGGTTATATCCCATATCAGTGTGTCTTGCACCATGAAGTATATTAGAGAACCCTCAGGTAGTTTCCTTGAACCTGGGAATTTGGTAAAATAACCATAAAACAGCAACACATTCTGTTGCAGTTGTCTGTAGACTTGGTTTCTGATAGACTTCAGTAGACTACTGAAGGAAATTAGATTTTGTCAGTCAGCTATCATACATTTGAATGCATACGTATCTACATACACACTTATTCCTAACCTTAGTGAAACCACACAGATATTAAAGGACTTTCCAGAGCTCATACAGGGGGTTAAGGTCTTTGCTGAATAAGGACCTCATGTTCCTATTCCCTGCCCAGTACTTCATTCAGTTACTTGGGCTGTAGGAGGAGGCTATACTTATTTCATATAGTCACATCCTGAATCCTGGCCTCATATCTGTACCTCTCTGTCTTTGGTCACCACCACAGGGTAGTGATGTTGCAAGCATGTGGTGGTGCCTCTCAGGAGGGCACACGGGAGATGTACATGCATCCCATTTGAAACAAGAAAGGCAAGGAGAACACCAATATGCTGATTCATCGGGATGTGACCTCCCACTCCTCTAGGGTTATATGCAGCATCATGAAAAGTCTACATTTCCAGGTTAAGAGGACCTACTACTTTTCTTTGGTAAAATCCTTTTAAAGGCAATAAAGAATATCTCCTACCGATCTCCAGTTTATGTGTTACATCAAAAATGGAAGTATCAGGAGTCCACTTTTGATGCTTACTGAATGGAGGCAGAAGATCAAAGTTTACTGTTTTTTAAAAGAAATGAAAAAACACTTGAAAAAAAATGCTGACCTTAAGACACATGCATGCTAATATCTTCACTCCTTTGTATTCCCTTGGTGGTGTCCTGCCCACAGATGTCCCATGGGCTGCACTACCACCAGAACTGTGTAGTTTTGCTGTGCTCAGGGAAGACTCCCCAGCACAGGTGGGATAAAAGCCAGTGGATGGAAAATCCTACACTAAAACTTGAACTCATCATGTGCCACGTAGCACAAGCACCAGGTTCTGCCTCTGAATGTGCAGACACGTAAGAATGTGGGATTCTGGGGTAATAGAATATTGGTGGGGCAAAACATGAGCTAGAGTTTGGAGAGGAAAAGACAGACATATGGTAAATCTCTGGATGGCTCTCAATTGCCAGAACTTGCTGCTCGGGAAGACCTGGTTTTATTTTCTGAAATATTAATTCATCCAACCAATCATTAATTCATTCATCCATTCATCCAACTAGCCAGCCATTTAAGGTTTTCTTTCCAGCTTTTTAGACATTTACTTTGAAAATTCATCCCTCCTTGCTGCCATTAGAAAATTTGGGCTATCAAGTTACCAGTCATTTATTTAATACAGATTAATCAGATAGCAACATAGTAGACTTGCCACTGTGTCTGGCACTGGGCACAGAGTGGTGAAAAAATTAGATCATAGAGCTTACAGTCTTGAGAAGACGACATTAAATATTCAAATCATCATACAAACAAATCAGCAAAAAACGTAATAAATGCTATAACAGAAGAATACAAGAAGCCATGAGTTCTTATAAAAATGAGCCATATAGTGTCCAGCAAAAGGCTTCCACAAGGAAGTAACATGTCAGCTAAGACCTAATAAAGTTTAATTATTGAAGGGATAAGGTAGATTTTCTCAGGCAGCGGAAACAGCATGTGTAAAGGCCCTCTGGTTGAAATGATGGTGCTGTCCATGGCTGCACCCAAGTAGAAGGTATACACATTTTCCACGTGCTCCTTGACATCAAGACCTGGGCTTGCTACTAAGGCAAAGATGGAGAATATATAAAAGATACAGCCTGAGGTGTGAGTTCACTGAAGCAAGGGACCACATCCAGTTCTTCCTCATATCCCTAGAACCTAACACAGTCCCATAGGAAACTATGGTGGATCATGGGGGCTTCATGGATTGAGCTAAAAGACTTGAAGTTGTACAGACAACTTCTGGCAAGACAACTCCAGAAAGGGGATGGTGACAGAGCAAGGCTTGAAAGCAGCAACACAACGAGGGGATGAGAAGGTGTAGGAAGCAACTCCTCTGTTTGGAGGGGTGTATGGGGGAGCATTAGACTGTAGTCAGAGACTTGTAGAAGTAGTGGGTGCCACAGTGGGAGGCTCTCAAAATCCAGGGTGGACTTAATTCATTCTGATCCCAGAAATGAGGCACGATGGAGATATGTTCATTTCAAAGATGCATTTGCCAACCTTGTTGGCCTGTCCCCTGCAATGCAAAGCCTGAAAAGATGGCCCATCCCGCAATTTCTTAATAGATAAACCCCAAGCCAAAAAGCAATGCACATTCCCATCATTCCCCCTGCCAGCCCTCCAGACGCAGCACACAGCCCTCTATATTCAAGGAATAGGAGAGAAGGGAAAGAATGCCAGCCACAGGAGAAGAGCCCCCAGTAGTCAAATAACTTCAGGAGAAAGGCTGCAGTGTGAAGCAGAAAGGATTACATTGCTCAAAATTCTCCTGCTCTAGGGGACAGAACAATATTTATGACAGTAGTCTTGCCTCCCACTGGGCATCCACCCGCTGTGAGTCAGAAGCAGTCCTTGGTCCACTCCTGCTGCTCCATTTAAGGTGTTTTAGCACCTCTAATAGGCTTGTTGTCTTCAAAAAGCTGGAGAGAAATGCCCTGCTTGACATTAACTCTAGGTAGGTGGAGGGTGGTGAGCCATGAACAAGTTACAGTTAGTTAAATGAATCAGCCAATAGGTAGTTACAGCTGAGTTTTATATATAATAAAAAATAAGTAAGCTAGATCCAGAAGGGTTTAGCAACTTGCTGAAGGTCAAACAGCTTTTGAATTACAGAGCTGGATAGCTGAACCCCAACCTCTCTCCAGTCTCCAGAGTAGAGTGATGCTAAATCCAGTTGATCGGAATGAGCAAGGCTCTAACCCTTGCTCTGGACAGAGGCTTTGCGGTGTGCAGAAGGGGTGGTATGATATCATGATATCAGGCACAGCTTGGGAAAGAGAAGGGGAAGGAGAGAATTGAGCAGGAAAGGGAGGACTCTGCAGGTGGGGGTAAGGGTGGGAGGAGGGGGAGGGATACACCAGTGTGACCCTCCCAGTGCCTGGGGCTGCAGCGCAGAAACTGAGCAATTTCCTCTCCTGATTCCGTACTAAATAAAATAAACGTCTCCGCCTCATGTCACAGTTTGCATTTTGAATCTGATTCATGGGGAAAGCACTGGCAGGTAATCTTTATCCCTTTCAAGTGTTTAACTTTTCACGCAGAATACTAATGACAAACATGCAAAAGAGGAGAAACATCAACCTTGGCACGAAGAAAATTAATCTTTCAATACAAAAGAAGAAATTAAACTTTCCATTGCTGTCAATACTTTCGTATTCTTTATCTTTTCTTCATTGTTCATTTTTAGTAGTGTCTTGACATTTGTGAGGGATTTGCCCTAAGGGGGGAAAAACCAAATTGAAAAATTCCACTATTGTTCAAAATTTCCCCCGTGAATATCTGTTTTCTTGCAGAGAACCATCACTTGCTCACACATCTTCACCTTTTGTTCCATTCTGTCATCAACATAAGCATCTTTCTTTCTTTTGGAGGCCCATTTTCCACAAAGACATAGCATCGGTGTCACATCACTGGCACAGCTAAGTACGCTGTGGAGTGAAGGATATTCAGAGGTCAGCTCATCCCTATCTCCACTTTACTGACTCACTTTCACACACAGCCTTCTCACAGTGCAGTGTCCCATAGCTGGTAAGAAGCAGAAGTGGGATGGAAGTTTCCACCCTTATAGCCTTGTACTTATCCGTGTAACACACCACGCACTCACCCCATCCTTGTGGCAAACCTTGGGTGCTGCATAGCCATTGTGGGCTAACAGAGCTCCAGCCCCCAGGAGTAGGGGGACTGATTGGAGGGTGTTTGGGGCGGTGGTTTCCTGGAGTCCTCATTGATGGCTGATGAGCAGATACAGCCAAATAGCTTGAACTGCAGATGGGACTGTGAAAGCCTATGAAGCAGCACCTTAGACTAGTGGAAAATAATAGGGGGAAGCAGAGAATCCCAGGAGACTGCAAGTTTGGTGAGCTGGGAAAACATTAGTCTTAATGAAGAGAGACTCAAGGGCCAGAGAAAGAAGGTTGGGTTGGGATAAATATGAACCCAAACAGGAGCTTGAATAGATGAGACTGAGACCCACTGTCGCTCAAAGAAAGGTCTAGGAGCTGGACACCTAGATGCTGTCTTCAAACATTCATTCAAAAACCTTTCCCAGGCACCTACTACGTCCAGTCACTTCTTTTGAAGTCCTGGAGGTTCAGAGATGAAGAGGATACAGCTATTACAATTCTGGAGTTTCCTTTGAAGACAAAGAGTAGTGAACAGATAAGCACACTGCAATGAGTTATGTGGGCTGATGGAGGGAGGCCCAGCTGTGGCCAGAGTCTAGAGGAAGGGCACTCACTGGGCTTCAGAGAAGGAGGTTCAATGTTGGTTTCTCAGGTGACAATATCCTTGCTCTATCATGAGGCTGCAGAAAGACCACGAGACTGGGGTATGAACTCTGGCCTCACTCTAGCTGTGCAACTTGAATCTACATTACATATTTTGTTCTCAATCTCCTCATGTAGGATGTGAATAAAATGCCTCATATGACTGAATTATAAAAATAATGTATATGAGCACATCTTCCTCAAAGTTAGTGTATGTTAATTCCTCCTGCCATTAATCAAGAATAAACTTATATGCACTGGACCTAAACATGAAAACATAAAAACCATTATTCATCAAAATTGTTTCTAGATTTTAAAAATATCAATTTGAAACTTATTTTGAGTAAAAAGTAAACAAATGTAAACTCTTATTTCTCCTTCTCATCCACCCTAGTTTCTTTCTTTTTTTTCTTTCTTTTTTTTTTTGAGACATAGTCTCACTCTGTTGTCCAGGCTGGAGTGCAGTGGCACAACCTCGGCTCACTGCAACCTCTGCCTCCCGGGTTCAAGCGATTCTCCTGCTTCAGCCTCCCAAGTAGCTGGGATTACAGGCATGTGCCACCATGCCCGGCTAATTTTTTATATTTTTAGTAAAGATGGGGTTTCACTGTGTTAGCCAGGATGGTCTCAATCTCCTGACCTCATGATCTGCCCCTGCGTTGGCCTCCCAAAGTGCTGGGATTACAGGTGTGAGCCACTGCACCCAGCCTACCCTGGTATTCTTTTCTACAGTGTCCATAGTACATGATCCTACCACATTTGCTTGAGTATTTCTAGAGATTGTCATCTTTTAGAACGATTTTCTCTATCTCTTGGAAATTTATGCTCTCTCCTGAAAATTGATATTAATATGAATATCGTTAATCAACAGATTGAAAAGGTCACATACACCATACAACTCTTTCTTGGCCTTCAGCTCAAGAGTTCATTGAATTGGGAGACTATAATGAAGTATAAAATACCAAGATAATGATGGCATCAGCAAACCATACCTGTGGTTTGGTAAGTAGGAAACCTACCAGGCACCATGTTAGAAGCCTTTATAAATAGACATGATGTCACCTGAGTCTCATAACAACCCTGGCTAGGGAGATCCTGTTTCATGCAAAAAGAAATTGATCAATGGTCATGCAGCTAACAGACAGAACTAGGACTCAAAAATAGGTCTTTCTGATATCAAAAACCACACCTTA
This sequence comes from Homo sapiens, assembly GCF_000001405.40. Lineage (NCBI taxonomy): Eukaryota > Metazoa > Chordata > Mammalia > Primates > Hominidae > Homo > Homo sapiens. Next base: position 140,078,983 of record NC_000003.12, on the reverse strand, counting down.
TTCCCCAGCATTTCCATGGTATCCTCCTTATGGATAAACATTTATATATTCCTATCTCAATTCCCTTTTTCAAAGACTGAAAACTTTAGCTTTGATCAACACAACATGGCTGCTGTGTCTGGCAGAAAGTTGATTTTTTCCCTGAATTTCTTATTCACTAACTCATAAACTTAAAATAAAAGGTATCAAGTTCAAAACCAGTTCAATAAAAGCCATCCCAGAAATAAACGATTGCATTCATTACCATGACTCTGTTAATACTATTGATTTTCCCCTGCACCGTTTTCCTTTTCTTTGTTCTTTTTATAAACCATTAGCAGTGGGAAAGCTTACCATTAACCCCACAGACAGCACTGGTAGATCACCACGCTGTCACTCCCGCCCTCTTTTGTGTGTCAGCATAATAATTCCAGGCTGTGGCACAGCTTTTCACCTGTCAGTCATTGAAGACTGTTGGAGACATACACTCATTACATGGAGCTCCCCAGACAGGCTGCTGTCGGTTTGCAATTCCAGATTAAAAAGTCACCTTTAATTTTGTAATGGTCTCAGTAGTACATTATATCACACATTGGTACTATGTTGGCAAAAATAGAGCTCAGTTCTGCCCCAGTCATCTCCCCCATCCACAATTACCAGATACCGTGCATTGACCAGCTCCATGTTCTAATTTCCAATCCAATCAACAAATTAACCAGAAGGAGCTAGTTCAGTACTTCAATGTTTTACCCATTGAGGAGGTAAGTCAAGCACCAATGAAAGGTTAAGGATTAGAGCTGATCACAGGAGAACTACTGCAAGCATCTCCTGACATTGATCCAAAAGAGGGTGCAGGGTGTCCTGTGAGTCCACAGGATAAAGCTCAAGTGGGCTAGAGGGAGCCTCCAAATGCCACCAGCACACATGGTGACCTCTGCTTCCTCTTTCATCTTCCCCTCATCCACCGTGTTACCCAAAATTCAGCTTCACAGTTGACCCTTTGCAGGGGAAATTTTCTACCAATCCCAGCAACATTTCTCTCCAGTTCCTACAACTTCCCTTGAGAAGGAACTTCAAGCCTTAATAATCACACTCAAATCTGGTTTGGATTCCAGGAGAGTTCATATAAATTATCAAACAGTTAAATGCTAGAGAGGGAGCAAACCGGCCATTCCAAACATAAGCAGCTACGGCAAAGTGAGCATTTGATACTGGATGAAAGGACAACAGAGGAAAGAGCTTTGTGGGCAGTGAGCAAAAGTATTCTAGGTTTGAGTATTTTCAAACTATAAGGTTTGAGGTTTTTTTTTTTTCCTCCCCTCTACATGAGAGGGAAACTGAGAAGACCTCTTTCACCGCAGGCACAATGGGGTTTTGTAGGCAAGCCTCAGCAGTGTACAGGGCAGGCCTTCCTGACAGGCAGAGCCCCTTCTCACTAAAGAGAGTCTCCCCCACATCTCGCACATTTGCAGACATATGTGTGGTACCAACAGAAACAGAAATAACTGAGCAACCGAACCACCAATAGAGCTCTTAGATTAAGAACCTTGGTTCAAGGAAGGAGTTTTGAGCAGGTGCTGGACAGAAAGACTGAGAACTCTATGATGTAAATGAGAGCCCTGTGATAAGCCAATCAGCCTGCTGTGGCCTGGAACTGATTGATCATGGGCCAGGAAGGAGCACAGAGGGGTAACCTGGCAAAGAACAAAGGAAGAGGTAGCCACTGGCGGAGAATGACTAGGACAGAAGAGGCCCAGAAGAGAGCTAGGACTGGGAATCCAAATTTACATATGGATGTCTAAGAAAACTTCAGGTTCACAATGAGGCTCTCTTAGGCATAACCTGCAGATGATCAGAATGCTTTTTTTGCTTGTTTGTTTCTAATAACTTCTACATGCTTTCCATTTCATTGAGAGAATTTGGCCTTCTTCATTCATCTTAGAGCTAGTCGTCCTTGTAAATTCAGAGTTGAAAAATGTAATTCAGGCATTAAATGCTGGGGAGCCATAGTAGAGAAGACAGATAATCACCAGCTCCAAAGCACAGTGCCTGGGCGGGCATATTGTGTGTGCTGAGCATCCCACCGTGCAAGGCAGTGTTTAAAGCTGTGAACACACAGATGCAGGGACTGTGGTCTCCCTTTTCATGGTGTTCTCACCCTTCATGGCATCCTTGGTCAAGGTAGGGAGGCCAGAGAGAGCTATAAAGATATACAGAATAATTCACACTGCACAGGCTAAGTACCAAATAAATCATGCAGGCATTCACTGCTGTAGAGTTCCTAGGCAGCACAGTGTGACCCAGGGTGGCCAGGGAAGACTTCAGAGAGAAGGTGGGCCTCGAAGGCTAGGAAAAAAAAAAAAAAAAAAAAAAAAAAAACACTGCTGGTGAGAGGGGAGTCATTGACCACAAAGTTGGGCAGGCAAGTCTGCCTGTCAGCCAGAGTGTGGGAGGCCGGCATTGACATCCATCAGCCACTCAAGTGACATGAAATTCACATCCCAAGGCAGGTCCTGCCTACCAAGCTATAGGAGACTTTTCCTGCTTTAACTATAGGAGCACTGTTGCTTCTTGTGGCGACTAAAATGAGCAGAGCCTGGAGTTTGTCAAAAATAACCCAGGAAGTCTGGGAGGGAGGCTTTAAATTAGTAAAAATGAGCACAAAGCAGGTGAGGAAACAGCCTAAGAGTCCATCAACAGATGAATGGATAAAGCAACCGTGGCATATACACATAATAGAATATTATCCAGCCTTTAAAAAGGTGAAAATCCTGCCATAGGCAACAACAAGGATGAACGCGAAGAACATTATGCTAAGTGAAACAAGCCCATCACAGAGGACAAATACTGTAGGATTCCACTTACATGAGGTATGTAAATAGTCAAACACATACAGAAGGCCGGATGGTGGTTGCCAGAAGCTGGGGAGAGGGGGAAATGGGAAGAGGCTGTAAGAGGTGTAAAGTTTCCATTAGAGATCTGCTGTACAACAGTGGGTCTATAGTTAACAATACTGTATTGCACACAGGGAATATTTTTAAGAGGGTAGACCTCATGTGAAGTGTTCTTACTACAATTTTTTTTTTTTAAGGAGCACAAGATAGGAACTGCAGAGATACCTGCAGGGCAAGAGAATTTGGTGCCCACCTGAGACATGATGACACGGCCCCTCCTGTCCCTCCGCCAACACGAACACCAACTTGTTCACATCCCCAGTGACTGTGCCATGCGGAGAAGGTAGAGGCAAAAGCTGAGCACTAGAACCAAAAAAGCTGAGTTTGACTGGACCACGTTCCTTCTGCATCCCAACAACAACTCACACATAATAGCTTCTTGACACCAGGTGAAGTCTCTAACCTTAATATCCTCATTTGTGAAATGGAGAAATTGACACCACCTGAGCAGGGATGGCATAAGGAGCAGAGATAATGAGGAATTCCTGCCACAAGGTTAGGAGATATAAATGGGAGGGTGTTTCTGTTTTGATGTAAGAGTATTAGAACTTAAGGAAAAATCAATAATCAAAAGATAAAACAGAAAACTCTCCTATATACTTGGAAGTTAAGAAACATACCTCTAAATAACCCATGAGTCAAAAAAGAAATTATAATACAAACAGGAAACTATTTCGAGTTCTATGAGATATGTATATATAAACATGCAGGATTTGGCTGAAGCAGTGGAGGAAAATGCAGAGACTTAAGTGAAGGAAGGACAAATATTAGTGCACTGAAACATCCACCTAAACTAGAAAAAGAGAAAAGGAACCCAAAGAAAGTAGAAGAAAGAAAATAATAAATATTAAAGCTGCTACTAATAAAATAATAAATGTAATTTAGAGAGGGCCAAGATAGCCAATAGCAGGTTCTTTGAAAAAGCTAATAAAGTTGATATACTTCTGGTGAGGCTCACAAAAAGAAAGGAGCAAATAACTAGTATCAGGGATGACTAGTGAGGGCATTTAGCTGGGTATTATTGGTGCTTCCAGAGGTAAAGCCTTGGCCTCTACTTCAGGATCCTGAAAATGCAGGGGAGAGACAAACTGTGTCCATGAAAAATACCAGGAAGTGATTTGGAGAAAGTAAGTACTCTGGGCCCGGGGTTCGGTGGAGAGTGAGCCCCTGACTGGGAAAGCCAGGGAAGGCATTGCAGTGGGGGTAGGTCACTGTTGGATCCCACAAGGAGAACTTTTAATGATTGAGGGAACACAGGTGATATGAAAGAAGACTGCATCTCATAATCTCCCCAAGCTCAGGCTCCGGAGTCAAATGGAACTGAATTTGCATCCCATCTCTGCAACTACCAGCTTTGTGACATTGTACAAATCTCTGTGCCTCTGTTTCCTCATCTGTAAAACGAGAGTAATGATAGCATCTCTCCCTTAAAGGTTGTCATGAACATTAAAGAGTACTCAGCTGCATTGAGTATTACTATTATTATTTTTACACCTCTGTTAACGTAGTATAATGTACCAATTTGGGCAAGAAGCCAGAACTGCACTTCTGTGAATAGGCCCAGACAATAAGGCATCCCTCATCTCTCCATCTGCTCGGCAGTCATTTATTAAGCACCTCCTTTGGGCTAAGAACAGCTACTCCCCCAACCCAGGTTGTCGACATGCTGCCCAGAATGGAGGGGCATCTCCAGTCAACACCCCGGCCAATGCACATGCCAAACCGGGCCCTCTGTCCATCCACTGTTGGGGGGTGGGGGGAGGCAAGGTGAGGAATTATCTCTCAGATACTCAAGTGCTCAAGAATCAAGACAAAAGTTGATGATAATTAGCCCTGAGTGGAAGTGGGTGATTTTTAAAAAATAAACATTTTATCTAAGGAAAATCAAAGGTCAAATGGCAGGTGGGAAAAAAAAAGCAAAACAGCAAGCTATAGCTTTGATCTCAGCTTTCATGCCAAGAGCTAGGGTGCTGGTGTGCACAGTAGCCATAAGTGGAGGAGGGTAGCCAGGCTGAAAACCACCAGGCAGCAGCACCTGTGTCTGGGCCTCCTGGAGTACAAGGCATCATGCTCTTCAGCCTTCCTTGACCACCAGAGAGCCGAGTCTGCTTTTCACAGGGGCAGGGCAGAATGGACTGAGTTCAGAGCTTTTCAGGCAAGTTCACAGGACTGTAAATCACAGAAATGGAAAACAAGAGCAAGAAATAAAACCCCTGGCTTCTCAAGAACTGCCAGTCACTTTCTTTTGGCTGTAAATAACCACAGTTAAACCATGCACCCTTTGCACTTCTAGGCAGGGAAGTGCGTGAAAACATCTGAGGTAAGGATTTTAAATGCTCTCTGCCAACATCTATTTAACACCTACAGCTAAGTGTCCAGTGCTTTAAGGAGAGCTCTGGTGTACCTGCCCCACCCTCGCCAGTGCTCTAGGAGGCCAAGTACATCCTTGGTCCATTGGGAGATGCTTTACAGGGATGGATGTCTGCATGGCACCATGAATGAGGAGCAGGGGGTCAATTGGGCCTGGCAAAGGAATGTGTGTGGCCTGTGCCAAGGGCCCAGTTGTCTGCAGTGCCAGCTTGGCTCTCACCATTCTTCAAGTCCCAAATTAGTCAGCTGGTGAGGCAGCAGCTGAACCCAGATTCAAACCTACATTGTCTTAGTTCCAAAGCTCTGGCATATTTTCAATGGGTATCCACACAACCTAACCAGAAAATACATCCTGGGGGGTGGGAGTGGTAAATGTGGCTGTGTTTTTGGAGTTGGGATAATCCCCCTCTCTCCTTCTTTCTTCCCACTCGTCTATACCTTTACAATTTCACCACATTACAGGATCGTCTTGTAGTCAGGAACTCAGACTTGTCAATTCTGCATTTTCACTTTGATGATATCTTACAAGAAAATGACCGAAAAGCAGTGTTTTGGATCATCTGGGTGGCCATTTTTTACAAAGAACAGCCCAAAGTTCCAGTGCCACCATTCGTGTTTGTGTTTACCAGGACAGTCGCTGCAAATTAAGATCGAATGACATCATGGTCATCTGTGGAGATAAAGGTTTCAGAGTAATTTGAAAAGAGAAAAGTGAGGAGATAAATTGAGTCCTCCGGGTAGAATAAGCAAGAAGCGGAACTCAAACAATCTCCGTAGCAGTCTGTGCCTTGGTAACACGCATCAGTTCATTAGCATAAGGATGGCAGTAAGTACTCCAGGAAAAATGTCTCTGTTCTCAGTTCCAGGGATAATTAGATTAAATACTATTTAACACACATTTCAATAAGCCACAATGCTACCCTTATCTTCAAATAAACCGAGTAGCTTCATGGAATTATCAGTGACAGCTCATTAAAACTGGCTTTGGAGATTTTGATTAATCATGGATCTGAATATCTTGAACTAACAAGGAAAGCCTCAATGTATTAATACAATTTTGAAGCTTATTTTTGTAAACAGGCCTTCCCTTCATTAGTATTATTAGACTAAAACATAGATGTTACATATAAATTGAATCTGTGTCTACACAACCCCACTGTAAACACAGCATCAACACTTTAAACAGAAAACATACATCTGATAAAATTAACATTGTTAATTTGAATTTTATTTGTATTCATTTACATATAACTAACACACGTGGTTTTGATTTATAGAAGAACTATAAGGCTATGAGATTTATACTTAGTTTAATAGTTGCACATATTAGAGAAACAACAGAATAAAAATCATTAGATTCAACATAAGGATTTCTGAGAATTCCTTTTTCTTTCAAATGGAATTGATTCATTACTCAGGTTTCAGCAACATTGACATAATGAAACCCTACTAATGGATATTTATGTTGTTTTCTGTTTTTTTTAAGAAATATAAACAATGTGCAATTAATCTTTTTTCCAAGTATCTTTGTGTGTTTGAGCATACCTATAGGATAAATTTCTAAATACGGCAATGCTGGGTCAAACTGTAGAAGAAAGTTTGATGCTCATAAATGTTGTTAAATTACCCTCCAACAAGATTGCAATTATTCTTTCAAACTATGCATGGGAAATGTCTATTTCAACATACCCTTGACATGTTTTGAATCTTTGCCAATCAGCAAATCTGACAGATAAAGATATATCATAGTTGTTTTCACTTACATTTCTCTAATCAAAAGAAGGTTGAGCATTTTTTCATGTTTGGTGTTTTTCTTTTTTATTTATTTATTTATTTATTTATTTATTTTTTAGACGGAGTCTCACTCTGTCCCCCAGCCTGGAGTGCAGTGGCGCAGTCTCGGCTCACTGCAAGCTCCGCCTCCCGAGTTCATGCCATTCTCCTGCCTCAGCCTCCTGGGTAGCTGGGACTACAGGCGCCCGCCACCACGCCCGGCTAATTTTTTGTATTTTTAGTAGAGATGGGGTTTCACCGTGTTAGACAGGATGGTCTCAATTTCCTGACTTGGTGATCCACCCGCCTCAGCCTCCCAAAGGGCTGGGATTACAGGCGTGAGCCACTGCGCCCGGCCTTTTTCATTTTTTATTGTGTATGTATGGATTGCCTATTGATGCTCTTTGCTGATTTTCTATTGGATTGTTTATTGATTTTCTCATTTGTTAGTCATCTTTGCATAACATTTCTTTATCTTTCATGTGGGGAATACTTGGTCTTGTTTTTCATGTCTCTGTTGGCTTCTCTAAAGTAAAGGTATTGAACAGGATTTTTTTTTTAGAATAAAATACATCAACCCTCCTTTTCTGTAACCTTTTTGTGATTTTACTGACTATTGTACCCATCTAGAATTTCTTGTCTAGAAAGCATGCGGAAGGTATTGCAATGTCTTTCCCTTTTTCCAAATATCAACATAGTTTATTATTGAATAATCCATCTTTTCCTGCTCATTTGAAATGTCAAGTTAACATATACTAGATGTAAGTTCTCCCAATATTTGTACCTATTTCTGCACTTTTCTGTTGCACTGAACTATTTGTCTATTCCTGTGCCAGTAAGTAGTGTGTATTTATAAAACATTTGAAATTCGATAAGGCTAGTCTTGCCGTGCCAATCTTCTTTTTTTACGTTTTCACAGGTCTTCTCATGGGCTTAATTTTCTGGATCAGAAATCTGCAAACTTTTTCTTAAAGGGATGGATAATAAATAATTTAGACTTTTGTGACCCATTCAGTCTCTGTAGTAACTACTCAACTCTGCCTTTGTAGCTGGAAAACAGCCACAGACCATACATAACCAAATGATAGTGGCTGTGTTCTAATAAAATTTTATTTACAAAAACAGCAGTGGGCTGGATTTGAGCAAGCCACAGACTGCCAATCCCTCTTCTGAATGAGCCATAGTATCATTTTGGAAACTCTTCCCACCAAGAAAAAACAAACCTTTTGGGACTATTGTTTGGGATTGCTTACAATGTAATAGTTAATAGCTGGGAAATTAACATTTTTAAGTATCAAATCTGGCCATCCAAAAAATATACTCTTTCTACTTAGTCACAGCTTTGATTTTGTTCCTCAGTAAGATTTTGAAGTTTTCTCCTATAGCTCCTGAACATTTCTTGTTAAGCTTAGTGTATTTTGTCTGTTTTTCTATTTGTTTATCATTGCATATGAAATTGTTTGTTCCCTTTGGTTTTTGTTCAAGATGCACAGACATCAGGAGTCAACCTCCTAGTTTAATACAAGGCTTATAATGAGGTCTGTAGACCTCCATGAGGTTGATGGAGAAATCCTATGGGAGCTATATACCTCCTGAAATTGTATGCAACATTTGTGAAAAAGTATATTTTTCTAGGAAGAGAGTCTACGTCTTTCACCAGAACTTCAAGATCAACATTCATTCTTCTGCACCAAATATGAGATCTCTGACTTAAGATAGGTAAAGGCAAGGATGCTGTTATCTAAATGGAATCTGGCATCTAAATGAAATCAAAATATAGGTGACCACAAATGTGCTGACAGCAGGACCAAAGACAGTGAGAGCCACTGACCTGCTCAGGCTATCCAAGAGTAGGTGTGATGGTCAGGTTTATGGAGCACTTTCCCACTGTCATCCATGCAGGCAGTGCTACCTGAAGGCTAAAGCATTCCAGAAGGTCTGAGGCCATCAATCTTGCTCTCAAACAACTTTCCCTAACTTTCATGCTGAGGTGTCTTCTCACTTCCTTCCCATATAGCCTTGTTCTAACTGCTTATTGAGATCATGGATTGTCTGATCCATGCACTCCCAGCTACATCCTAATCTCCTGCCAGTGCCCCCTGCTGACCCTCTATCAACCCTGTAGTCCTAGCCTCATGGAGAGAAGCAGCATGGGATGGAGGAAGGACACAGACTTCAGAGTCTAGCTAAATCAAGTTTAAATCTTGCCTTTGCCAACATGCGCTATAAGGGAAGATGTGAACTTCTCTGACCTCAGCTTTCTCACAGTAAAAGGGCAACATGAACACCTCCCAAGCATGGCTATAGGGATTAGTGGAGACAAAGCATAAAAGCTGAAATCCACTCTTATGATATGGAGCTTGTCATTCAGGCATGGAAGGGTCATACTTACTTCTTATACAATCAACTAGCATCAACCAGCCTCCATCACTGCCCATGAAGCCCATGGAAAATTGTGCACTCCCCCTTCCCACTAGTTGGGGTCTGCTTTCTGCAGGGGTCTCAGCATCTCAACAGGAGAGGTCTATCCAGGCCCTACCATTGATCTGGTGTCTTGGTGTCATGCTGTACCCAGGATGCTCCTGATAGCCAAGTTAACATGGTGCACTTAGTATAATTTCCGGCAGCCACTGACTCCAGACCAAACCCACCAAAGGTGAGAGACTTGTTTTGCTATATACAGAGAGGGAGGGTTAT